>NC_000010.11:30314282-30618564 GCF_000001405.40 Homo sapiens
TTTTAAAATAATATAACTTTTACCTAACAAGGTAGAGCATGAAAGGGAAAAAAATGATTAAAAAATCAGAAAGTAAGATGAAGATACGTTTATTTCTGAGACTTGCTAAAAGCATACCTATTATGGTAGAAACAGGAACACACAAAATTAGAACCCTTAAATTAAATATATTAATTAATGTTTCCCAAGTATGAGATGAGGAAAAAGAGGAGGAACAAAGGATTATTCATTATTTATTTAAAACACTAAAAAGTTTCCATTATCTTCCTATAGATCCAACAAAAGGGCTCTGCCACATAAGATAGTATCTCACAGAAATAAAAAAGATAACTGTAATCCAAGCATTTTGGGAGGCCGAGGCAGGTGGAACACCTGAGGTCAGGAGTTCAAGACAGGCCTGACCAACATGGTGAAATCCCATCTCTACTAAAAATACAAAACTAGCCAGGTGTTGTGGCGCATGCCTGTAATCCCAGCTACTTAGGAGGCTGAGGCAGGAGAATCACTTGAACCCAGGAGGCGGAGGCTGCAGTGAGCCAAGATCATGCCACTGCACTCCAGCCTGGGCAATACAGTGAGACTCTGTCTCAAAAAACAAAAACAAAAAAAAAAAAAAAAAAAAAGAAGAGAAAAGAAAAAGAAAAGCTAAAGCTATGAATCATATGACTAACATAAGCCATTAGTCTATATATCTTTTCCTCTTTCAAATGATACCATAAATTTACTTAATTAACTATTACAAAGCCAATGGTCAAAATTCCCTGATGTGAGCAGCAGCTGTTATATTCCCTAACTTATTTCATGCTTGGCATCTCTGAGCTTTGGAGTACAAAAAAGGTGACGAACTTTGTATGCTTATGACTTTTTCCTTCTAGATAGCATTTGCAAAGCTTTCCGAATGAATCCTTTCTCTCTCCTCTCCCCAATCTTTTATTTTAACAAAGAGTCCATGAGCAGGTAAGAGGGAAGGATGAAAAACGGAGAGGTGAAGAAATAAGGAGAAAGTATATCTGGGTTTGTGTTTTATGAAGCCAATCTTGTAAGGTTTGTAATCAAGTAGCCAAATGCTAAACAGAATAAACCCAAACAGAGGGCTATCCCAAGTTATCTCCCACTTGCAAACAAATTTTGTCTAGACTTCTGCCTGAGTTTCTTTTTGAAAAGAAAAAATGTCTTTCATCCCAGCTGCTCAGAAATCCAAATCGTAAGTTCATTTGCTCAAAAAAAAAAAACAAAACAAAACAAAACAAAACAAAAAAACACCTAAATCCTAAGGGCTCAAATTGAGGGAATCACTGAAATCTATCTTTGGGACTTAAGTTTATTCCATAGACACAAATCCAGTTTAAAAACAGCTGTATGTAAATAATAGTTTTCAGGAAACTTTCTGGAATGTATTCCACATCATGAGGGATACAGTATTACACTAAGTGAGGACAGAAGTCCCATGGCATAATAACAAGGCAGATGCTAAAGAGCTGGCTTTTACTATTTGGCATAAAGGGATGACTGATCTTAGTCAAGTCATGTAACTTCTCTGGACATCAACCTCCTTGTTACTACAAATTACTACACAAAAGAAATAAATAACATTTATTAGAGTGTTTTGAAAACAGTTAATTAAATATTAGTACAGTGGAAGACCAGATACTAATAACTAAATAGTAAAACATTATTTACCTGTCGAATATTTATGGAATTTTTATCGAAAGCAAAATTGCCAAAATACTCAAAAAATTCCTTCAGTAGTAATTCTGTAAGAAAATAAAACAAGGACAATCAGAGGAAAGCCTGTTTCAATCCAGAAAGGATCAAGTAAACAGAAAGACACTTACCTAATGTTTCTGTGTTCTGTGAAGGTTTAATTCTACTCAAGTCACGAACAAATGTGCAGTTGTTGCCTTCTATTACACATTTATCTTCTGCATCTTAAACACAAACAAAAAATATTTCACGTGTTTTTTTTTTTTCTTTGCCTGAGATGGAGTCTCACTCTGTCATCCAGGCTGGAGTGTAGCGGCATGATCTCAGCTCAATGCAGCCTCCACCTCCCAGGTTCCAGCAATTCTCCTGCCTCAGCCTCCCGGGTAGCTGGGATTATAGGCACATGCCCCCACGCTCAGCTCATTTTTGTATTTTTAATAGGGATGGGGTTTTACCATGTTGGCCAGGCTGGTCTCGAACTCCTGACCTCAGGTGATCCACCCACCTCATCCTCCCAAAGTGAGGGGATTACAGGCGTGAGCCACCGCACCCAGCCTATTTCACATATTTCAAAGATATTCCCTACCTCAGAATACAAATCTATGATTTAAATAAATTTAAGGCCAGGCGCGGTGGCTCACACCTGTAATCCCAGAACTTTGGAAGGCTGAGGCGGGTAGATCACCTGAGGTCAGGAGTTCGAGACCAGCCTGGCCAATATGGTGAAACCCCATCTCTACTAAAAATACAAAAATTAGCCAGGCATGGTGGCTTGCTCCTGTAATCCTAGCTACTGAAGAGGCTGAGGCACGAGAATCGCTTGAACCCAGGAGGCGGAGGTTGCAATGAGCTGAGATCACATCACTGTTGCCTGGGCAAGAGAGCAAGACTCCATCTCAAAAAACAAAACAAAACAAAACAAAACAAATTTAAGTAAATTTCTACTCTATTCTTTATTTAAATCACAGATTTTATAAATGATTGAATAATTATGACTGAATGATTAAATAACGATTTAATCTATAATTTCTTGTCTATGATTTAATGATGTTAATTTCACTATGGCATAACTAATCTCAAATCTTTTTATCTTCTTTTAATGGAGTTATATTTTAAAAAAAGATTTGAGACTAGTTATGCCACAGTGAAATTAACATTACATTTAATTTAGCATACTAGAATTATTGTCTTTCAACAACCCAATGATTCCTAATCAATTTTTGAGGTAATCAGTTTTCTAACAGTAGATGGAAATGTAGGGAGTTCCCCCATCTTTCACCAAACCAAATTTCAGCACTACCTCTAGTCAATACTTAATTTACATCTCCAATTCCATTCTTATCATCTTCATACACGACACAAACTGAATGCTAACTAAAAAAGCTTCAGGTAATTTCTAAAATGTAGCACTCTAGACTAACTGGAATTCAGTAATTCAGCAAAACAAACTCAATAACAGCACGTTAGACTCAGATATTCACCTTTCCTACTAGTATTTATATCTTAAGAGGTAATCATTTTCATAAATATACAACCACCATGAAATCCCTGGCCCACACTATCTGCAACAGATACTATGCTGTTTTCAAGAGCAAATTCCCACTCTTCAGAAATCTCATCAATGGCTACTTCCTATCTGAAAGCATTTCATAATTCCAAACTGGTTTTCCATCCTTTTTGTTCCATTCACCATTTGACTTATCTGACTGCATTGTGACTGTTTGTATGCTGTCCACTCCTCTGCCCCAGTCAGGAATTACAAAGGCCACTGTCCTATTCATTATTGCCCAACTCCCCACCACCGACCTGCCCCCAATGAGCATCTAGCATATAGCAGGTATATAATCAATAATCTGGATGACTGCTGATATTTTAATTTTTTTTTTGAGATGGAATCTGGCTCTGTCACCCAGGCTGAAGTGCAGTGGCGGCGTGACCTTGGCTCACTGCAACTTCCGCGTCCCGGCTTCAAGTGATTCTCCTGCCCCAGCCTCCTGAGTAGCCGGAACTACAGGCGAACACCACCACACCCGGCTAATTTTTATATTTTTAGTTAGAGACAGGGTTTCACTATATTGGCCAGGCTGGTCTCAAACTCCTGACCTTAAGTGATCCACTCGCCTCGGCCTCCCAAAATGCTAGGATTACAGGCGTGAGCCACCGTGCCCGGCCCTGATATTTGACTTTAAATGCCTATAATCACCAGAGAGATAAATAAGCCTCCTATAAATTTATCTCCCATTTTTTGTGTTTTTTGTCATTTTTTTGTCAAGACCTGGTTACCTGCATAATTTCTCAAAAATTATTCTAGGTTTTAACATTTTAATAGCACATTTTACGTGCTCTACTATACAATTTATAATATGTTGAAGGAGCTATATAAAATGTATGTATGTATATATATTTCTACTTAGATCTATTTTTAAGGAACCTGAGCACATGTTTTACTATTTCAAGTAATTAACAGTGTATGTTTTTTTGTGATGCAGTGTCAGTCACATATATTGATGCTCTTTTAGCTGCTGTGTCTTTTTTCAGGAATGAATCTTCAATTAAAGCACTAAGCACAGAAGTAAATGTAACAAAAGTAGCAAAGCCAGAAAGCATGGAAAACACAAGAAAATGAGACATATGAGAGAACACAGTGGAGATTATAAGAAAACACAAATAAACAGGGCAATTCAAGAGGAACCAAATATGAAAGTTAATATCATGGTCCATCTTGCCCAGTACAAACAGCCCTCAACTTTAAAATGTTATCCAATCATTTTGAAATCTACATAGTGAACTCCTACTATGAACCCAATACTATTCCGAGAACAGAAGACGCAGAGGTGAAGCAGACAGCTAGCCCTAGAAAAGCTTGACAATGCTGAGGCAGGCACATAAAAGAACTACAACAATCTAACAGTTGTTACAATACAGGTGTGTACCAAGAGCTTGGAAACCAACAAAGCACTACCCACTGGGAAGCAGAGAGGACAGCAAGAAAAGACCTAACAGATGAGATCCTGTACTAGGTTTGTCTGTCTTCTCTGGCTTAATCTTGAGATTCTCCATAAAAAAAAGCGGGGTGGCTGGGAGGGGGAGGCTGGGAGAAGGCCATTTCAGGCAAAAGCATGGAGCAATGAAAAAAAGCACAAAACATCAGGGATCATCAAGGAGTTCAAGAGTGGCTAAAGCTCCCAACTGGTATACAGGAATCAACGTAAAAGAAGAGGATAAAAAGGAAGGTGATAAAGGGCCCTGCATACAATGTGAAAAAGTTTGGTCTTTAGCTTAGCTTAGGTTCTAAATAGTAGTTTACAAAATCCTAGAAGTTCTGGAAGGTATTCTAGGAATTCATGTTGCCTTCTATTAATAAACAAGCAAGGAAGCAAATAAAATATTTTTTCTTTTAAAAAAGAACAAATTGATTATTTGTATATCAAATGAGAGGTACAGCTTAGAAGAAATGAAATGATTGTACACAAGATTCAGGTCACTTACATGATTAAACACCAAGTACTCAATATGGTTTTGATTGTTTCACAGTTTAAAATTGTTTTCTTCCTTAGGTTTAATGTCCACCAAAGTTGAACTACTGGTCAAAATTAGAAAGTATAAAAACCATGGATTTTGGAGGGAAAAAAAAGGAAAAGGAAAATATTGATAAATTCTCCTCAAAATGATCTTCACCAAATTCTTAATATACATTAATCTAAGACAAGTTCTTTTACAGCAACTTCAAAAACCATAGGTGATGGAAGGCAAAAAGTGTATTTTGCTTGGCATTTATTGGCAATTCGCACCTACAATGTGCTATATGCCGAGAAGCAATTGCAAAAACTAGCCTGAAAAATTCTCTTACCGTATTTAAAAACTACTGCAAAAATTTAAAAACAATCAAATTTGATGTTTCAAGTGAAATATTAAAGAATTCCAAGCTAGTTTTGCCTGTTTTGATGCTATACGATGTGAACATATTTAAATGTATTTTAATGTAGATTTGGAATTAAAAACTCAACAGGTCATTTAAAATCCCAGCACTTGGGGAGGCTGAGAAGGATCGCTTGAGCCTAGGAGTTTGAGACCAGCCTGGGCAATATAGTAAGACACCATGTCTACAAAAAGTTTTTTAAAAAATTAGCTGAGTGAGTGGTGGCACAAGCCTGTATATCCCAGCTATTGAGGAGGCTGAGGTGGGAGGATCACTTAAGCCTGGGAGGCAGAGTTGCAGTGAGCCAAGATTGCACCACTGCACTCCAGCCTGCCTACAAGGTAGAGCACAGTGGCTCACGCCTGTAATCCCAACACTTTGGGAGAACAAGATGGGAGGATCCCCTGAGCCCAGTTCAAGTCCAGTCTGGGAAACATGGCGAGACCCCGTTTCAACAAAAAATTAAAAAATTAGCCAGGTATGGTGGTGCATGCCTATAGTCCCAGCTATTCAGGAGGCTGAAGTGAGATTACGTGAGCCCGGGAGGTCGAGGCTATAGTGAGCCGAGATTGTGCCACTGTAATCCAGACTGGGCAACAGAGCAAGACCCTTTCTTAAAATAAATAAATAATAAATAAAATTTTTAAAAAAATAGTGACCATTTTTAAAAAAGATAATAGAAAGTTACTGAAGGACTGCAAAAGAGGGTAATACTATCATATGTGTTTGTGAAAATCACTCTCTTAACTAAGAATAGATTGGTGGGAACCAAACTTGAGATAAGGAGGAAAGACAACATAAGCCTTCCCAGGCAGAGGACAACAGGGCCTTAACATGGGCAGGGGTACCAGTACTTGTAAGACTGAAGGGAGCAATCAAGATGCTTAGGAGTAGTCTACCCCAAGTTCAACTTTCTTCTGCTCCTCCTTTTACAGCTTCTACTGTTTCTTAGTTTCTGAACTCCCAAAGTTCCGTTATTTTTCCCCACGATGGTTTCTATGAGAGTAGCATTAAGCACCACTGCACACAGCAGGAGTGGAAAAGGAAGTGCTACTTACAGGTAGTTTAGTGGTGAAGATCTGCCCATATCTTATGTATGGCTTACCTCTCCATTAGATTGTGAGTTATCTGGGAACACTGTTCATACCCCCACTACTCCAATAACACCTGACGCATAGGAAGTAATCAGTAAATACTGAATGAATGACACTAAGGGATGAAATGAGCACAGATATTGATGCTGCCCTTTATTTTAATCTCAAAAGTGAGATAAGTGACCACCACTCTACCCCACTGAAAACTTCCCATTTTCCCTTAACCTATCAAATCTAGCTTTATTTTATTTTATTTTATTTCATTTTACTTTATTTCTTTAGGCTAGTCAAGTGAAGCAGTGAGAGTGGAGAAGGAACACAGAAATTTGTAACTGGTTGTGATCAATTAGTTGTAAACACAAATCAAGCTTTTTTTAAGGTCAATTTCAAACAATATCAACACTTACAGTGTTAACAGGAAGAGATCACTTCTAATATGGATAAAGGAAGGTAGCATGGAAGAAATAATTTAGACTGGGAGAAGAGAAAGCAGATTCCAGGCAGAAAAACAGTGTGAACAAAAAGCTAAGATGAAATGTTCCAAGGGTAATCACAGCACTGGCTGGAATGTGGGACACATAAAGAGGAGTAGGGAAGAGCATGGAAAACTGGGCCGTGTCTAGAGAGCTAAAGATTTTAAACACCAAGCTATGTAAATAGTTTGCCTCTTAAGGTCATTTTAAACAGGAAGATTCAAGAAGGCACTTAATCGAATTATCAGGCAGCAATTATGTAAGACGGGTAGAAGACAGTATGCATTTGTGTGTATGTACCCCTTAATTATCTTCCCTTTAGCATTTACAGTTTCAAGATTTTATAACATAACTTCTCCAGCAGGCCTCAGCAAGGCTGAGGCACAAGAATCACTTGAATCTGGGAGGCATTTATAAAATCATTTATAATACAAACAATATAGTATGTCAAATTTAAAATAATGCACCTAAGACTGCTTATATGCTTTTCATTAAAAACACATTTAGAATCTTTGAAACATCACGAAGCAGTTTTAGTATCTCTAATACAAGTCTAAACATAAGTTCAGATTTGAAAGTCATCTCTGAGACTGTGATCCAATCAAAAGTTGTATCTGAACAAGTTGTATCTGAAAAAGGTCATTCTAGACTTGGTCAACTAGGGGAGAAGCTCCAGCTATCTCACAACTGCTGTAAACAACCTTGCCAACTGATACAAAGAAAACAGAACTCTCAAAAAATGCTAAAGGCCCTAGCTTCCCAAATCATCTGCTCTCGTGACTCCGGTAGACTTTAAAAAAAAGTCAAGACAAATTTTATGACTAATAAACAAATAGACGGGACTTTGGTAACACATGGTAATTATATTTACTCATAACATTGGAAAAAGAAAATGGAGAAGTTTCTTTCTAGTCTTACCTGCTAGGGTTTTTAAGGAATCTAGTGTTGGAAGAATAGGGGGTGATCTTCTCTGGAGAAAAAAGATGACCATCATTGTAAGGGAGAAATTTGTAATCCATGCACCAGGAATACTACTTGTTAGTGAATGTGCTCGAGCCCAGCACCGTACACTGAACACCAAGGCTCTCACTCTTGAGTCTAGGGCACCATATATATAAAGGAGTTCGGAACTTGTCAAGGCAATCCTTCAAAAAATAAAAATAAGAAAAATGTTCAAATCCCCAAATTATAAACCAAGGGTAAAATTAAACTCAAACCAAGAAACACATCTAAATATCCTACTATATCTGAATGTATTCAGAACATCATTAGGTAATCAAAAGCATTATGAATTTGCAATATAAAATTTAATATGAATGGCTGAATATCAAATACATTCATTCCCATTAAAACATCCTCTTAAAATTGATAATTAAAATGTAAGCCGGGCTCGGTGGCTCATGCCTGTAATCCTAGCACTCTGGGAGGCCGAGGTGGGCGGATCACTTGAGGCCAGGAGTTCAAGGACAACGAGGTGAAACCCCTTCTCTACTAAAAATACAATAATTCAGCTGGGCGTGGTGGCGTGCCCCCGTAATCCCAGCTACTCAGGAGGCTGAGGCATGAGAATTGCTTGAACCCGGGAGGCAGAGGTTGCAGTGAGCTGAGACCATACCAGTGTACTCCAGTCTGGGAGACAGAGCAAGACTCCGTTTCAAAAAAAAAAAAAAAAAAAAAAGAAAGAAAATGTAGATCTAGGACCAGGCGTAGTGGCTCATGCCTGTAATCCCAGCCCTTTGGAAGGCTGAGGCGGGCGGATCACCTGAGGTCAGGATTTGAGACCAGCCTGGCCAACATGGTGAAACCCTGTCTTAAACAAAAATACAAAAATTAGCTGGGCGTGGTGGCGCATGCCTGTAATTCTAGCTACTTGGGGGGCTGAGGCAGGAGAGTCACTTGAACCCGGGAGGCGGAGGCTGCAGTCAGCCGAGAAAGCGTTATTGCACTCCAGCCTGGGTGTCAGAGCAAGACCCTGCCTCAAAAAAAAAAAAAAAAAAAAAAGAAATAAAGAAAATGTAGATCTAGAACTCAGAATATGTATGTATTTATTTATTTGAGACGGAGTCTCGCTCTGTCGCCCAGGCTAGAGCGCAATGGCGCGATCTTGGCTCACTGCAAGCTCCGACTCCTGGGTTCACGCCATTCTCCTGCCTCAGCCTCCCAAGTAGCTGGGACTACAGGCGCCCACCACCACGCCCGGCTAATTTTTTTGTATTTTTAGTAGAAATGGGGTTTCACCGTGTTAGCCAGGATGGTCTCAATCTCCTGACCTCGTGATCCACTCGCCTCGGCCTCCCAAAATGCTGGGATTACAGGCGTGAGCCACTGTGCCCAGCCTAGAACTTAGAATTTTTAAATCAAAGTTTCTAAACATGATTTAAATAATATGTAAAACACACAAAGGCGCTTTATAATTATTAATAAATGGCTGGGTACAGTAGCTCACACCTGTGATCTCAGAACTTTGGGAAGCTGAGGTGGGCAGATAGCTTGAGCCGAGGAGTTCAAGACCAGCCTGGGAAACATGACAAGACACTGTCTCTACAAAAAATACAAAAGTTAGCTGGGTGTGGTGTCGCACACCTGTAGGCCCAGCTACTTGGGTGGCTGACGTGGGAGGATCACCTGAGCCCAGGGAGGTAGAGGCTGCAGTGTGCCAAAATTAAGCCACTGGGCTTCAGTCTTGGCGACAGAGTAAGGCATCATCTCAAACACACACACATATATATATATAAAATCGATAAAGACAAAAAGGCATTTATTGGCTGGGCACTGTGGCTCACGCCTGTAGTCCCAGCATTTCAAAGCAGGAGGATGACTTGAGCCCAGGAGTTTGAGACCACCCTAGGTAACATAGTAAGACCCTGTCTTTATAAAAATAAAAAATGTATATATAAAAGAAAAACAAAATTTTAAAAATTTAATTAAAAAAATAGTCAGGCGTGGTGGCATGCACCTGTAATCCTAGCTACTCAGGAGGTTGAGAAAGGAGGATTGTTTGGGCCCAAGAGTTCGAGGCTACAGTGAGCTATGATCACACTACTGCACTTCAGCCTGGGCAACAGAGAGAGACACTGTCTCTAAAAAAGTAAAAATAGAATTAAATTAAATTAAAAATATTAAGCTCCTACTGATCAAAACGTGTCTTGTAATTTCTCCAAGAACCAACAGATGGCATAAAAAAATAATTTAACAGCATCAAGTTAAAACTGTCTCTAAAACTGTCTTTAAAAAGAATAGAAGAAACAAGGCCAGGCGTGGCGGCTCACACCTGTAATCCAGCACTTGGGAGGCCGAGGTGGGCAGATCACCTGAGGTCCGGAGTTCAAGACCAGCCTGGCCAACATGATGAAACCCTGTCTCTACAAAAATTAGCCAGCATGATCACATGTGCCTGTCCCAGCTCGGAAGGCTGAGGCAGGAGAATTGATTGAAGCCAGGAGGCGGAGGTTGCATTGCAGTGAGCCAAGATTGCGGCACTGCACTCTAGCCTACGCGACAGAGCAAGACTATGTCTCAAAAAAAAAAAAAGAAAAAGAAAAAGAAGAAACAGCAACTTAGAAATTCATTGTGATTAAGTGTTTTATGTATGAAAATGAAGCTAAATTAAGCTAAAAATAAATATCAAAAAGTATAAGGTATCTTGATATAAAGAAAAAAACATAATTACAAAGATAAATGTAATTTTGTCCTATTTTACATACTACAAAGAAAATATAATAATGATAGAAAGTACAGTATTATATTTTTATACTAAAATTTGTCAAGAAATCACAGACTTTACTCCATGAGTTTTACTTGAGAGAAAGTCGCAAGTACTTATGATTGGCTTGTGGGTGAAGATTCGAGTTTAATCAAAACTGCTCTAGCCTTGATTTTCTGAATCTATTTTCAGTAATGATTATTTAGCTAACAAATAACATAGTGAAATGAACTCATGCAATGAGAAGTTAAGAAATAAACTTCTCAATTAAGAAATTTTCCCTACTGTGGGCCAGGGTCAGTGGCTCACGCCTGTAATCCCAGCACTCTAGGAGGCCAAAGCAGGCAGATCACTTCAGGTCAGGAGTTCGAGACCAGCCTGGCCAACAGGGTGAAACCCCGTCTCCACTAAAAAAACAAAAATTAGCCAGCGTGATGGCATGCATCTACAATCCCAGCTACTTGGGAGGCTGAGGCACAAGAATCGCTTGAACCCAGGAGGTGGAGGTTGCAGTGAGCCGAGATCGTGCAGTGTGCTGCACTCCAGCCTAGGCAACAGAGTAAGACTCCGTCTCAAAAGTAATAATGATAAAAAAATGAAATAAAGAAATTTTCCCTGTTGTGAAACCAGGAAAAGTCATCAGTACAAAAGAACTTTTCCCACCCCACTTTTTTAAGCAAACAAATCACTAGGATAATACAATGCACATAGGCTGAACAAAAGCCATCCGGTCTTAAGCTCTTCCAACCACTTTTGGACCTAAGTAAAGGGGACATTTGTCTAGTACACAAAGTTGACTATATATCTGGAGGCAATTCAAAGGTCAACTTCAAGTTGGTATTTTATTTTCTAAGTATTCTTAGAAGGCTTGTACTATAAATAGGCATCTTTCTTTCTTATTTTACTTTTTTCTTTTTTTGCCATCAGAAATTTCTCCTAAAAAATAGGCATCTTTCACACTACACACTACCAGGCTGCACAAGTAAGAATAATGAAATACATTTCTTCTCAGAGGTTAGATATGTGAACATTTTAACACAATATCCTAACACTGTTTAGGAACACCAAATTATCAACAGGTATAACGTAAGAGAAAAGATTACTTACTTTTCAATCCAAGTGATAAATTTTTAAAAAATTATTATTCAAGCATGTTTAAGATTACAAAGCCACTGTTTCTGTGTGAGAAACACTAAGCTAATATATCAGAATATTCATATTTAAAATAATAAATGTAAGCGGTCATACCTATTGTTCGTAGTCAAATCACACTGAAATCCGGAGGCCTGGTGTGAGAACCTCACGAGCGGACACCGGGCATTTAATATTTTTTGCACACCCACACAGCCAGGGCCAAAGTGGTCAAGGCACTCTCCTAACACAGACAGGATCTTCTGAGTTGCAATTCTTTCTGAAGGAACATTTTTCACTTGAAATTCCATCAGAAAATTTCCTGAGATCTGAAAAATAAACACATTTCTAAATAGGAGCTTTTGGTAAAAAAAACAATTTTTTAATAAGCTTTTGTAAAAGAATGCTCTAAATCACTGCTGGAAAGCAAAACAAAATAAGAAAAAAACAACCCACAAAATAAAAACTCTTCAAGAAATCACAGCCAAAAGCAAACTTAAAAGATCCCCAGTTGCCTTCTGTTTCTCCAGAATATAGAGAAATACAAAGCACTAACTTGAACGATCACTGGTTTTTGTAATTAACTTATGAACTACAGTATAAAATGAATCATAAATACTATGCATAGAACCATTCACCTTATAAATTCAGTGAACATATACTTGCCCCTTCCCAGTTGACCATTATATTTTAATCTATGCTATAAACCCACAGTAGTATGGAAGTACAGGCACAAGAGCTCATCAGTAGAAGAAAGAAGACTAGATGGTGTAAACAGGCTTGTACATAGGAATTTAATATTTAAGGCCACAAATTACTAGGGGAAAATTCCTATTCAACAAATGAGTTAAGTGGCCATCAAAAAAAATAAACCAGATCCTTTGTTTAATACTAAAACTCGCCGGGTGCAGTGGCTCACGTCTGTAATCCTAGCACTTTGGGAGGCCAAGGCGGGTGGATCACTTGAGGTCAGGAGTTCAAAACCAGCCTGGCCAACATGGTGAAACCCCATCTCTTTTAAAAATACAAAAAAAAAAAAAAAATTAGCCAAGTGTGGTGGCGGATGCCTATAATCCCAGCTACCCGGGAGGCTGAGGCAGGAGAATTACTTGAACCCAGGAGATGGAGGTTGCAGTGAGCCAAGATCACACTACTGTACTCCAGCCTGGGCAACTGAGCGAGACTCCATTTCAAAATAAATAAATAAATAAATAAATAAATAAATAAATAAATAAATTACTAAAACTCAAGTAAATTCCCTGAGCATGGTGGCTCATGCCTGCAATCTCAGCACTTTGGGAGGCAGAAACAGGCAGATAACTTGAGGTCAGGAGTTCTAGACCAGCCTGGCCAACATGGTGAAACCCCGTCTCTACTAAAAATACAAAAATTAGCCAGGCATGGTGGCATGCACCTGTAAACCAAGCTACTTGGGAGGCTGAGGCAAGAGAATCACTTGAACCTGGAAGGTGGAGGTTGCAGTGAGTCGAGATCACACCACTGCACTCCAGCCTGGGTGACAAAGCAAGACTCCATCTCAAAAAAAAAAAAAAAACTGAAGTAAATTCAACATGGATCAAAGACTAAAATGTAAAAGGTGCATCAGTAAAGTACCAGAAGACAATGAGTGAATGCTTTTACGATCTTAGAATAGCGAAAGATTCTGTAACCATGACATAAAATTAGAGAAGACACAAAAGAATATGATTGCATAAAAAATTAAAACCACCTTAAGGCAAAGCATCCATTCACTACTAAAGAACAAAGCAAATAACACACATCATACAAACGGGTAATTTACGACAGTTTTAGGCAAACGAAAGGGAGAAACCCATCAAATTCTAAAAATGGGCAAAAAAGACAAAAAAATTCACAGAAAAAATAAAAATGGCTAAAAACCATGATAAAAGTTGTGCATGTTTTCTAGAAACTAAACAGAAATTAAAACAGAAATGAGATTTTTTATTTTTCAGCCTGGTAAAGACAAACAGGTTAGTGACCAGAACTAACGCGTATGAGAAAACATGTATACACTGTTGATGGGAGTGTAAACAAGGGACATACTTCTTGTAGAACTTGTCCGTATCTACTGAAACTTGTATACGTTGGCTAACTATTAAAATGGTTAGAAATTACGTCAAAGGAATATTTGCATAAATGAGCCAATTTATAAAGATGTTCACTCACTGCAGTACTATCCATGTGGTATACACCTTTTGGGAGCTGTATCTAGTTTAATAAGGTTCCCTATCAACTATTCCCTCTTCTAGAATTCATTCCTCCTAAAAGGATGAAGGCTCCAACAATGTTTATCATGGACATCTACCCCCTTCCTTTCAGCTGAATGGACTGGGCAAAGACAGCTGATCTAAGCACTGTAGGAGTGTACCCCACATTCATTTGGAGATCTCTACTGGGAACTGGTTACTGGGAACAGGAACTAAGTAAGGTTCAGAGGCAACCATGTGGCTAAAATATCTAACTCAGAAGCTTTGGGGCAGCCATATTTACACAAGCATGAAAAAGAAAAGAAAATCAGTGCGGGTAGGGAGGAAGGAGTTAAGGACAGAGAGAGAGAGCAATAAATGAAGGAAAAACATGTAGACAGAAACAGAACACATCCTAGGTTGTTTTGTTGTTGTTTTTGAAACAGGGTATCATAGGCTGCCTGTGGTGGCTGTAATCCCAACACTTTGGGAGGCTGAGGCAGGCGGATCACTTGAGGTCAGGAGTTTGAGACCAGCCTGGCCAACATGGTGAAACCCCATCTCTACTAAAAATACAAAAAAAAATCAGCCAGGTATGGTGGTGCAAGCCTGTAATCCCAGCTACTCAGGAGGCTGAAGCAGGAGAATAGCTTGAACCCAGGAGGCCAAGGTTGCAGTGAGCCGAGATTGTGCCCCTGCACTCCAGCCTGGGTGACAGAGTGAGAATCCAAAAAAAAAAGGGTATCACTCTGCCACCCAGGCTGAAGTGCAGTGGTGCAACCAAGCTCACTGCAGCCTCAACCTCCTAGACTCAAGCAATCCTCCAGCCTCAACCTTCAGGGTAGCTGGAACTACAGGTACACACCACCACACCTTGCTAATTTTTTTATTTTTAGCAGAGATGCGGTCTCCCCCAGCCTATGTTGCCCAGGCTGGTCTCGAACTCCTGAGCTCAAGTGATCCTCCCGCTGCAGCCTCCCAAAGTGCTGTCATTACAGGCATGAAGCACTGGGCCCGGCCACTTCCTGGGTTCTTGATGGTTTACACTTCTTACTTCTAGTCCTTTCCTAAGACTCATCCATATTCCTGGCCCTGGGTTCTATGATGCCTCCTCTACTTCTTTAATTGTTTAAGCTAACTCGTGTTATTTCTCTAATGTATAATCAAAGAATATTAACTAATATATAGTTGGCAATAAAGAGGGGAAAAGTTACCTAGTGGTCCAGTGCCTAGGATTTGGCACTTTCACTGAAAGAGGGAAAAAAAAAAGATACCACCCTCATTATCCAACAAAAAGAGGACTGGTTAAATAAATTATGGTACATCCATTCAATGGAGTATTTTGCGGCCACTGAGGGCGATACAGTAGATTGAACTGCCAAGACACTACTAATGGGGGAAAAAAAATGAAGTTAAAGTTATTATCGGTAAAGATTATGTTCTGGGTTTTTTCTTTTAAAAAAAAAAGCTTTTCTATACGCACAGGAAAAAAAATCCAGAATATATTAAATTATTCACCGGGTTATCTCTGGAGGCAGTGTGACCAACAGAGATACTTATGTATTTCTATGTCTATCATTTTATAATCAGAAAAAAATAGATTAAATAAATCACTGTATACAATCCCTACAAATAAACATGTGGCATTTTCTCTACTGATCTGTCATTTAGATATTTTTATATTAAAAGGACTAAAAATAAACTTCCTTTAAAAAATTAAAATTTCAAGATTCTTCCTTAGCCATTTTGTTATAATTTACCTTCATAACCTAGTTCCCTGTCCATTCTCTTTTAAAATACAAACACACACAATTTATGTTAGGAATAGGAATCCAAACAAAAGCAAAGACAGATTGGGGGTCTATCTCAGGATGGCAAAAAGAGGTCAAGTGAGAAAGCAGTACTAGAGTACATCAGGGAGGAGTCATGGTGGACTCAATCTCAGAAGCAACAGAAGGATTAGAATCACTCAGAAGAAAGGTGACAGAGATTTTTTAAATTAAGTACTATAAATGAGAGAATAAAATCCTTGAGGTAACAGAAGTGAAAATGACAAGAAAAAATAGCTCTGATTAATGGAACTGGGCGCAGGAAAGTGGTGAACTGTGAACCATGAGCAGGAGTGTGGTAGTTATTGAAGCTGCTCACCATATGTTCTGTATCACCTTTCTGGCATTTGGAAGATCTCATGTTCTTGCCCCTCTAAGGTTAAGCAAACTCATGTGATTTGCTTTGGCCAGTGAAATGTGAGCAGAGGTTTTAAGTGTCACTTCCAGGCAGAAACTTCAAGAGCCGATGCTCAATTCTTCACTTTGCCTTTCCACTATTCAGTGATGGTAGCGCAGGTGGAGATGAAACACTGGTCAGCCTGGGTGCTTGAGCTACTACAATGTCTAGAGTGCCCATGCTGACCTGCTGTGACATATAACCTCAGCAACAGATAAATAGGTGATGTGTTAAGCCACTGAGATCTTTGAGATATGGGAGTTGTTTGTTACCAAAGCATCAACTAGCCTAACCTGACTGACCAAAAATGCAAGCCACGAAGAATCACAATGGACTCAGTACAGAAATAAAACACTGCCTTTAGGGAAAATTTAGATGAAAATTATACTTATTATGAGCAAAGGAAAGATATTCTCAAAAATGACTGTCCTCTATTAAATAAATAAAAACTAGAAAAACTGTTCACAGACAGTTAGATCCATAAATACTTCCTATTAATGTGTGCTATTCCTATAGCACTATCTGTTTATTAGCAAATCATCTAATAAAGAAAAAACAGAAGTTAAGCACACTGTCCACAGCAATCATTCAGATAACAGAAAGCAGTACTCAAGACTTAGGCACTAATTCTTACTTTTATTACCTAAGTCCTCTAAGATACAGAACCCTGTAAGAAAAAGCAAAACTGAAGGAAAGACCAAAGGCAGATTTTAGTTTAGGATTTTGTGCTAACATGATCTTTGTGATAAGTCAGGTGACATATTTCACATGTAACCAACTTTTACACACACTAAAAAATTTATGAACATTAAAATCTACATTTCAGTTAGTAAATAACTTTCCTTCTTTTTTAGTCTTGCTCTGTCGCCCAGGCTGGAGTGTAGTGGCGCAATCTCGGCTCACTACAACCTCCGCCTCCTGGGTTCAAGCGATTCTCCTGCCTCAGCCTCCTGAAGAGCTGGGATTACAGGCACCCGCCATCATGCCCGGCTAATTTTTGTTATCTTTGTAGAGACGGGGTTTCACCACATTGGCCAGGCTGGCCTTGAACTCCTGACCTCAGGTGATCCGCCCACCTTGGCCTCCCAAAGTGCTGGGATTACAGGCGTGAGCCACCACGCCTAGCTGTAAGTAACTTTTATTCATTCATTAGCAAATAATTTTAGTCCCTATCGTGCATGGGATATCATACATAGTGCCATAAGACATGCAAAAAAGTCTAACACACTCTTCCTAACTCCTCTCAGATTGAGTTGAGGAATAAAACACACACACAAAGAATTATAAAGCAAGGTGTAGTGTGAAAAGATATCAAAGAAACAAAAGGTAAGAGAAGAGCTCATGAATGCAGAAAGTAGTCAAAGAAGGTTTTATGAATCTGATGAATGTAAGAGTACTTGTATTTTTTATTGTATTTTATTTTTAATATTTTTACTAGCAAAGCTATTATAATCTTGAACAAAAACATATTTCCAAAAAATCCTTAAATAAGCACATGTATGTTTATAACAACACTTTCCTAATTTAAACTGACACAGGAAATGCCAAGTTCTGGTTATTTCTGTGTATGTATGACAGAGTCTTGCTATTTCGCCCAGGCTGGAGTGAGGTGGCGTGATCTCGGCTCACTGCAACCTCTGCCTCACCGGGTTCAAGCAATTCTCCTGCCTCAGCCTTCTGAGTAGCTGGGATTATAGGCTCCCACCACCACGCCCAGCTAATTTTTGTATTTTTAGTAGAGACGGGGTTTCACTACATTGGCCAGGCTGGTCTCGAACTCCTGACCTCAAGTGATCCACCCGACTTGGCCTCCCAAAGTGGTAGGATTACAGGCTTGAGCCACTGTGCCCGGCCCAAAATGCCTAATTGTTTAGTAAGACTGGAGCACTGTCTTTAAAACATCTTTTTCTAAATACCTCTATACCTCAGAAATCTAAGAGTAAGACTCAACTAAAAGTTTCTAGGCCAGGTGCAGTGGCTCACACCTATAATCTCAGCACTTTGGGAGGCTGAGGCAGGAGGATCGTTAGCCCAGGTGTTCGAGACTATCCTGGGTACCGTGGTGAAACAACGAGTCAATAAGAAAACAAAAATTAAAATGGCCGGGCGCAGTGGCTCATGCCTGTAATCCCAGCACTTTGGGAGGCAGAGGCAGGCAGATCACGAGGTCAGGAGATCGAGACCATCCTGGCTAACACGGTGAAACTCCATCTCTACTAAAAATACAAAAAATTAGCTGGGCGTGGTGGCGGGCGCCTGTAGTCCCAGCTACTCGGGAGGCTGAGGCAGGAGAATAGTGTGAACCCGGGAGGCGGAGCTTGCAGTGAGCCGAGATGGCACCGCTGCACTCCAGCCTGGGAGACAGAGCAAGACTCTGTCTCAAAAAAAAATAAATTAATTAATTAAAAATAAATTTAAAAAAAAGAAGAAAGTTTCTAACTCCTGCCTGTTTCCACCAAAGAAAAAATTTTGCCTCCCACTTACATAAGAGTAAAATTATATTGCTGTTGATGGTGGTCAACATTTCAACACTTACTCTGTGCCATAAGCACTGTTCTAAATGTTTCACACATATTAACTCAATAAATCCTCTCAAACATTGTATGAGATATGTGCTATAACACCATTCCAATTTTATAGTTAGGACAATTGAGGCAGAGAGAAGGTAAATAACTTACCTAGGATCACATTACTAGTAAGTAGAATTAAAATTCTGCAGCTTGATGCCAGAGCCCAGGCTTTTTAAACCATTACAACACACTGTTATGCTCCTTGATTATTCAGTTACAATCCTTTATTTAAGACAGCCTAATGTAATTTAAGTGCCACTGCCAGGAACTTAATATATTTTCAAGTACATGTTAGTCTTAATAAAACTGATCCAGGCCGGATGCGGTGGCTTACGCTTGTAATCCCTATAATCGTAGCACTTGGGGAGGCCGAGGTGGGTGGATCACCTGAACTCAGGAGTTCGAGACCACCCTGGGCAACATGATGAAACACTATCTCTAAAATAATTAGCCGGAAGCAGCAGTGTAAGCCTGAAGTCTCAATCACACGGGTGAGGCAGGAGAATTGCTTGAGCCCAGGAGGCAGAGGTTACAGTGAGCTGAGATCATACCACTGCACTCTAGCCTGGGCAAAAGAGTGAGACCTCATCTCAAAATAGTAATAATAATAATTATTATTATAATAAAACTGACCCATTTAATTTTTATCTGTTTCCTATGCCTGGCTAGCTTCAATTCAATAAGCATATGGTGAGCAAATTAAGTACACAGTACTGTGGAATAAGTATATGAACAGACATGATTCCTATCTGCCCAAGTTTATTATATAGTGGGAGATACATACATCAGCTACTCACTAAACATGACAGAAGAAATTTGGAGACAGATAGAAATACCTGCAAGATACTACAAAAAAGGAGTGGTTAATTTTGGCTGGAGTGGAGAAAAAAATCAAGAGCGGTTTCAAGAAGGTAGAATTAGAACTAGACCTTGAAAGCTGCATTAGGAATGAGTCGAGGAATGGAGGGAAAGTGCACTCCTGAGTGAAGGCACAGAACAACTGTTTGATCATTATGATATTTACAAGTGCCTTCTATTACTGGAAATGGTAATTAAACAATGTGGTTGGGGCCGGGCATGGTGGCTCAAGCCTGTAATCCCAGCACTTCGGGAGGCCAAGGTGTGTGGATCACCTGAGGTCAGGAGTTCCAGACCAGCCTGGCCAAAATGGCGAAATCCCATCTCTATTAAAAACACAAAAATTAGCCGGGCGTGGTGGGGCGTGCCTGAAGTCCCAGCTACACAGGAGGCTGAGGCAGGAGAATCACTTGAACCCAGGAGGCAGAGGCTGCAGCGGGCCAAGATCATGCCACTGCACTCCAGCCTGGGTGACCGAGTGAAGCTCCGTCTTAAAAAAAGAAAAATAAAAACAATGTAGTTGGAAAATTGGGTATGTAACAATATATAATGGGAAATGATGACTAAAATTAATTAAGACACAGAGGATTTCAATACTATGCTAAAGAAAAGAAGCATTCTAACTTTGTGGGAAAATTCAAACTGTGAGTGAAGGTAACTCCAACAAAGACTGAAGGTTAAAATATCAAGGCATGACACAAGGAATAAGAAGTGGAAACAGAATGTAGTTACAATAATCTAAGTGAGAGTTTATAAGGGACTGTGAAACTATGAATACAAAAGATAACAACTTAGAAGCAGAATTAAAAGAATGGTTAGCAAAGCTAAAATGCCACTAATTAACATGTGAAACATATAGAACTTTTGTAAGAACTTAGAAAGAACATTTGTGGGAAGATGAATATAAGTTGTCTCAAAATATTGTTTGAAATATCAACTGGACATCCACATAAAGTCTGATGTTCACTACTAGTTTGAAAGATGTAAGGAAAGATACAGCCATAGAAACTAAACATTTTATAAAAACACATAGCCTTGGCCGCGTGTGGTGACTCACGCCTGTAATCCCAGCACTTTTGGGAGGCTGAGGTGGATGGATCACCTGAGGTCAGGAGTTCAAGACCAGCCTGACCAATACGTGAAACCCTGTCTCTACTAAAACAAAAAAATTAGCCGGGCATGGTGGCCCCTGCCTGCAGTCCCAGCTACTTGGGAGGCTGAGACAGGAGAATTGTTTGAACTTGGAAGGCGGAAGTTGCTGTGAGCCTAGATCACGTCACCGTACTTCAGCCTAGGCAACAGAGCAAGAGACTCTATCTCCAACAAAAAAATAAAAATAAAAATAAATAGCCTTTTCAACACTGTAATTAAATTAAGACATCATTTATATTGTTTGGGAGGATGGAAGAGACACTGGTTAATTTTACCATTAGACATCGTGTTAAAGAGAACATAAATGGAAGAAATAATATCCAAACTTGAAAGAGAAAAAAAGGGTAAGGAGGAAAGTGCAGGAATAAAGCAGGAGTAATCCAATAAAAGGAAGAAAGAAAGTGAAAAGCTGCTGGGAAGTGGCCCATGCCTGTAATCCCAGCACTTTAGGAGGCCGAGGGGTGTGGATCACCTGAGGTCAGGAGTTCAAAACCAGCCTGACCAAGGAGGTAAAACCCCGTCTCTACTAAAATACAAAAATCAGCTGGGCATGGTAGCAGGCGCCTGTAATCCCAGCTACTCAGGAGGCTGAGGCAGGAGAAATCACTTGAACCCGGGAGGTGGAGGTTGCAGTGAGCCGAGATTGCACCATTGCACTCCAGGCTGGGCGACAGAGTGAGACTCAGCCTCAAAAAAAATAAATAAATAAAAGAAAGTGAAAAGCAAAAGCACAGAAAATAGGAAATAAAAAATAAAACAGGAGAAATTAGTCCAAGAATTATCAGCAGTAACAATAAACATATTGAACTCAAAGACTGATAGACTGGAGTAAAAGCATACTGCTATTTATAAGAGATACACCCAAACTAAAATAACATATATAAAGGCTGAAAATAAAGAAACAGAAGACATGTGAGACAACTACCAAGCGGCCATATTAACAAATAAAATAGAACTTAAGAAAAAAGTATTTATAGAGATGAATAAAGCATGTATGAGGGATATAATAATAAAACAATCTAATAAGGAAATATGATGATCGTATACCTATATGTAGCTAATATAGCCTTTGGATAAAACAAAAATCAAAAGAATTTTAAAGAGAAATTAACAAAACCAAGAATCATGAGATGTAAAAACATCTCAGTAACTAGATCACAAGATTAAAAAGAAAAAATTAGTTAAGATACATAATTTGAATAACACAATAGGTAACTTTGACTTAACTGAAAAATTTCTGAACACTTGAAAACAATTAACTATTTGATTGCATATCTACAGAATATTCACAAAAATGATCACATAGTAGAACAATACAAAGAAAGACTTCACCAAAGAATCAATAACAAATACACCTTATTCTTTAACCACAATGTTTAATAAGTTTAGAAATCAACAGTTCTATTTTATTAAGTTCAAAGATTTTTCTTTTTATACTTTCTTAACTTTACATGATTATAGTGGTCAAAAGAAATAGACTTACCTTGTGAGCGCTGAGGTTTCTGGTTTCATCTAGATCCAAAAACATGTCCAAATCACATCCTAACTTCCCAAAAGTGTTGACTGAGGAGCCAAAGGGTCTGACTATGCAGTCTGGAAAATACGCGGCGGCCATGTCTTCAATAAGAGAACAGGTGAGATATCGGAGCTTAGTGTTCTCCTCTGTTAGCTGGAACTCCTTCAAGAGAGTGTTCAGCTGATCGTCTATCTAGCTAGCCGAAACAAAACCAACAAAATAGAGAAAAAGTACAGGTCGCATAAAAAGTTACCATTTTACTTTCAAAGATTTGGTGGCGTTGAAGACCTACCTTAGAAATATGCAAAGCCTGGCGCAGTGGCTCACGCCTGTAATCCCAACATTTTGGGAGGCCAAGGCAGGTGGATCACCTGAGGCCGGAATTTCGCGACCAGCCTGACCAACATGGAGAAACCCAATCTCTACTAAAAATACAAAATAAGCCGGGCGTGGTGGCGCATACCTGTAATCCCAGCTACTCAGGAGGCTGAGGCAGGAGAATCGCTTGAACCCAGGAGGCAGAGGTTGTGGTGAGCCAAGATCGCACCATTGCACTCCAGCCTGGGCAACAAGAACAAGACTCCGTCTCAAAAAAAAATACTCTTTAAAAACCACTGAGAAGGCCAGGCGCGGTGGCTCATGCCTGTAATCTCAATACTTTGGAAGGCCAAGGCGGATCATATGAGGCAAGGAGTTTGAGATCAGCCTAAGCAACACAGCAGGACCTCGTCTCTATTTCACTAAAGAAATAAATTATATAATATTTTAAAATTTTTAAAAAGCTCTGAGGAATGCCACTAGCAAAATGAAAGTTGGCTAGAATTAAAACTTTGTAAGCGATGAGTATAAAGTATTGTTTTAAGAAAATGAAAGTAGTAAAGTACTCCAGAAGAGGTTAAAACAACCACGTTAGACATTTTAAACTCAAAGGGATGAAAGACCAATGTTAAAGGGCAAGAAAAACTAGAAATACTCAAGTAATGAAGGCCCAAGACCTCTCAGTTTCTCAGAATAACAATCCTGTCTATCCACTAGAAGACTGGCATTAAAATGATCACATACTGAAATTGTGTACTGGAGTATCTGAAGTGAAAAAAAATCGTAACTTCAAATGCTCTTATTTGAAACCAACATTGAAAATATCAACTGGCTGGGCACAGTGGCTCACACCTGTGAACTACTGGGAGGCCAAGGCGGGAGGATCGCTTGAGCTCAGGAGTGAGACCAGCCTGGGCAACGTGATGAAACCCTGACTCTACCAAAAAAAAAAATACAAAAACTAGCTGGGCATGGTGGAATGCATCTGTAGTCTCAGCTACTCAGAAGGCTGAGGTGGGTCACTTGAGTCCAGGAGTATGCAGCTACAGTGAGCTGAGATTGCACCACTGCACTCCAGCCTGGGCAACAGAGCAAGACTCCACCTCAAAAAATAACGTAACATAACATAACATAACAACATAACATTAACATAACAACATAACATTAACATAACATAACATAACGTAACATAACTGAACTGAACTGAACTAAGCATTCAACTCAAAAATAATAAAAGAGGCCGGGCTCGGTGGCTCATGCCTGTAATCCCAGCACTTTGGGAGGCCAAGGCAGGCAGATCACATGAGATCAGGAGTTAGAGACCAGCCTGGCCAACGTGGTGAAACCCCAAATCTACTAAAAATACAAAAAATTAGCCAGGTGTGATGGCGCGTGCCTGTAATCCCTGCTACTTGGGAGGCTGAGGCAGGAGAATCGCTTGAACCTGGGAGGCGGAGGTTGCAGTGAGCCACGATCAGGCCATTGCACTCCAGCCTGGGCAACAAGAGCAAAACTCTGTCTCAAAATAATAATAATAACAATAAAAGTAAAGGAAATAGATTAGAAGCAAAAATTTTCTTATTAGAAAATTAAACCTTGAAAATAATATTTTGATAAATAAAGCCATGAGTTGATTCTTTGGAAAGACTAGCAAGGTCTGGCAAGTCTGAGTAAGAAACACCAAGACAGGCCAGGTGCAGTGGCTCACGCCTATAATCCCAGCACTTTGGGAGGCCAAGGCGGGCGGATCACAAGGTCAGGAGATCGAGACCATCCTGGCTAACTCAGTGAAACCCCGTCTCTAATAAAAATACAAAAAATTAGCCGGGCATGGTGGTGGGCGCCTGTAGTCCCAGCTACTTGAGAGGCTGAGGCAAGAGAATGGCGTGAACCCAGGAGGTGGAGCTTGAAGTGAGCTGAGATCACGCCACTGCACTCCAGCCTGGGCGACAGAGCAAGAGTCCGTCTCAAAACAAAAACAAAAACAAACAAACAAAAAAACACCAAGACAAATACAAACAATATTTGAACACAGAAGAGACAGAATCTTGGGCCGGGCGTAGTGGCTCACACCTATAATCCCAGCAGTTTGGGAGGCCGAAGTGGGCACATCACCTGAGGTCAGGAGTTCGAGACCAGCCTGGCCAAAGTGGCGAAACTCCGTCACTACTAAAAATACAAAAGTTAGCTGGGTGTGGTGGTGCACACCTGTAGTCCCAGCTACTTGGGCAGCTGAGGCATGAGAATTGCTTGAATCGGGGAGCAGTTGCAGTAAGCCAAGATCATGCCACTGCACTCCAGCCTGGGCAAGAGCGAGACTCCATCTCAAAAAAAAAAAAAAAAAAAGAGAGAGAGAATCAGAAAGAAGACATTTTAAAATTGACAGAAAACCATGTACAATTTTATGTCATTATGCTGGAAAGAGAAAGAAAACCTAAACTGTTCAAAAGGCCGAAAACTTCAGAAGAATGTGGTTACCTGTAAGTACAAATGGGGCATGGCGGGGAAGGAGCAGACAAGGATTACTATCACTTTTCATTCAACATATCCTGTAGTTTGAATTTTTAAAAGCAATCCCATTTATTTATAGAGATATTAAAATTGTAATAAAAATATTAGCACGACAAATGTAATAATGCATTTTTGTAAATACACCTTGACTAAGTAGGGTTTATTCTGTGAATGCAAGAATGACTTGACATGAGGAAATCTACAGTGAATCTACAATTCACTACGTTAAGACATTAGGAGGGGAAAGAAAAAGACATTAGGAACCATATACAATCTCAAGACCATATGCCAGTCATCAATACCATCTCAAATGTCAAAACTCAACATCTACTCAATGTGTTGAGCATGACGACATTCTTAGAAAGCTAGAAATAGAAAAAAACTTTCCTTCATCTCATTATGCATCCACCACCACGATTCATCTCCGTAACTCTTTTCACCTTGTAAAACTGAAGATCTATACCCATTAAACAATAATGTAGCTTGAACATTTTACAGGAATCTTTATTGTTCATAAAAAAATACATAGTTCTAAAAGTTGAGGTACACCTAAAAACTTACACTTTCTGCATAACAAAGTAATTCAAAAAGCTGCTTGTTTGAACGTGGCAACTGATTACTTGACCGTACGCGTGACCGTTCAGAAGTCTGGTTTTTCAACTTCAGATTGAAGAAACGTGATCTGAATGGAATTGCAGTCTCCATGGCCGTGCTTGGAGTATGAGTCCCATTCTGCAGTGAACCTATGCTTTCCTTTTGGCAAAATTCTACGACAGCATAGAGACCCTATACCAAAAACATAAGAAAAAACAGAACACATTTCACGATATATCTAACATACTATTTTAGCTCATATATTAAAACAATTATCATAATGCTACAAAATATCAAGTCTTTAAAATTTACAAATGATATGATTCTAACATAGCATTAATTTTATTCAATTTAAGTAGATGAAGAAAAGGAACACTGGGCCGGGCGCAGTGGCTCACGCTTGTAATCCCAGCACTTTGGGACATGGAGGTGGGCAGATCACCTGAGGTCAAGAGTTCAAGACCAGCCTGGCCAACATGGTGAAACCTCGCCTCTACTAAAAATACAAAAATTAGCCAGGCGTGGTGGCAGGTGTCTGTAAGTCCAGCTACTTGGAAGGCTGAGGCAGGAGAATCGCTTGAACCCAAGAGACGGAGGTTGCAATGACCCAAGATCATGCCACTGCACTCCAGCCTGGGCAACAGAGTGAGACTCCATGTCAAAAAAAAAGAAACGGAACCTTAAAACAATGTTAGTTAAGAGAAGCTGAAAAGACTGAAAAGAATGATGAAGCAGAAAAATCCAAAGGCAAAACAAAGATCCCCTCCCACTGGCCTTCATCCGCAAGTTAAAGAGACTATCTAAAGTATTCAAGCTGGGTGTGGTGGTGCAGGACTGTAGTCCCAGCTACTCCAGAGGCAGAAGGATCACCCGAGCCTAGGAGTCGAGGCTGTAGTGCAATATGATCGTACCTGCCAACAGCCACTGCACTCCAGCATAGGCCACATAGTTGGACCCCGTCTCTTAAAAAATAAAATTAAGCATTCAAATAATGAAATCAGTCATAAATGACTTATAATCCTAAAATACCGCTATAAGAATCCCATATCAAAAACAAAACTCATTAAAGAAATCTAGATAAAGAAGATGCAGTATATCAAAGAGAACCTACCTACCATATTGCAAAAAGCAACAGCAAAAAACAACTAATGGAGACCTCCACCCTTGAAAAGCATAAACGTTAAGTTAGATTGTTTTTCAAATACTTACAAAGCTTTCATAGAAGAAATGATTATTAATAGGTCCAAATTGGGATAAATATTTAAGAAACTTGTTTTCACTGATTTTCTCTGGGCAATGTATTAAAACAGTCCGCTGTGCCTGTTCTCGTCTTTCATTTTGCATCTCAGAGAATCTCCTTTTGGGAATCTTGTCTTCAAAGCCTATGAACGAGACAAAAACATTTCCACCACACGCACACACACAAAATTTTAAAAATATTTTGATAAGGTGTTTAAAGACTTCATATATGACTAAAACCAACTTCACCTAATCTATTTTTTCTCTTCCTTTATAAGGGTTAAACTATACTACAGTAGTCTCCCCATTACCCACAGGGGTTATGATCCAAGATGCCTGTAAATGCTTAAAACCTCAGATATTACCAAGCCCTATATATACAATGTTTTATCCTACACATACATTGCTATGATAAGGCTTAATTTATAAATTAGGCACAGTAAGAGATTAATAACAACGGGCCGGGCTTGGTGGCTCATGCCTGTAATACCAGAACTTTGGGAGGCTGAGGTGGGTGGATCACCTGAGGCCAGGAGTTCGAGATCAGCCTGACCATGGTGAAACCTCATCTGTACTAAAAATACAAAAATTAGCCAGGCATGGTGGCGCGCGCCTGTAGTCCCAGCTACTTGGGAGGCTGAAACAGGAGAATCACTTGAAACCAGGTGGCAGACGTTGCAGTGAGCTGAGATTGCACCACTGCACTCCATCCTGGGCAACAGAGCGAGACTCTGTCTCAAAAAAAAGAGACAGAGATTAACAACAACTAATAATGAAATAGAACAATTCTAATATACTGTAATAAAAGTTATATGAATGTGGTCTCTCTCTCTCTCAAAATATCATATTGTACTGTGCTCACCTATTTGTGGACCACAGTTGACTGTGAGGAACCGAAACTGTGGACAGTGAAAACATGGATGAGGTGGAATTACTGCACTTTCAGTGTTCGTTTGACTACTCTCCCATGACTACTATTAAAACTGCCCACTTTCTCTGTTTTGATTTACTATGCTTGATGCAAAGTGCTGAAAACGGAGTTCCACAAAAAAAAAAAAAAAAACCAGGAAACTAAAATCACTTATTTAATACTTGTACAAATATGCACACACAAAATTGTGCAAATTGTAACATTCCAAAGCCTAAAAGAAATTATTACAAGCCTGAGTGTAATGAGACAATGAGTTTGGAAATTCGGTGTTTTGACATAAGCTATTAAGGCATTTTTCTTTCTCAAGGGTCTTGATCTGGCTCAAACAATTAACAGTGAGTTACCAACTATCATGCGCTCTGTATCAGGGAAATCAAAGAATTTAAAACCTCGTTACTGCCCATGAAGAGCTCCCTGATAATTTTACTAAGGAAAGAAAGAGGCTAGGAGTTTTACAATCACAGGGAATCAAGACAAGAATTGTGACAGTGAAGAATTAAATATTAATAACCCACTAGCCACAATGGGAAGGTCAACAAATGAACTAAGTATAGAGAGAAAAAAATTATTCAAGTTCTAAGAGAGTATTAAAGCACAAACCTGAATGTTAACAACTAATTTTTTTCCCCCAAGATTTTAACTTCCAGTTAAGTAGTTTAAGGTGTTTCTTTAAAAAGTCTGGAATGGTAGACTCTAGAGATCATAAACCACCAAGTCTGATATCAATACCCTTAACAAGGCCAGACGCGGTGGCTCACACCTGTAATCCCAGCACTTTGGGAGACGGAGGTGGGCGGATCACCTGAGGCCAGGAGTTTGAGACCAGCCTGCCCAAATTAGCCAGGCGTGGTGTCGTGTGTCTGCAGTCCCGGTTACTTGGGAGGCTGAGGTAGGAGAATCACTTCAACCCAGGAGGTTGCAGTGATCCGAGATTGCACCATTGCACTCCAGCCTGAGTGACAGAGGGAGACTGTCTCAAAAAAAAAAAAAAAATCTTAAAATTCCAAAGAAATTAAATAGAACAGAAAATGTAAATGATGTATAGAAATCAGCAGAAGCTTTTAGCCTCATTTTCTTCCAAAAGGCTATGAAACTGATGGATCAAGGAAATACTCCAAACCCACTATCTTACTATCTTTTTTCTTTTTTTTTTTAAAGAGACAAGGTCTCCCTCTGTCACCCAGGCTGGAGTGCAGTGGCACAACCCCAGCTCACTGCAATCTCCGCCTCCCAGGTTCAAGCGATTCTCATGCCTCAACCTCCCCAGTAGCCGGTATTACAGGCGTGCGCCACCACGCCCAGCTAATTTTTGTATGTTTAGTAGAGATGGGGTTTCACTACGTTGGTCAGGCTGGTCTTGAACTGCTGACCTCAAGCAGTCCTCCCTCCTTGGACTCCCAAAGTGCTGAAATTACAGGCATGACGCCACCACGCCAAGCCTGAAAATACAGCTTTTAACTATGTGCCTTCGCCTCCATTCCCAATGACAATTCTTTAACATCAATCTCTTATTTCAGGCCTGTATCACAATAATCTGACTCCTAAACTAGTCTCATTCACCCTAGTTTTGTTTTTCTCAAGCTATCCTCCACATAACTGCCAAAGTGTTCTTTATAAAATGGTCTTTTTTTTTTAAGTCTTATTCTTTGGCTTACCTGCTTAAATCCTTTAATGGTTTCCCCACTGCCTTTAGGATCACATCTCAACTCCATAGCATGGGTATAAAGTGCTTGCACCATGTCCCATCTCCCCTCTTTCATGTCACTTATACCATTTCTTTCTGTTGTACTTTTCACATATGGTACTCTACACACACAATACTATCACATGCTATGAACTATCTATGTCTTCTTCCTTCTGGTTGGAATGTCTACCTTCTCATTTTCTGTCTGGCAAACTCCCATTCACCCTCCAAATCTTGCTCAGGTCTGTGAAGACTTCTGACTCTCCATGGCAGAATCTCTTCCACCTCTGTATTACCTTACTTTAACAACTATGAAGGAATGTAATTCATAGTGTTATATTTATTTAACAATATGGAAGAATACTTTCTTCCATATTGAGGGCAGAGGCTATTCTTTTCAATTAGATCTCAGTCTACCAACTGTCCTTCCTCCAAGTGGTCCTTATTTCCTTCTCTTATGCTACAGGCTCTGCCTAGACCACCTTACCACCTTTTCAGTTGTGAATGCCACCTACACACTCGTCTCTGATTTTTACTGAGTCTAAACTGATGTCCAACTGCGTATTGTAAAAGTAAAGTCAAACAGCATAGAATTTTCTTTTTTATTTTCCAGACAGAGTCTCACTCTATTGCCCAGGCTGGAGTGCAGTGGTGTGATCTCGGCTCACCGCAATCTCCACCTCCAGGGTTCAAGCAATTCTCCTGCCTCAGCCTCCCGAGTGGCTGGGATTACAGGACCTGCCACTGCGCCAGGCTAATTTTTATATTTTTAGTAGAGAAGGAGTTTCACCATGTTGGTCCGGCTGCTCTTGAACTCCTGACCTCAGGTGATCCTCCTGCCTCGGCCTCCCAAAGTGCCGGGATTACAAGCGTGAGCCATGGCGCCCGGCCCAAACAGTGTAGAATTTTCTCAGGTAGAAGCATAAGTCCTCTCCCAGTCCTCTTACCCTAACAGCCAACCATTAAGTTGTGGTACTTACCTTTTCAGACATTTTCAAGGTATATGTAAACATATACACTTGTATCCATAGATACACATCTTTTACACAACTGAAATTTACTGAAATCTTACTATATATTCTGTAACATGCTGTAAGATATTTAATATATTGGGGACATTTTCCCGTATCAGAAGATACACATTTACTTTATTTCTTTTAAAAAGTATATACTCTTAAATATGTATTTATCATAGTTTAGCCAAATCTCTATTGATAAATATTTAGGTGGTTTACCATTTTTTCACTATTACAAACAATGCTGCAATGTCATCTGTATGCAATGTCTTTGCACATTTATGCAAATATATCCCTGCAGGTGGACTGCTGGCAAAGAGCAGGGATTACATTTGAGAATGAGATAGAAAAGTTTGATTAAAAAAAATGGAGCAATGTGCTTGAGAAGATGAAAAAGGTAGAATCTAAAGCCGTAAACAACAGTAGGTTAAGAATGATGTAGACACGATGACAAAGTTGTGAAGGCGGGAACAGAAAGTTGAGGTAATTTATTGCCTCACCAAAGGTTTATCAAATCTATAACAAATTAAAAGGAAGAACTAATAAGTGCTAATATTTTATGACAGATTGAAATGTGCAATGGTCTTGATAATACAATATGGTAAGCACAAACTAACATTAAGAAATGACTGAATAGGCCAGGTGCAGTGGCTCATGCCTGTAATCCCAGCACTTTGGGAGGTCAGGGAGGGTGGATCACTTGAGGTCAGAAGTTCCAAACCAGCCTGGCCAACATAGTGAAATCCCATCTCTACTAAAAATACAAAAAATTAACCAAGTGTGGTAACGCGTGCCTGTAATCCCAGGTACTCAAGAGGCTGAGGCAGGAGAATCGCTAGAAGGCAGAGGTTGCACTGAGCCGAGATAGCGCCACTGAACTCCAGCCTGGGTGACTGAGAGACTCCTTCTCAAAAGAAAAAAAAAAAAAAAAAGACAGAATACTATCCTGTATTTAGAATTAAAAACAAAATAAAGATGCATGCACGTAATGGGGGAAAAATTAACCTAGCAGTTTTATAAAAGAGGCCTGAAAGTCTGATGCATCATAGGAATGTCTTAACTTCTGGATTGAGGATAGGAAGAGAATGAATTCATATAAAGAACTTCAGGCCTTATTGAGACAAACGTTTTTAAAAATCCAAATTTAAGGGGTAATAACACTTCTTTGGTACTTACTAATCAGGCCACATATGGAGTACATGTTCTACTCTGGACATAATAGATAAGCCAGAGAGCATCCAGAGAGGAATAACAAAAAGTCTAGAAACTCTAATATACAATTACTACAGATAAAGAGAGGATTTACAGCCTGGAAAAAAAAAACTGTAAGAATCTGAGAGCTGAGCACTGGCTTTAAACATAATATAGCACCTTCTCTTAATAGTTTTCCAAGCACTGTCACATACACACTCTTCTGAAATTCACAATAACCTTTTAAGATAGACAGGGTAGGTATCACTGCAGGTGAAAAAAACTGCCCAAAGTCAAATACCTAATAAGCTGGGTAGCCTCCTGCAGTTTAGCTGTTGTTGGTTTGGCTGCTGGCATCCAAACAACAGCTAAACCTGTTCAGGTAACAGTTCTGGTAACAGCACACCCCTGCTAGTAAAAAACCACTCTATGTGGTTGTGGTGGAACTGTCACACTTATCCCCCACCCCATGAGATAGGGATTATCAGACTATTTTGGACACCTCCTCTTCATCCAAAGGGTGGGCATGTGATCAATCGGAAGCCGCAAGCATGTGAACGTGGAGCTGCTGGTGACCATCACCCCCATCATCAACATCCCATGTAGAAGAGCCCAAGATTATAAGGCCACCAAAAAACAGCTAAGGAAAATGAAAATATCTCACACTGACCACGTCAAACCAATTGACCTTAAAGTATGATATATGTCTCTTTCTGGAGTTTGGTTACACAGATTGGTATAGTCTCCCTTTTCTACTTAAGCTATTTTGAGTTAGTTTCTGTTACCTGTATCAGAAAGAATCCCGAATAATACACCATGTACTCTTATTGTCTTTCTACTACAGCTCTTTCCACTACTAACATGAAACCTATGTCAAAACTAAGACCAACCTGGAAATGGGAAATTAACAGATTTTAGCTCACTATAAATATTTTTCAACCATTAGAGGCTGACCAAAAATGGAATTGACTGATTTATGCAACAATGTTCCTTATTGCTATAAACTGGTAATGAATCCTCACACTGAATGAAAAACTGAATTGGATATTTCTCAAGTTCCTTCCAATTATAAAATCACATGCTTCTAGGTGAGTATAAGGTGTACTTAACTGTCCTTCTTTAAAATGGTAAAGACATCCAAATGAGGATTTTGTTATTTCCTGCAAGAATCCCTGAATATTTAGTCGTATTATTCTAATGACACAAAATGAAACATTTCCTTAAAAAAGAAAAATAGCAAAGCTACAGTAAATGAAGAGTATAGTCTTGGAATTAGAAGTGAGTTTTACTGGCTGGGCGCGGTGGCTCACGCCTGTAATCCCAGCACTTTGGGAGGCCAAGGCAGGCAGATCACCTGAGTCTGGAGTTCAAGATCAGCCTGGCCAACATGGTGAAACCCCATCTCTACTAATAACACAAAAATTAGCCAGGCGTGGTGCCACGTGCCTGTAATCCCAGCTACTCGGGAGGCTGAGGCAGGAGAATCACTTAAACCCGGGAGGCCAAGGTTGCCGTGAGCCAAGATCGTGCCATTGCACTCCAGCCTGGGTGACAGAGCAAGACTTCGTCCCGAAAAAGAAAAAAAAAAAACAGTGGGTTTTTTAATTTTTGCCACCGAATAGCTGAGTTTAGCTTGAACTACTCAAGCTACCCTTGGACTACCCTGTTCCCTCATCTATAAAATGGAGTAACAGTTATTTCCTTCCACACCTACGCTACAGGGTTGTTTCATATATCAAAGAGCATATGAACATACTCTCAAATTTAAACACCCATACAAATGTTAAATTACAATAGCTTTTTTGGCAGAATCCTTACTCAAATTTTCAGCGTTACTTAGAAATGTTCAACAGAAGTAGCTTCCACTAAATACAATCCAATCAATATTTGAATGAAATACATAAAGATTTCTCACTGCCTGCCAATGTAAGTCTTTTATACAGTCTGATAAAGACACCAGCTTATTTTAGGGAAAAAATAGCTCCAAGGAATCGTAGAAGTCAATACATTTTGTTTAATAATTTGACTAGAAGTCTAAATTAACTGAGCTAGTGACCTTGCCTAAGTTATTTACCTCTTTGAACCATTTTCTACATCTGTAAAATGGACACAGTGATACATTTCTTGCAAGATCGTTTTAAGAACTGTAAATAGAATACACAAGCTCTTGAGTCACAAGAGAGGTTCAATAACACTGGCTTCTCAATACACAAAGAAGCATATAAATGTAGAACGAACGCGGGACAACAGCCTGTTGCAGTGAATCCAAATCTGTTACCAGACTGATTTGGTTCAAAATGGCCAAAAAGAATAAAGTAAACGGCAGTACATTTCATAGACAGAACCCTATGTCTAGGAACCAAGAATCCTCTTGATTCATCAGGCTACAATATAACTCGGCCTCCAGCAACAACTTAATGTATCAAAATCAGAAATATACGTACACGATGCAGCGACTGGCTCAGGTGTGTAGCATTACTATCATTGGGAACACTATTTCGTCAAACTGTAAAGTGCAAGCAAACTGGGTTCCTGACCTGAATTTCATGGAAGTCTAAACAACTCCATTACTGTACACAGGAGTCGCCCCAAACAAACATCACACATCTCACTTCTGCCTCAGCAACGGCGGCGACCCTGGGTTCCCCTACAGAGATCAGAGGAGAGGAGAGGACAGGACACAGCCCCACCCTCTTGCCAAAGGGTCCACAGCCGTTTCCACAGGCCACGTGTTTCCCCGTGATCCCAGACTCCTCGCCCGCTGTGGGACGGAACTACAGGGCAAACCGGCGCCATCACCTGTCTCCACGCTCCCTGAAGGCTGCTCGTCTCTCCTAAGGTCTTTGGCCACAGTTCCTGGGCAACTCAAAAGCCTGACGATAGGCCGCTGGACTCGAGTTCTTCTCCGGGCACACAGGTTCAAACGGGTCAAGAGCCCCACGCCGGGAACCGCCATTGCTAAAAAAAAAAAAAAAAAAAAAACAGCACTAGCGCGAAGCTGAAAGGTCAGCGCGTTTTCGCGCATGCGTCGGGGGGGAGGGGGGGGGCAAAAGAAATGGGAAGCCTCGAGGGTCAAACTAGGCGAAAGAAGTTCGCTTTTAGAGGAAGAGAGGAAATTGAGGCCGGAAAGAAGATACCTAAGCTTTCAGACATGGTTTACTTCCACAGTCACACAATTTACCAAATGAAAAGTTCCATAGAAGGAGCGCTCCACCTACTCTTGTAAATAGCATCATGAAAATAGAACCAGAGCCCGGGCGCGGTGGCTCATGCCTGTAATCCCAGCACTTTGAGAGGCTGAGGGAGGTGAATCTCCTGACGTTACGGGTTCGAGACCAGCCTGGCTAACATGGCGAAACCTTGTCTCTACTAAAAAATACAAAAAAATTAGCTGGGCGTGATTACATGCCTGTAATCCCAGCTACTTGGGAGGCTGAGGCACGAGAATCACTTGAACCCAGGAGGCGAAGGTTGCAGTGAGCCGAGATCGCGCCACTGCACTTAAGCCTGTGCAACAGAGCGTGACCCTGTCTCAAAAAAAAAAAAAAAAAAAAAGTTAAAATAATGGAAAGGCTTTTAACCTCTCTGAAAGGGGCACCAGGAGCAGGCAGGGCATCATCATCTTCCTTGAACCATGTGAGGACATTTTACAACCTCTGCCAATATGCCTCAATTCAAATTAAAATTCAAGTGGTTTTGCCAGCCCCTCCTCCAAGTGAGAGGTACATACCTCATCTTAAAGCCATACGAAAGGCATTGGAGAGGACTGGTTCAGTCTTCTCATTTTGGACATGAGAAAGTGGGGCACAGATCAGACAACGACTGGCTATAGGTCACACCTGGGGAGTCAAAGTTTAAAGTCAGAGCTCTGCCCTTGATTCAAGGCTCCTCCTCAGTGCCTGTGTCATAACCAGTGGCCCTTGCTCGGGTGCCTGGGAAAAGGACATACGAAACAGTGCAAAGAAGCCTGCAACTGAAGGCAGCCTCCCCGGGGGAATACACTGCTGCTGGAGGCGAAAGGAAAAGCAAGGGGCCTCGCAATCGGAGCGTGAGAGAGGACAAACCAGCACCGGAACTGACTAGCCAGCTCTGTGTTAGCATGGTGCTATTGCCTTGCAGGTATTTTCCTTTTTAATCATCTCAACAAATCTGAGTGATTAAACCCATTTCATGGATGAGAACACGGAGGCTTAGAGACAGTAAGTAACTTGTCTAAGGTGGCCTCATTAGAAGTTGGCTGTGCTGGCTGGGTGTGGTGGCTCACGCCTGTAATCCCAGAACTTTGGGAGACCAAGGCGGGAGGATCACCTGAGGTCAGGAATTCCAGACCAGCCTGGCCAACATAGCGAAACCCTGTCTCTACTACAAATACAAACATTAGCCAGGTGTGGTGGTGGGCACCTGTAATCCCAGCTACTTGGGAGGCTGAGGCAGGAGAATCACTTGAACCCAGGAGGCAGAGGTTTCAGTGAGCCAAGATTGTGCCACTGCACTCCAGCCTGGCAACAGAGCAAGACTCTGTCTCAAAAAAAAAGTTGGCTGTGCCATTTGACCCCAGGTCAGTCCCCAGATCCTGGGCCTTCCACTCGGACACACACTCAAGGCCACCCTCAGGCCACACAGAGTCCTGCCACTCCCACATGGATGTTGAAGAATCTCAAAGTTAGATAGAAGTATATTTGATTTTGATACTTCCAAGGAAAGTCCTGCGTAAGCAATGAGTTTGGGGATGGATGTGAGGACTTTTTAATTTTTGTGGGGGATATTTAATCCCTTTAGCAGAATAAAATGTTCTCCAGCCACTTGGCAGTAGGTACTTTTTTTTTATTTTATTTTTTGAGACAGAGTCTTGCTCTGTCGCTCAGGGTAGAATGCGTTAGTGCAATCTCAGCTCACTGCATCCTCCTCCTCCTGGATTCAAGCAATTCTCCTGCCTCAGCCTCCCAAGTAGTTGAGATTACAGGCACCTGCCATTATGCCCGGCTAATTTTCGTATTTTTGTAGAGACAGGTTTTCACCATGTTGCCCAGGCTGGTCTTGACCTCCTGAACTCAGGTGATCCACCCACCTCGGCCTCCCAAAATGTTGGGATTACAGACGTGAGCCACTGCACCCAGTTGAAAGTAGCTATTTTTATAGAACTATTCTGTCGTAAGGTATTACTTCTAGCTCACTGGCCTGCATCTTCCAGAAAAGAAAACTTTGCATTTAATGTTTAAAATGAAATAAATGCTTATTTTTATAAGGTTGATATGGTTTGCATCTGTGTCCCCACCAAATCCATGTTGAGATATAATCCCCAGTGCTGGCCGTGCGGCCTGGTGGAAGGTGTTTGGATCATGGGGGTGGATCCCTCATCAGTGGCTTAGCGCCATCCCCTTGGTGATAATTGGATGTGTTCTCGGAAACCTGGTTGTTTAATAGTTTGTGGCACCTCCCCTCGATTTTGCTCCCGCTCACTCCATGTGACGTGCCTGCTCCCCCTTTGCCTTCTGCCATGATTGTAAGCTCCCCGAGGCTTCCTCAGAAGCAGAGGCCAGTGCCATGTTTCCTGTACAGCCTGCAGAACCATGAGCCAATTAAACCTCTTTTCTTTGTAAATTACCCAGCCTCAGGTATTTTTTTATAGTGATGCAGGAAGGGCCTAATGCAAAGGCGTACTGTTTTGTTTTGTTTTCAAGCTAAGGTATATTGTTTATGCCTTATTACAAATTTGAGGGATATCAGAAACTGGGGGATACTGTAAGCCCAGCAAGGGGAGGAATACTCTATGGCTTCAAGCCTGGGCTCTCCTGCATATGGGGTTTCACAATGGGAATGGTGCTTGATGCATTCAACTAATACCTTATTTGTAGACATCTGTATCATTTTCAGCTTTTAAAATATGATCAGCTACATTGTAGCCAATATCCCCAGTTAAGTCACAGCTGATATACAACTTTATTTCCTTATAATAAAATACTAGAAGTTACTGGTCAGATTTAAGATGTTCAATACAAATTGCTCTCTAGAAAAACTGTTCCATTTTACCTTCAGACAACAGTTATGAAAGGCTCATTTTTCCAAACCCTCATGGTTTGGAAACTATATTCATGGTTTCCAAATCTCCTGTGTCCCCACTAAATCTCATGTTGAATTCTAATCCCTAATGTTGGAGATGGGGCCGGGAAGTAATTGGATCGCAGGCGCAGATTTCCCATGAATGGTTTACACCATCCCCTTGGCACTGTCCACACGATTGTGAGTGAGTTCTCATGAGATCTAGTCATTTAAAAGTGTGGCACCTGCCCCCTCACTCTCTCTGGCTCCTGCTCCCACCTTGTGAGATGTCTCGCTCCCCCTTCGCCTTCCACCGTGACTGTAAGTTTCCTGAGGCCTTCCCAGAAGCTGAGCAGATGCCAGCATCATGGTTCCTGTACAGCCTGTGGAACTGTGAGCCAGTTAAACTTCTTTTCTTTAGAAATTCCCCAGTCTCAGATATTTCGTTATAGCACTCACTAACACTCACTAACTCTGAGTTTGCTTTTTCTTTTTTATTATTACTAGATGAATATTATTTTATGTATTCATTGCCCATTTGTATTTCTTCTTTTCTGAATTGCCAGTGTATTTCCTTGACTCATTTTTTTTCTATTACTGTGTTTGTCTTTTTCCCGTTTGTTGATGAGTACCTTCATATAGTGGGAATACCCACACTGATATACTTCATTATATAAAAATCGAAACTTCTGTATGTTACAAAACACCAGAAAAACAAATGAAAAGACAGAAGAAATTATCGAGAAAAACAAATTTACAATGAATAGAACAATTTTTCTTTATACCTTCTGTACAGTACTGAGCATCACACTTAGAAAGTCCTTCATAATCCTCAAGATCAGGTAAATGTTCATTTTTTGTTATCTCTTAGTTTGTTAGTATGTTTATAGTTTTATTTGTTAACATCTTTACAACAACTGGAATTAGTTTCTGGCATGAAGTTTAAAGCAGTAATAATTTTAGCTGGATTTTTTCCCAGGAAGTTAATTAATTGCCCTAACAAAACTTATTGAACAATTCTTCTTTGCTCACAGGGTCTTAACTCCACCTTTATCATATGCTAAAAAGTATGTTCTTATAAAAATTCAGATTAGTTTCTGGACTTCCTATTCTGTTATTCTGTTCCATGATCTGTGATCTTTTCTAAATTCTAAAGCTGTCCCTATTCCAACAAGGGCTCCCAAATTCTCAGAAATAGAGTTTGCATTGCTTTGGTCATCTCTGTTCATATTCTTATCTCTTATGTTAGACTGTGAGTTCCCTGAGGAATGGGAACTCTCCCTGTGACCGTGAGTTCCCTGAGGGAAGGGAGGTCTCACTCCTCTTTGTACCCCGAGAGCCGAGTGTGGTGTAATGAAGGGAGGGCAAAACAGCACATGGGGAAATGAGGAAGCCCCAGGATTACAGTTGCCAGATTGAGCAAATAAAATAAGCAGTTAACCTACAATATCAGATAAACCACAAATAGTTTTTTGTATGAGTATGTGCTATGTAATATTTGGGATATACTTATCCTAAAAGTTATCCAGACATCTCCACTGAAACACTCATCCTCCTCAGATCTCAAACCTCCACCTACCATGAGATCCAAGCTGAAAAACCAGGAATGCATCTTTTACATGCCAAATGCCACAAGTGACACAGGCTCAAGTTAGAGGCACCCAACAGGCTGAGCATGAGAGTGGGAAATATGACCTTCCACGCTTACAGAGGCAGCATCACAGGCCAAGAATGAACTGACTCACTGCTGTTCCTCCAAAAGCCTCTCCCCCAACCCCCTGCACCCTGCCCCATGTCCCTGGTCCCCAGGGGCCCTGAGCTGAGTGGGGCAGGGCAGATACTGTATGATCCTACAGCTGACCGTTCATAGTCTCTAATCTTTCCTTCTCACATAAAAGAAAAACAGGGCTGTCCTCTGATGCTACCCAGCATGTGACACCTGCCTAGACACACCCAGTAGGCACTCAAGCAATGGTGGGGATGCAGTCGTTCTGTTTCTCGTGGTTTTTTGTTGTTGGTGGTGGTTGTTTGTTTTTGAGACAGAGTCTCACTCTCTCACCCAGGCTGGAGTGCAATGGTGCGATCTTGACTCACTGAAACCTCCACCTTCCGAGTTCAAGCAATTCTCCTGCCTCAGCCTCCCAAGTAGTTGCGATTACAGGCACCCGCCACCATACCTGGCTAACTTTTTGTATTTTCAGTAGAGATGGGGTTTCACCATGTTGGCCAGGTTGGTCTCGAACTCCTGACCTTAGGTGACACACCAGCCTTGGCCTCCCAAAGTGCTGGGATTACAGGCGTGAGCCACCGCACCCAGCCCTATTTCTCATGTTCATCCATACATTTCCACAGGGGCTGCAAGCCTACACAGCCTATGCACTTGGTCCAAATGGCCCCTAGTTTGTGTCAGGCACAGTGCTAAGCATTGGGGTTACAATGGTGAAAAAAAACCAACCTGGCCCTTGACATCCTGGGGCTTACAATCTAGTTGGGGAGATGGCCATAAATCACGTGATCAAAAATTTTTTAATTGAAAAAGTATAAGGAGATATAAGAGCGTATAGTGAGGGACCTAATCTGATGGGGTGGGTAGTCAGCACCCCAAATGAGGACTATTTGAGAAGGCGTTCACTGTCCAAGAGAAATGCTTCTGGCAGAGAGAACTGCATGTGCAAAGGTCCTGAAGTAGGAGGAAGGGTGCCTCAGGGATGTGAGGTGAGTGAGAGAGTGAGAGAGAAAGAACGAAGCAAGAGGAAGCTGCAGAGGCAGGCAGGGTCCAGATCCTGCAGGCCAATAGTGAGTCAAGGCCATTGCAGAATTTAGCAAGAGAGTCACTTAATAATACTGGGCTTTTAAAGATGAATATGGCTGCAATTCCAGAATGGGTGGTTGGAAGAGGCCAAAGTGGAAGCTACTGGGGAGGTCTCTGTAAGAGCTGACAGTGACCTAGTGGTGGAAATGGGGCAGGAGAGAGGGAGACTGTGTTGGGCTTCATCATGGTTGAATGCAGGAGAGAAATGAGGTATCAGGGAGATGCTGGCACAGCCAGGGAAGACTTTCATCACCCACTGGGCACGGGGGAGGGTGGTTAAACTGTGGGGAGAAGCAGGGCTCTTAGCCAGGATGGAAAAGAGAGAGAGAGTGAGGAGAAGGAGCAGGAGCAAGAGAGCTAAAGCTGAGAACTCAAAGGACCAAGGAGATGCTACAGGGCCGGCTCACAGAGGTGGGGCAGAAGGGACTCATTGTTGCCCAGCTTTCTCTCATTTCAGTCTCAAAAGCATCCCGCCTGCTAGGGGGAACTTTTCCCACTTTGCAGGGTAGTCAAATCAGATCCTTTCCTAAAATCACAGAGCTGGGACATGAACGCAGGTCTGTGTAACTGTAAAGCTCACACTCTTCTCTCTCCCAAAAGCCCCACTCCTGCCCCCTGATCCCTGGGCTGATGAGTTTACATCGAGGCCTATAGCCAAAAGGAGGGCTCAGAGACTCCCCAGCAGTGGAGGAAAGTGGCTGGGTGGGAGGGCTAATTCTCAATTCTTGTAGTTCTCCCAGAGCCTGGAGCCTGGGGCAATATGGGGAAACCAAGGCAGACACAACGTGGAGACAGCAAAGGGTAGTGTTTCTCAACTTTGTCTACATGTTGCCATCATCAGGTGAGCTCTGAAAACTCTTGGTGCCCAGGCTGTCCCCCAGCCAATTAGCTCAGAATCTCTAGGGTGGGGCTGGGGCTCTAGAGTGTGTGGGGAGCTGGGTGTGTGTTCAGGCCAGTTGCTTCTCTCTGTGCCTCAATGTTCCCGGTACCGTTGGAGGGGCTGAGATCCTGGGGATTCCTGGAGCCTGGCTGCATGGCCTGGCCACTCTGATGCCCTTGTGTTCTCCACGCCAGGCCAGCAAGGCTGAGGAGAATGCCTCCGACAGCTTCATGCACTTCATGGACTCACAGCTGGAGCGGCAAATGGAGACCACCCAGAACCTGGTGGAATCCTACATGGCCATTGTCAACAAGACCTTGCTGGACCTCGTGGTTGGTCTCCTACCCGAGACCATCATGCACCTTATGATCAACAACATGCATGCACCGCCTCATGGGGGCAGGGGGCTCCTGTGGCACTAGGGGTGCAGGTTGGCCTGGGGGAGGTGCCGACCAGCCCTATGGGACCAGGTGCAGGGAAGGAGGCACCGTCCAGACTAGAGCTCCCATAGAAATATAACACGGGACTGGGCACAGTGGCCCATGCCTGTAATCCCAGCACTTTGGAAGGCCAAGGTGGGAGGAACGCTCGAGCCCAAGAGTTTGAGGCCAGCCTAGGCAACATAGTGAGACCTGGTACCTACACAAAAATCTTAAAAATAGCTGGGCTCAGTGGTGGCACGTGCCTGTAGTCCTAGTTACGCAACAGGCTGACGTTGGAGGATCACTTTGAGCCCAGGAGGTTGAGGCTGCAGTGAGCGGTGATCTCGCCCACTGTACTCCAGCCTGGCGACAGAGTGAGATCCTATCTCCAAAAACAATTTAGGAAAAACTGAGTAAACAGGTGTCCTGGTGGCATGATATGTCCTAGGTTCCCTCTCAGATCTGTGACGTTGGACAGGTGACTTTTCCTCTGGACCTCAGTGTCCCCATCTGAATGAGAAAAGGCGGTGGGGAGGCAGATCTTTGAGTCTAAGCAGTGTAGAAGTCGCATCTAAAAAGCCATACTCGGGGCTCCAAGTCCAGCACACAGTCCCAGCAGGGCCCGACGGGGTGGCCAGAGTGGCACAGGCATCAGGTCCCAACCTTTTTGCCCACTCTCAGACCAAGGAGTTCATCTTCTTGGAGCTGCTGGACAACCTGTACTCGCGTGGGGACCAGAACACGCTGATGGAGGAGTCGGCAGAGCAGGCATGGCGGTGTGATGAGATGCTGTGCATGCAACACGTGCTGAAGGAGGCGCTCAGCATCATCAGTGACATCAGCACAAACACCGTCAGCATGGTCATGGGGACCCGTGGATGACTCCTGGCTGCAGGTGCAGAGCGTCCCAGCTGGACGCAGGTACCAGGGCTGGCCCCCACAGCCCCAAAGCCCACCAGCCTCCATGACTGAGCCTGGGGGCTCTTGGAACAGACTCCATGCCCAAGCTGGCAGGCATGGGTGCTTTCTGGAACTATCAGAGAGGGCAGAGAGCTCGTGGTTTATGGTGTAGGGGCTGGGAACTTGGAAGGGGTTGTGTGTGGGGCTGGACTCTGAGGCGGCCAGAGACCTATGAACGTCATCTTGGGCACACCTGTCATGCAGTCTGAGTCATGCTGGCAGGGCAGGGCATCCAGCTCCCAGCCTGGGAGTGCAGAGCAGGTGTGATAGTCAGGGTCCCACCTCCTCTATCTGTCGGCAATCCAGTGGTGATCTAGGATAAAACCTTGAGAGTCCCATGCACACAGTCATCCCACAACACACCTCACAGGCCAGGGAGGGACACACAGCCCCCTTCCCTCTCTCCCAGGTACCATCATAGCTGCTAGCATGTGGCTGAAGCCAGGGTCCCTGGCCCCCGCTGAAGCACTACCACCAGCCAGCGGCCTCATGCACCTTGGCCTGTTGCTCTTAGGGGTTGCCTATGCTGTTCAGCCAAGGGGACCACAGTACCTGCTGGCCCAGCTGAGCTCCACCCAGTGAGCCCACCCGCCTTCCCTGCCATGGACTCTCCCTCTTCTGCTTTTCCCAGCAGGAAGCGCCCAGCCTCACCTATGCAACCTGCAGCCCCCCAACCAGCTGAGGCTCCCCTCTTAGACTTATAAGTCTATGGCCAGTGGCATCCAGCTGCCTGCTCTCCCTGCCTCCCCCAGGGTCCCTTCAGAGGGTCCTGGGCTTTCTGACCACCCAGAAGGGCCTCAGGTGCACCCTCCAGCCATCCATCCCTTTTAGCTTCACCACCCTGGTTCAAGCAGTGTTCTTTCTCTATTAGGCCTGGCGGCTGTTGTGTGGGGCTCCCCAAGGTGAGAGGCAGCCCTGGGCCAGTGGGTTGGAAGACAGGGTGACCAGAGAAGAGGGAAGCCCGAGGGGGCTGAGCATTGGTCTGAACTGTGGGTACACTGCCTAGGTGCCGTGGGAGAGGCCAGTGTGTGTAGGGTGTGGAGGGCCACCACAGCCCCCAGGACCTACCTGTGAAGCTCCAGCTCCTCCCTCCATCTTCCTCCCCTTTCCCTTCCAGCCCCTCTCTTCCAGGAACCTTGCCACACCCACACCTGCACCCTCCCTTCCCCGGCCCTCCCACAGCTCCTGCAGCTTGCCCCTGCTCTGTGCTTGCCTCACCAGCTCTCTGCCCACTTTTCTCTCTACCGTTTTCTCTCTGCTTTCTCTCCAACTGCCAGCCAATCGATCGGGTCAGGAAAATCCATCCCATCCTGAGAGCCTCAGGCCCCACTTCGACCTCTAAACAGATCCCTCCTCTTCTCAGAGACCTCCCTTTCCAAGCCTGCCTGGGTGGCTGTTCTGTGACTTGACAGCGGCTCCCCCAGCCCCAAAGCTTCATCTGTGACTTAGTCTGTTGTAGTGGAGAGCTGACATATCCAGCTGTGACTGTTGCTGAAAACTTGTGCCACCTCTGTGGTATGCCCCTGCCCTGTTCTATAAATATCTATAAATAGGCCGGGCGCGGTGGCTCACGCCTGTGATCCTAGCACTTTGGGAGGCCGAGGCATGCAGATCACAAGGTCAGGAGTTTGAGATGAGCCTGGCCAATATGGTGAAACCTCATCTCTACTAAAGTTACAAAAATTAGCCGGGCATGGTGGCAGGTGCTTGTAGTCCCAGCTACTCACAGGCTGAGGCAGGAGAATTGCTTGAACCCGAGAGGCAGAGGTTGCACTGAGCCAAGATCGTGCCACTGCACTCCAGCCTGGGCAACAGAGCGAGACTCCGGCTCAAAAAAAAAAAAAAAAAAAAAGAAAGAAAGAAAAAAGAAAAAATCTGTAAATACTCGTATGCATATATATATTTATAGATAACACACACACACACACACACACACACACACACACACACACCCCCATACCTGGCCAACTGCCTCACCTGTAGTGCTGGGAATCAGTCACTGTGCTGTCCTTGTGGAGTCTTGTGGCCCAACAAGAGAAAGCTGTCCCCTGACATTGCCCCTCCACAGTGCACCACCTCCAGTGAGCCTCGCTGTCCTGCCCGGCCCGTGGCCTGCCAGCCCCCACCATCCTTCCTTTCCCCCACCAAGCATGGGGTTGCTGTGCAGGCAGCTGTGTGGCCTGACAGTCTACCAGTTCTGCTGTCCCTCAGCTGAGAATCAAACCCATTTCTGGATGACAGGGAATGTGTCCTCTGCTGGCTGTGTTCTCTGCGGAGCTCTGGGGAGGGGAAAGTTCAAGCCATTTCTAGGGTGCTATTGGGAGTGGTGAAAAGGCCACACCCTTTGCAAGGGACACTTTTCCTGGAAAGCCCCTGGAGCTTAGCTGGTTCTTACCCTGTGAAGCTGGCTCTGGCCACTAGAGGGCAGGACCATGAACTCAGCCTGGAGGGAGCCTGTGGGGCAGCTGGCACTCTGGAGGGACAGACAGAACAGACCACCAGGTGCAGACAGGAGAGGCAGGCAAGGGGACGGAGAACGGAAGATGCCTGGGGTGGATGGAAGTCAGTGCCCTTGGATGCTGGTACCTGCCTTTCCAGTCACCACTAGATCAGGCTTCTGAGCCTGTTGGCTGTCAGGGCTGGACTCACCCCATAGGCGTCATGGCAGTCCCTGTGAAATCCTCCAGGTGTCACCAGGCAGCATACAGGTAACAGGCCTGGAATGTCCCAACAGCCCAGCTGGACATGCTCAGACACTCTGGGGCTCCTCGTTCAGTGGCACAAACTCCAGGACCCAGTGAGGGAAACAGGAACACACCAGGTCAAGCAGTATGGCTAAATCCATTTATTCCAAAATAAAAAGCAAAATAAACAGGAGTCACATCACCAGGGAGCCACGACCCCATCCCCACCTCCTTCCTCTGTCCTATGCTATCAATAAATAAGTTTCCCAGCCACAAATAATTATTAGAACCTCCTCCCCGTATACCAGCTCCAACCTCTGCTAGGTACAATACAGGGGGTGGCCCTACCCCCTAGAATATACAAAACGTTACACAGATACAATATGTACACTGGGGAAGGGGGGCCACCCCAGCAGCCTATGCCCTCACCTAGTCTACAGTTAGCCCCACTGTCCTGACTCAGCTGTGCCTCTGAATAAGAAGATGGGAGCCCCCCAGAGGGAAAAGTTGCTTCGGTGCGAATAAGAAGGCCATTAGGCCTCCTCCAAACAAACCAACTCCACCAGCCTCTGGCTCGTAAATAACAAACATCATCATCCAGAAATTTAAGGACTCAGCCCTGGTCAAGGTGGCAAAGGATCTGTTCGTCTGCCCCCATTAAACAGGGGTCTTGTCTTGCTACCCTAATGGTAAAGGGGTGACTGGGAAGGGGTGTTAGGGACATGGTGGGGGTGGAGACTCCAGCCCCACTTCTCCAGGCTTTGCTGACAGCGGCCTGCTTTTATTTATTTTTATTTTTGTCCCATGACTTGCTTTTTAATCCCTTAACTTCTTTTTCATAACTTTTTTTATAACTTTTCGCAAAACTTTTTTCTACTTCTTTTCCACAATTTTTTTGCCACAACTTTTCCACAACATTTTTTATCCCATAGCTTTTTCATGCCATAACTTTTTAAATCCCATAACTGTTTTGTAGTTTGTGCTCTTTTAATAAACATACTTGCAGAGTTATATTACAATTTTGTAAAAATAAAAACAGATTATCTCATGCCAAGCCTGCCCAGCATTTGCAGTCTCAGTTCCTTTAATACTGTAGTTTTCAAGACATACAAAAAAAAATTTTAAGGCAAAACCAGCACTTTGCAATAGTTTATTAATTTATTATATTACAGTGGCATCACAGCAGCAGTCAATAATACCAATTAAGGCAAACGTCTTTCAGTATTTCCATTATACATTCTGTTTACAAGAATTCATAAGTTGGTAAAAGTCATTCTAAGAAAACTTGGCAAATAAAGCTTTGGACTGGAATTGGCATTTCTTTCTCTACTCCCCTCCCCCACCTGTTTCTTTCTTTTAAACCACAGTATTCATATTTTAAAATGTTTTAACTAATTTCAAAACATTAAGATAGCAGTTACATTATTTAATAGTTATATTATTTTAAAATGACTCTTTAAGATAAAGTTTTAGAGAAACTATATTATGGATAGGGCTGATTTACATTTTCAAATTTTCTAAAAATCAGCTTTGGTTTTAGAACTGATTTTTTCATTTCTGGAAAACCTATCAGGTTTAATCAAACACTTTAAAAATGATTATCATATATTGCAATCTTTAGGTATTTTGATTCTTTACTTTCCACAGAAATTCAATTTTTTTCAGTTGAACTCACATTTTAAAATTCTATGTTTCTGTTGAACTCTAACTTTCTAATGTTGCCTTCTGAGCAAATTGAAAGCTGCCTTATACTGAATGAGGAAAAGAATACTTGGCTGAATGAAGTATTGCAAAAGACTGCACGCACTTTGAACAAAGACTTAAGTTATTGTCATACGATTTTCATTCTCTTTAGCTTTTTCTTAAATATACGACAAAATGCATACACAGAGTGGTATTTCCATTAATATAGTAAATTCATTTTCCAGACTGACATCCAGCTTAAATATGCCAGTATGTGATTTAATCCATAGGTACCTGGTGAACACATTATTGTCAGATTGGTTACAGATGCCAAATGCTATCTGAGGGTCATTCCTAGTCATTTATATTTATCAGGGTAAAAGTGAAGTGATTTGAACTATAAAAACACCTTTGAAATAATTTATTGATGTATTAGATAAACCTAGTTTCAGAATTATAAAGAAAAAATGTTAGACCAAATAATGTGGCTAATTAACAGTGGTACAATTTCCAGCCCGAGGGTTTAAAATGGACTTAAATTAACTGTCTTTAAACTAAACTCAAAGAATGCAAAAGTGGCAAGTTCAGAAAATAAAAGGCAAGAACAGGACTTTAAATCCATTTTAAACCCTTGGGCTAGTAATCACACCACTGTTAATTAGCCACATTATTTGGTCTAACATTTTTTCTTTATAAGTCTGAAACTGGGTTTATCTAATACACTGATGCATTCATATAATTTGGAAGAGTCAACTGAAATCAAAAGGACCCAATATTTGTACTCTTTCAGTGAATGCAGGCAAATCTGTAATTCCATCTATAAAATCATATTATTGCTCTCCTATTAATGTCATATTTATAAAAGTATCATGAGGATGCCAAATGCTAAAAATGGAGATGGTCTAGTAACTAGAAATCTCCACCCCAGGGAGCACACATACATACCTCCCTACATCCTAACAATGTGACGTATTTTGGAACACAGACATTAGAACTTCATAAAGTTTAACTGTTGATTCTTTCCCAAGCATCATAAAGTCACACATTTAGACAATGTATGACTGAAATAATTCATTCATAATGTATAGGCACATTAACATAAATACTGCACAAAATATGCCTCTAACTGAAACTGAGAGGTATAAAAACATATTTCACTCTTCATAAAGAACTTTGTGAGGAAATATAACTCTGTGATTGTATAGACGCTTTTCTTGATAATACTTAGACATTCACAAACAGTAGATTGCACTGCAGTTTGTAAACATTTTAAGTTGCATAAACTTCTTGATTTTCAAATATAGTATAATACTGTCTACTAAAACTCTTTTTTGTTTCAACCAAGTACTCTCACAAATATTAGTTTATAATAATGTTTGTTATTGTTTTTTAAAGTGTTTTCCATTCAAGGAAAAGAAGTAAATTCCTATGTCAGAGTAACCCAATGTGGTTGAAGAACAGGTATTAGCCAGAGAGGTCTAGATGGTAAAATCAATCTTCTAGCCTCAAAGAAGCTCCATGAACAGAGAGGAATGCCAGGTGTCACACAGCTTCCCTTCACTCTAATTCATTCTTGACTAGAGCCTGTATGACTTTCTGGGACATTTAAACTTTAAAAGGATTTCTTATGATCTTTACTAAATACTTTAAGAAGAATGCCAACCAGTGCCCTTTTGTGTACTGGGACATGTAGTCATGTGATTAAAACAGGTAACATGAACTCTGACTTTAAAATGTATTATAGATATAAATGCTCTAAGCTAGGAAAGGTTTTCCACATCCACAGTCAATGATGGGAGCCTTTCATGTCTCAGAAATAATCCCTTTTTAGGTAATCGAAAAAGGGTACAACGGCCACAACTCACGATGCAATGTCTTCATGAGCCCAGAGCACATACAAATCCTAAGGGAACTACCATAGTACAGCGCTCATTCTTGGCACCGGAACACATGAAACATACTCTATCCTGCACACACCTGCCAGAGCAGGCCATTTTCCTCTCTGTGAGATTTAAAAAGCTCCCCAAAATGTTATTACTCCCATCCCCAATACACAGAAAATAAGGGTAGGGCTGTTTCCAGTCTTGGCCTTTAAACAACTCTAAATGTCAGTACTCATAGTGGCATATTACAAAGTAATAAACAGTGTGCACTTGAGGGCAAACCACATATTGAGCTAATGAGCTCACGGTGATTCGAATTCGATCAAACATAATAGCAGAACATAAGCAAATTTTATCTGAATTCTGTAATGAATATACATGCTGCAAGAACATTAAAAAAGCATGGCGGCCTACTCCAAACCAGAAAGAACAGTTTTGTGCAAATAGTGAGTTTTGTGTGTTTGAATTCCCACCATGTAAGGGCGAACTCAATATGCATTCTAATGACCTACAATTATGGAATTAAAAAAGAAAGATACTAAGGGATGCCAGAGTGAACAACAGGGAAAGACCCACTCTCCTTTAACTTTTTACAAATAAATGTAAACTATAAATTAGAAACACAAATAATCATGAGTGACTCTAACATTCAAATGAAGTAAATGAATTGTGTAGGAGATTAACCCCATAACTTTTTTTTCTTCTTTTTTAATTTCTTGACCAGCTCTTAGATGATGGTGATGTTTAGCTCCCTGTTCTTGGCAGCCTGGTAAAAGAATGGCATGCAGGGACTGCTGCCCAAGCCTGGGTACTCCTGGGGGTCCCGCATCACAGGAAGAAGCTGCATGAGCTGCTGTGCAGTGGGGTTGTCATGGGGACAACCCTCCCTGGCCTCTCCTGGTGCAGGCTCCAGGCTGTCGGCTCACCTCACAAAAATCTTTGGAGAGAGCGGGGCGGGGATCTGAGCACAGTGCGAGCCTCCCCTGCTCCTGCCTGGCCACCCCACCTGAGGGCTCTACTCACCACCCTGCTTGTCAGCAGCCCCAAGCTCCTGAGGGGCTGGGGCCCCTGGAGCAGGATCATCAGCAGGGTTCTGGGCAGCGGCCAGGAATTTGCCATGCCCCTCGTTGTGATCGCCTGCAAGCCGCAACACCAGCTCCTGCAGCTCCAGCAGTTTCACCTGAAGGGAGGGGTGCTCAGCTGCCACGCTGGTGCCAGTGCCCCTGCCCACGCTCACACCCACCCCACCCCCACCCCCACAGAGGTGCTGCAATGCCCCATCTTCATCTCCTCTTTGTCCTGGGCCAGCCTGATGATGTCCTCCTCCTCCTGGTGCCGCGTCTTTGGCGCTGCCCTCTGGCCCTCGTATGTTGTGATTTACTTTCCTGCGGGAGGACAGGGCTCAGATGCTGGGGCCCCTCCGATGGCCCTGCAGCTCCCCCTGCCTTCCCTGGCCTCTCACTCACTGATGGTGTCTGCCTGTCCTGAGAGGTGGATGGATCGAAGCTCTAGTTTCTCCACCCACTCCTTCAGGTCCACCTTCTCCTTCAGGAGGTCCATAAAGCCACTCTGGATCCAAAATAATGGGGTCACATCTTGAGAGCGACCTGCCCTGCCCTGCTCTGCCCCCAACCTTCTTGGCCCATGCCATGACTCACTCACCTGCAACTTCTCCATGGATCCCTGCAGGGCCTGATGAGTCTACCCACACACAGACTCATCCCCAGTCCCTGGGGCTGGTTCCACTACCTCTGGCTCCTTCTGGGCCAAGGCCACCCGGGTGAGTCAGGCGCTGGCACCACACCCTTTGCTCCCTCAGCTGCCCACATAAGCCATACCTGCTCCTCCTGGGCACTGGCTCCAGCGGAGTTGAAAAACGCCACCTGAAGGCAAGAGGTGAGTATTCTTATAGAGGCATATACAGAACAAACGGGGCAGGGAGGTAGAGCGCAGCCCCTTCCCTTGGGGCCTCAGAGAGTGCACCTGTTGGTGAAATGCACAGGTGAAATGATGTCTGACCACTGGCTCCTGGAAGGAGTGAGCGTCCACAGAAATCAGAAGGTGGGGAAACCAAGAGCATAAGGGGGTCTGGGAGGGACCACAGAGGAAGGTGGCAAAGCGGGGGCAGAGTGAGTCACGCTCGCCATGACCTCCCTGCTCTCCAGGTCCTCCGGGATGCTCAGCATGGGCCAAGCTGAGCCTCCTCTTCCACGTTGTCCAGATGTTCTCCTCCATCTCCTGTGGGGGGTGGCCAGAGGGGTCCTCAGACAACCCAACAAGGGAGGTACTACAGACCCACCTCTGCCTTCATCCTCACTGTGTAACCCTGAGCCAGCCCCTCCCCAGAGGGGAATGAGCTGCTGTTCTTTATCTTTACTTTCAAGAACCAAGATCTTGCTATATTGCCCAGGCACAGTCCCACTACCAGTCGGTGCAGGAGTTCTGACCTACTCCCTTTCTGACCTGGGCCAGTTCACCCATCCTTAGGCAACCTGTTGGCCCCCTAGCCCAGGAGGTCACCATATTGATGCCAAACTTAGTGCAGACACCCGGTCAGCATAATGACCAGCTGTTCTAAAGGTCTCTTCCAACTCCTCAATCCTACGCTGCTAACAGTCCCCCTTTCCTTCTGGGGCTCTCTCCTCCTCCTCTGAGAGATCTCCTGTACCTTGCCTAGGGAGTGCCATGAGGCTCAACTGGGCCTGTAGCTGCTGGTTCTGCTGGCTGGTACCTTCCAGGTGCTCCTAAGGGGCCAGGAAAGAGAGTGAGAAGGCACGGAGGTTGCCAGGTCATCCCCCTCAAGGCCCCGTCCTCAGCAATTCCCTCCCCTGGGTCTCCTGCAACTTTTGGTGGGCCATCTCTGCCACCACTTTGCCCCAAGCTTCCTGCTGCTGCAGCTGGTCCATGAGCTGGGTCTGCAGCAGTAACTGCCTGTGCTGCGCCTCCTTCTCAGAGGTCAGCTGCTGATAGGCAGCCACGTACTGCTGCAGGTGACCCAGGGACTGGTGTCCCTGCTGCTGCAGACTCTGAGCCTCTTGGCTCTTCAGCTTCACCTGCAGGAAGACCCTGGGCATGAGGGCACATGGTGGCTGGCTTCCAGATTCTGGGCCCATTAATAGGGTATTGAGGGCACTGTGGGGCTCTGTTGCCCGCCCAGGCCCCTGGCCCCTTGCTCCAGGCCTAAGTGACTGCCTCCCTTTCCTAGAACCCCATGCCTTCTTCCCCAGCCTCAAATCTTACACCTTTCTTCCCACCATTTAAACTGTAGGCCACAGGCTGGTGGAAAAGCAGAGGGAGCCAACCACCATCTGCTAAGTGTGCTATATGACTAATACTTTCCATGTATTATCTCATTTAATCCTCAGCACCTCTGCAAGGAAAATGCTAACTTCCTTTTGAAGTTAAAGGAACAGAGACTTAGAGATGCAAAGTGGTTGAATGGCGACCAGTGGAACTGAGGCTGGAATCTAGTTTGAATCTAAGGAGACTTTTTTGTTTTTGTTTTGTTTTGTTTCGTTTTGCGACAGAGTGTCACTCTGTGGCCCAGACTAGAGTGCAGTGGTGCAATGTCAGCTCACTGCAACCTCCACCTCCCAGGCTCAAGCGATTCTCATGCCTCAACTTCCTGAGTAGTTGGGATTACAGGCATGCGCCACCATGCCCGGCTAGTGTGTGTGTGTGTGTGTGTGTGTGTGTGTGTGTGTGTGTGTGTGTGTGTGTGTGTGATATTGGTAGAGATGAGGTTTTGCCATGTTATCCAGACTGGTCTCAAACTCCAGACCCCAAGTGATTCTCCTGCCTCAGCCTCCCAAAGTGCTGGGATTACAGGCGTGAGCCACCATGCCTGACATAAGGAGCCTCTTATACCACGACTCCTCCCCTGTGATTGGGGGGCTCCATGCCTCTAGCTGGGATGATGATGTCCACACCTGGGAGGAGCCCAGGGCTACCCACCTCTAAAAGTCAGAGGGCAGGAAGCAAGAAACAGTCACAGGACTGCCCTGGAGGGAGCTGGGGTCACCTGCCCCCGGGCTGGAGCTGCTTTTGGCCTCACACCTCCCCTCCCCAGAGGCTGGTGCTCACCTCCCAGCCCTTCTTGGATGGGCAGAGGTTACAGTCTCCTTCAGCTTGCCCAGCTTCTCCTGCAGCTCCTTTACTTGCTGCTCCAACTGTAGTGCACTCTTATTCTCGTTGTTCTGGACAGAGAGAAGCAATCAGTGGCCACCCACTGCAGCTGGAGACCCCAGAACTTGGTGTCTGCCTCCCATGGCACCAGGAAGGGTGGAGGCAGGTTAGAAAAATTATCCCCTCTCTCCCACAGCCATCAGAGCAGGGCTCTGGCTCACAGGTGCCTTTAGAAGTACCATTTCACGTGAGGGCTACACTGCCCCATCTTACAGGTGGGGAATCAAAGGCCTGGAGGGCAAGGGAGGAGGGCAGGCTCACGAGGCGGGGCAACGCACCAGCTCCTCTAAGCCGCTCTGTGGCCCAGCCAGCTGCTAGTCGAGCTCATGGTTCTGAGAGAGCACGTGGTTGATGGTGGTGTGGTTCCGCAGGGCCTGCATGCACGTCTCTGCCTGCTCCTCCCAGAGCTTGGCTTTCCGCCCCAGCTCGAGCAGCCTGTCCTCCTGCTCCGCAGCCTCTCCTCCCACTCCCGTAGCCTCTCCTCCCGCTCCCGCAGACTCTCCTCCCGCTCCCGCAGACTCTCCTCCCGCTCTCCCAGCCTCTCCTACTCCTGCAGCTTCTCCTCCAGCTCCTGCAGCCTCTCCTGCTCCCGCAGCGTCTCCCGTTCCAGCAGCCTCTCCTCCTGCTCCCAGTTCAGGTGACTCAAGCCTTGATTGTTTTGCACCTGAGCTTGGAGCTGTCCTGCCAGACTCTCCTGCTCCTTCCTCGGGTGCTCGGCCTCAGCTTGTAGCTGCTGTTCCACCTCAGAGGGCCCTGCTGGGGGCTCCAGGGGCAGGGGTTCAGCTGAGAAAGGAAGCAGACAACAAGGGCCTCTGGGTTAACAAAACAAAACAAAACAAAACAACAAATAAAAGCCCTTCTCTTGGTGCACAGATCCTCTCAGGCTCCCCAAACTTGGCCTCACTGCTAACGATTCCTCGCTCTCGGATGGTAGCCAATCTTCCAAGCCACTTTCAGATAGAGAGCACTGTGGGTGGCTGACAATGAGCACTCCTCCCTCTTTGTTGATGGCGACACTGAGGTTCATGGAGATTATAAGACTTGCCGTCTCCTGGCACAGACCTCTTTCCCTCTGCCTCAAAGCCCTTCCATCTACCCACCTCCCTGGGGCATTCTAAGCCATCCCCACAGCCCTCTGATGCCAGTCCTGCTCCCAGGCCATGCCAGCCCCATCTTACCCATCTAGTTTTTGAGTTCGGCCAAGCTCCTCTCCAGCTCCTGTACCCGATGCCTGTCATGCTTCTTCTCCTCCTTCCATGTGCAAACCTGCCCAAAGCACGGGGGACAGGGCCCTGGAGAGAGGGGCTGGTGGTTGGACAGGCTACCAACTCCCTCTCTGCCTCCACCTCTACAAAGCCCAGACCCATGACCACCTCTGGCTGTACTATTCCCATTTTACAGATGGCCAGAAAGATCCAGTGACCTATCTAAAGTGGGGGGCTTAAGGGTCAGGTCTCACCTCCTCTGACATTTTCCATACCCTCTGCTGCCACCGGGCCCTCTCTCCTTTTAGATGTTGAGTATATTCATCTGTCTCTAGCTGGACTTGTTCCAACATCTGCAAGAATGGGCACAGAAGTTAGGAAAGGCTGTCACTGGTCCTCACCTGCTCCTGGCCACCTGGCGTCATCTTCCTCCCACATCCCTCCCTCTACAAAGCTTCACCTGTGTCACGTGTGCTTCCAGCTGTGCCCGAGCCTTTATGGACTGCCATAACTGCCGCTTGAGGACTGCTTCACAGCGGCTCGAGGACTGTATGGTGAAGAGTGAGAAGTTTCGATCTGGGGAGCCTGGGCCGTTCCACACAGTGCCCCTTAAAAGGGCTAGGGTTAGGCTCAATATACAACTTGGTCAGTAAAGGTCAAGGCATTTCTAAGCCTGTGGTCTGGTTTTTAAAAGAACTCAGTAAAGTTGGAAGGGACAGGGAAAAAGATCGAATTTACAGCTGGCTAACAGAGGCCCAGAGAGATCAGATAATATTGCTGTTGTTATTACTGTTATTACTACCACTGTTTGAATGTTTATTGAGTGCTTCGCCAGTTACCATGCTAACGATCCCACTGAATCCTCATAACCACCATATGAGACAGTTACTATGATTACCTCTATTATTAGTATTAGAGTTACTATTAGAGTATTAGAGTTTCTATTATTAGTATTAGAGGTTAAGTGCTTGCCTAAGGTCACTTAGACAGAGCTGGGATTTGAATACCCAGGTCTATCCTATTCTCTAAGCCCATTTTTCTTGCTGGGGGTTGGGGCACAGATAGGAAGGGGGAAATTAATCTTTTATTCATTTTTTGAAAGGATGATACATTCACATAGTCCACAACTCAGAAGGTACAGACGGGAAGTATCTCCCAGCCACCCTGTTGCTCTCTGCTGAATTTTTTACAAATCCTTGCAGACATGTTTTATGTATATTATCATAGTACGTACGTACACACACACACACACACGTTCCCCCTCTCTACACAAATGGTAACATACTAAAGGTACTCTTCTGTACCTTCACAGTACAAGTATGCAATCCCCCACCTAGGACTTTGTCAAGGCCACAGCCAGGTAACAGCAGGGTGGGCACTTGGCCTCCAAGCTCTGCATCCAGTGCTCGCTCCCCACAGTGCCCCGCAACTAACCCACAGCAGCTGACTCAGCCCCAGGCTGCCTCTAACAACCACACACAAAAGCAGCAAGAAATGGCCATGCTGCCTTCTGGGCAGGACATTCCACCCTGCAGCAAAGAGGGCAGTAACAGAAGAGCCATGCTGCATGCTCCATGCTCTGGGGTCCCTCAGGGTGAGGCCTGGGCACCCCAGCTCCCCATTTACCCTTAGCACCAGAGGCCCCCAGACCCTTTCTTCAGGGCCCCAAAGGGAAACTGAAGCCCAGGATTGGCAGTGTGGAATCAGGGGACCCCACTGGACTCTTAGCAATGACTCGGTGTTTTCATTGAGTTGATTGATTGTTGTGGAGCTCAAGTCCAGGGCTACTGCTAGTTCTTGGTACTGGCTCTGAGGCACATGCAGAGAGGAGGAATTGGAGGAGGATTGCGGGGAGAGGTAGAGAGAACAATCATTAGGGCTGGGGTGTGTGTGGGCTGTCTCAGCTGGCAGAGGGGCACTCAGCCCCTGCTGTGGGAGGAGGTTGGGGGGCTGGCCTACAGGGCCACTGCACTTTGGCCCAGGGCCTCTTACCTCCAGATCCTTCAGGGTAGCAGATGATGCAGGGGTAATAAAAATAAGAAATTCAAAAAAACAAAAACTTCCATCAAAAACAGTTATGGCTATGGAGAAAGTATAAAAACAGCAAGAGGCTGGGCACAGTGGCTCATGCATGTAATCCCAGCACTTTAGGAGGCTGAAGCAGGTGAATCACTTGAAGCCAGGAGTTTGAGACCAGCCTGGGCAACATGGTGAAACCCTGTCTCCACTAAAAATACAAAAAAATTAGCCTGGCATGATGATGCATGTCTGTAATCTGAGCTACTGGGGAGGCTGAGGCATGAGCATCACTTGAACCTGGAAGGCAGAGGCTGCAGGGAGCCAAAATCACACCATTGCACTCCAGGAGAGAGAACGAGACTCTTCAAAAACCAAAACAAAACAGCAAGAAGGAAATATGGGGATCTGGGCCTTTGTTTCCAGAACAGAGAGACCTGGGCTGGGCACAGAATCTCAGAGCATGAGGAAACAGGCCACAGACCCCCTAATCTACTGGACCATTGGCAGAGCAAAAGCCAGATACTCAGCTGCAGGATTCCCCTAGGCCTGTGCTCCCCACCGTATCATTCAGTGTCTCTTCTGAGCCGGCAAGGTGAGTCACAGCACCTGGACAGACCTGACCAACTTGGGTTAACAGGTGTGATGACTGAACAACTGTCTAACAGCAGCCAAGGGTGCTCTGTCAGTCCCCCTCCCCATGCCCATCTCCAGCAGGATCTGCCTCCATTTGTGCCCTGCTCCTCTGGCTTGGCAGGAGTCTCCCAGGCAAGTTAGATACGGAGGAAATGCCAAATCACAGCCAGAGGAGGTCATCTCCAAGCCCATGTGTCCCTATGCCCTGTCTCCCAGCAAGCTCTTTGTGCTCCTGAAAGGTGCTCTATGAGTTCATAACGATGGCCATGACCTCACCGCTCCCCCTTCCTCCCCCACTCCCCATATGGATGAATGTTACCCACCTTTAATCTTCCAGCCAACCTCAAATGTCACCTCCTCCACCCTCAAGTCCATTCAGAACCAACCTCCCACTGAGCTGAGCATTTGGAATGTTCCAAACTTCTTTCTTGCCTCCTTCAGAGGAGTCTGCCTCCCTCAGTCTGCACCCTACCTTGTTCAGCTATTCTCTCCACTGTTTATTTAGCAAAGTGCCTTTGTTGTCAAAAGCCCAATAAATATGCTAAGTGTCCATTTGATTTTCAAGAGGTTATGGTCTTAGTCACTCATCTGTTTGGTTAACCTCACATCATTTACAGTTAGTTCCTCTGAAAAAATAGCTTCAACCCTTCCAGCTATAATGTGAACTCATTTTATCTTAACCCTATGTTCCCTACTCTTAAACCAAAGTGAATTAATCCAAAATAAGCACAAACTTTTATGTGGTCTATAGATCTTTGCCTTTAGGACAAAACCTAAAGGTCAGTTTTGTTTTTGTTTTTCATCTCTCTTAGTCTGAGAGTACCACACTGGGCATTCAAAAGCCCAAGTCCCAGGCCGGGCATGATGGCTCAAGCCTGTAATCCCAGCACTTTGGGAGGTGGGGGCAGGTGGCTCACTTGAAGTCAAGAGTTCAAGACCAGCCTGGCCAACATGGAGAAACCCTGTCTCTACTAAAAATAGAAACATTAGTTGGGCGTAGTGGCAGGTGCCTGTAATCCCAGCTACTCAGGAGGCTAAGGCAAGAGAATCACTTGAATCCAGGAGGCAGAGGTTGAAGTAAGCAGAGATCACACCGTGGCACTCCAGTCTGGGTGACAGAGTGAGACCCCGTCTCAACAACGACAACAACAAAAAGCCCCAGATCCCACATGCCTGCTCTATACATTATTCCCAAATTACTTTTAAACTTTAAGGTATGTCTCACCTTCTCCAAGATGATAAAAGATGCAGGGAAGGAAAAAACTCAATTAATCAAGCAGGTGAAGAAGCAGACAGGCTGAAGGTTAATGGCAGCAACATAAAATAAGCCAAAGTATCCCCCAAACCAGAGAAGCCTCAGGGGCATGCACAGCTGGAGAGAGCAAGCCAGAGAGGGGTCTCAGCACTGCCTCACCTTCCATTTGTCCAATGGGAGAGCGCTACCCCATTGGAATGGTTAAGGTTGGACACCAGCACCTTCAGAATGTCCTGAATCTACAGAAGGCAAAAAGAGAAAAACAAGGGCAGGGGGAGAAAGACAGAAGTGGCTTAGAGCGAAGCAAGAAAGTCAGGGAAGGAGGAAAATGTGGATTCAGGGAAACGAAACGCTGAGGAACAGCAGAGATCAAAACCATGGCCTGTGCCATTCTTCCAAATGGCCACCTGCTGCCTTGCCAGGGGCAGGAACAAATAGATAGAAGAGTCTCCTGAGCAATGCAGTCACAGAGTGGAGTCCCCTGACCAATGCAGCTCTTAATCTGCTCACCGGACCCCTCTCCTCAGGCCCAGGACATGGGCGATGAATCTAGTAGAGCTCCAGACCACCATCTCCATTTAAAAAAAAACAGACTTCTGAGTAAGGGTTCATTGGAACAAAGGGGGCTCCAGCTAAAAAACAAGTTTTAAAGACACTGATCTTATCCAGTATCATCTTACAGAGGAGAAAACTGAGGCCCAGGGGAAGAAGTGATTTTTCTGTGGTCACCGAGCAATCTGGTGGCAAGTTAGTTCTTCTCTTAATTCTAGTGCCTGGGGCCCTCCTCACCACATCCTGGGGCCCTTTCAGTGACTTCTAAAGGGAGAGCCTGATGACAAGTGGCTGTTCTCATCGGCCTGGCTTCCCGTTGAGACTGGGGATGAGGAAAATCAAACAACAACAAACATTTCCTGGCTGTCCTGGGTGTTTACAGCAGGCCATGTACTAGGGATTAACATAAAAACAACAGCAATTACAAATCTCATTTAAACTTCACAAATGGAAGGCAAGCAACACCACTTCTATTTTACAGATGTGAAAAGAGAGGCTCAAAGAGCAGCAGGTGAGGGCTGAATATGGACCAGGGAGCCCCAGGAGTCACCCACCCAAAATCACCCAGGGGTGACTGCTGAGGGCAGGGGCTGGGCTGCTTACTGAAGGGGCAGGGATGACTGACAAGACTTTGGTTGAGGGACCCCAGAGGTGCTGGGTTTGGGGGCCCCAGCCCAGTGTGCCTTTGGAGTGGTATGGACTCTGGTAACTGTCTTGCCACTGGAGGGGATTTGTGGCTGGGTTGGGGGGCCATGTCCTGGTTTATTTTACCTTTTTCTTGGCCACAGCCAATTTACTCTGTTGAGTTTCTTCCAACATCGTGGGGTGGAGAGGGAGGCAGCGTTGGGGTCACATCAGTGAAATCCCAGCAATGACTGCAAAGTACCTCCAGTCACATGCCAGGCAGTTGTGCAACTGAGCCAGAGGAGGTGTAACCAGGGTCCCACTAGAACTCAGAATAGGGGCGTGGCCTTAATGATCCAAGCTCATTGGTCGATGAGAATGATGAATGCGAAAGGAGGTGTGGCCAGGCAGCAGCATGTCCAGAGGGACCTGTTGTGTCACAAGGAAAGCTGTCCATGCAACCGCTGTCCCCACCCACTCTGGGAGAGGGGAGGGGCTGCCCACTCCGGGAGAGGGGAGGGGTCAGCTTTTGCTTTAAAAGCTTTAAAACTTTAAAAAAGAAACTTTAAAAAAAAGTGTGTATACTTTATATATATATATGTGTCTGTGTGTGTGTATCTATATGTTCCTCCAGAGCTGTCTTCGTTATCCAGCTTCTATGCAAGGTCTATGAGTTTGGCCTATATTTTACATCTTCAAATGGAGTACAAGAATTACCAGTATTACCTCAATTAAGATACAAATCCTATAAAAATGGAAAATCCATAGCATGCTTGATGATTAATAAAGCAGACTATATTATTCAACATTCCAATAAGATAAAATAATTACAGTGATTTCCCTTTTTTAGAAAAATATTTCTCTTATTCTCCTACATTATTGTTAAGATATTTTTTAAACAAGAAACATGTCTAATATCTTAAAAAACACTAAGCTTTTGGGCCTGGTGTGGTGGCTCATCCCTGTAATCCCAGCACTTTGAGAGGCTGAGGGGGTGGATCACCTGAGGTCAGGACTTCAAGACCAGCTTGGCCAACATGGTGAAACCCCATCTCTACTAAATATGCAAAAACTATCCAGGCATGATAGTGGGTGCCTGTAATCCCAGCCACTCACCAGGCTGAGGCAGGAGAATTAATTGAACCCGGGAGGTGGAGGTTGCAGTGAGCCAAGATCACGCCACTGTACTCCAGCCTGGGTGACAGAGCAAGACTCCATCTCAAAAAATAAAATAAAATAAAAAATAAATATAAACACAAAGCTTTCAATTTAATAAGCACTTAAAGCTCTTTACCAGTTTAAAACAAATACAAGGCCCATTTTTCTAGAATCACCTGGCCTCTCTAAGCCTTACAAATGATACTGAATTTCTCACTTGATACTTGGCTATGATTTGGAATCATGAAAACTAAGAATTATGTTATGTCACTGTGTATTGCTTGTTACCTGAATTCCATAGTAGGCTGGGATCAAGGGTTGAATCTTTCATGATTTGCTCCATAACGTGTGCTTCTTATCCCAGACCGAACTAAGCTTTTTTCTAGAGTTCTACAATTTACAGTTAGTAGACAAGAATGGTTCTCAAAGATGTAGTCTCTGGACGAGCAGCACCAGCAGCACCTGAGAACTTTTTATAAGTGCAAATTCTCAGGCCTCACCCTGAACTTTGATGAACCAAAAACTCTGGAGTAGGGCTCAGCAATCTGTGTTGCAGTAATCCCTCCAGGTGTTCAAGAACCTGTGGCATACAGGAGGTAGAAAAATGTATTTCCTCCTGTAGGTTCAAAGCCAGGGATACTATATATTCTGTCTTGATACGAAACAATGACATGCAATTAAAAGAAATAAATCTCCTTCCTACTCCCATCCTCCATCCAGTGTGTTTTATTTTTATGAGTTAAATAAGAAAACAAGTGGCAATCAGAGATTTCATCTAAAAAGTATATTTACAAGTATCAGTTCTCATCCAGCCTGATCTTACACAATACCATTTACATCCTCTTACATCTCAAGTTTTAAAAAAGTGTCTTTCACAATGTAAGTCTCAGGCACACTAGGAGTTCTATAATAAAACACCAAGGCTGGGCACGGTGGCTCACACCTGTAATCCCAGCACTTTGGGAGGCCGAGGCAGGTGGATCACCTGAGGTCAGGAGTTCGAGGCCAGCCTGACCAACATGGAGAAACCCTGTCTCCACTAAAAATACAAAATTAGCCGGGTGTGGTGGCACATGCCTGTAATCCCAGCTACTTGGGAGGCTGAGGCAGAAGAATCGCTTGAACCTGGGAAACAGAGGTTGTGGTGAGCCGAGATCACACAATTGCACTCCAACCTGGGCAACAAGAGCAAAATTCCATCTCAAAAAATAAAATAAAATAAAAATAAAACACCAAGTAGATCAGAATGTCCAAACTTACTAAAGAAGAAAAGTGGAATCATTGGCTATATTTTCAAGTTGCATTCAACAGGAAATGTAAGTTTTGAATTATTTTCATCTTCATACTTCCAAGTTAATAGAATTAAACCAGAATACTCCATTCTTTCAAAGCCTCTAGCCAGGCAAAGTTTTACTGTATTACTTCTTGCTTTCAATGGATATAAACCAGAGTCCTGGTAGGCACATTTTTGGATGACTGCAAAGATGCAGAACTAAACAGTTCCATCTGTTCAATATTAAAACAAAAGTCCTGTAAACCTCTGATAGTGAGTATAATACTTTAGCACTAGCACCAAAGCCTCAAATATGAAAAGATACCAAGAACACCACTAGCAAACAGAAGTGAGCTCTCAGCTGGGAGCAGTAGTTCATGCCTGTAATCCCAGCACTTTGCCAAGCCAAGGTGGGAGGATTACCTGAAGTCAGGAGTTCAAGACCAGCCTGGGCAGCATAGCGAATTCACATCTCTACAAAAAATTGAAAAAACTAGCTGGGCGTGGTGGCACACACCTGTAGTTGCAGCTACTTGGGAGGCTGAAGTAGGAAAATTGCTTGAGCTCAGGAGTTCAAGGCTACAGTAGCTATGATCGTGCCACTGCACTCCAGGCTGGGTGAAAGAGCGAGACCTAGATAATTACAGTCTGTCCTGCTCCTGTTTACATTAAAATCACTAAGTTAAAATGCTTTCAATCAGCAGGATAAAAATTAAGTGAAATGTGACTTTGGAGTTTGGCCAGAAAATAGGCAATGGAGAAACAGACACTTTCCACAAGAATAAAAATGGCAAATAAGCATATAAAAAAGGTTCAAAAGCACTAGAAACCAAAGAAATGTAATGAAAACAATGAGATTTTCTGCTTAGAGACCAGCATAGAGGACAAATGGAAGGGGGAAACTGGAGCTCTGTCCTTGTTGGTGGGAGTATAAACTGAACCAATTTTCCTGCAGGATAATTTGAAAATTTCTATTAAAAACCCTAAAACTGTTTTATGTTATTTTCCTCCAGAAATTCTACTTCTATGAATTCAGTCCAAAAATGATTGCTCGAGTCCATTAAAATGTATACATAAAAAAATTTACCTCTGGGGTGGCAATGATTAACTTAAGATACATCCAGCCATTAAAAATGATGATGCAAGGATGTATTGACTGCCATAGAAATATGCCCAAAACATAGTAAGTGACAAAAGACCATATACTATGATTCTACCTTTTAAAATGTTTATATGCATAAAAAACTATAGAAAACAACAAACCAGAATGTTTTGAGTGGCAAAATTAAAGATTTTTCTTTATATTTTGTCTTCCAAATTATTACAAAAAAATTTCTTCATATTTTGTCTTCCAAATTATTACAAAAATAATTACAAATTATTACAAAAAGAATTATTACAAAAAGAATTACAAAAGATTTTCGTTATAATCAGGGAGAAGTATTATTTTCATTTATTTATATTTAAATTTCTTTTCCTTATTTTTTCTCATGTATGTATCATGTGTAGTCTAGAGAGCTTGAATCCCTGCCTTTTGAGGTAAATCAGCCCATTTCTGTCTCTATAAATTTGCCTTTTTTGAAAATTTCAAATCAATGGAATTACACCATATGTGGTCTCGTGTCTGGCTCTTTTACTTAGCTAATGTTTTTGAGGTTGTTCTATGACATATAACATGTTTTAGTAGTTTGTTCTTTTCATTACTGAGTAGAAATCCACTGATGGATATATCACATTTTGTCAGCAGAGAGCCTTTTAAACTTGGATTCCAACTTCCTCTGATCTAAATGAAACCCTCCAAACACAGGACTTGTAGAGGAAGCTGCTGTGCATGTCAAAATAGCTACTTATCAGAACCAGCTTTGTCATCAGGACCCTGAACTGGTGCAGAAATTTTTATTATTTTGCGACTTCTTTTTTACAGGGAATTTTTGTGCTACTACACATCAGGACTTTTGAAGCATCTGATACATCCATTTAACAAGAATGAGCATGTGTCTGAGTGGACAAGAAAGTGAAACCATCCATGATACATTGTGTATTTTTTCCTCCCCCAGACTGGACCAGGGAATTTCTTAACTTTCTACAGTATCCAGTCTCCATTTACAAAGCTGAACAGTATTAAAGATCCTGCTGCCTTTGTCAGGCAGATTTGGAGGGGAGGCCCAATAGCAAGGGTGGAGAGGAAAAAGAGAGTGGAGCTTGTGGAACAGGAAGCCCCCCGGGGTCTGCGCTTGGCTCCCAGCTGTTGAGGATGTTGTGGATGGTGAAGTGCTGATGGTGTCCTGAGGCAGCCTAGCACCTCCAGTGGGCCCAGAAGGTCTTGATTCGAACACTTACCCCTGTTTCACAAGTGTTTAAAAGCTGTTTTTGCTTTTGTTATTTTCCTAAATAATCATTACTTGGTAGTTAGTTATTAATCTTTCTTTGGGAGAGGGACAGGACTTTAAAACTGAAGAACATAATTTTCATTAAAATATCAAAAATGGAAAAAGGTTACTTTGTAAACAATTTGCTAAACAAACCAAATGGCAGCTGTTGAGAATCTCAATAAAATGTTAAATGCATATGCTGCTTTTAGAAGAAATAAATTAAAAAATGCATTTGCTGGCAGTGGTACCCTTTTGCCTAAGGTTGGGTCACTGTGTCATCATACTGTGGTGAGGGTATGTGTGGTGTATATGTGTGAAACTTTTCATCTCAGGACGGATCGTAATCTTAGTTGCAATTTTCCTTCCAAATAGGGTTACGAAGTAGTAAAACATGGGCTTGGAAGTGACAGACCTGAGTGAATCAGGACAACTTAAAAAAAAAATCCAATAAAACTAATTTTTAATAATCCTGAGGTTGGTTTTTGAAACAATAGATACAATTATTTACTCTAAGCATCTGGTTATAATTTTGAATCAGTAATACATACTGTCGCCACACTTTTTTTTTATGGAAACAAAGTTTTCATCCAGAAAACCCCAAAACAGTGACTTTTTTTTTTTTTTTTTTTGTAAGACGGGGTCTCACTCTGTCACCCAGGCTGGAGTGGAGTGGTAGATCTCACCTCACTGCAGCCTTGACCTCCCACCTCAGCCTCCTGAGTAGCTGGGACCACAGGCGCCACCGCGCCCGGCTATTTTATTGCATTTTTGGTGGAGATGGGGTTTTGCCATGTTGCCCAGGCAGGTCTCAGACTTCTAGGCTCAAGCCGTTCGCTCACTTCAGCCTCCCAAAATGCTGTGACTACAGGTGTGAGCCACTGTGCCCAGCCTGGAAGGATTTTTTAAAACATAAGTTCAAGCATCTTATCTGAACTCTTTTAATTGGAGGTATCTCTTCTCTCATTATCCTCATCTTTGGTGTTCCCCAGAGTTCACTGCTGACTGGGATGTACAACATATATTTCAAAGTCGAGGTTGGGTGCAGTGGCTCACGCCTATAATCCCAGCACTTTGAGAGTCCATGGCAGGCAGATCGCTTGAGTCCAGGAGTCCTAGACCAGCCTGGGCAACATGGCGAAACCCTCTTTGTATTAAAAATACAAAAAATTGGGAGTTTCCGGGAGCGCCGCCTGGAGCTGCTGGGCCACTTTTGGCATGGCGGCCTTTTCCCGCTCGGCTGGGCCAATCCTGTCGCTGAACCCGCAGGAAGATGCCGAGTTGCAGAAGGAAGTGGCACAGGTTCACAAGCGCATAACCAAGCGAAAAAAAAAAAACAAAAACAACTTTCTCCTGGTGTAGTCTATGTGCGCCACCTACCTAATCTACTTAAGGAAACCCAGATCCTTTCCTATTTCTCCCAGTGTGACACTGTTACAAGGTTCAGACTGTCCAGAAAGAAAAGGACTGGAAATAGCAAAGGCTATGCATTTGTGGAGTTTGAGTCTGAGGATGTTGCCAAGATAGTTACTGAAACAATGAACAGCTACCTATTTGGTGAAAGACTCTTGGAGTGTCATTTTATGCCACCTGAAAAAGTACAGAAATAACTCTTTTAAAGACTGGAATATTCCATTTAAGCAGCCGTCATATCCATCAGTGAAACGGTATAATCAGAATCGGCACTTACACAAAAGCTACGGATGGAGGAGCGATTTAAAAAGGAAAGAAAGAAAGAAAGATTTCTCGGAAGAAATTAGCTTAAAAAGGAATTGACTATGATTTTCCTTCTTTGATTTTACAGAAAATGGAAAGCATTTCAAAAACGAATCATCGGATGTCTACAAAAGGCCAGGTTTTACGTAAGAAGAAGAAAAAGGTTTTAGGCACTCCTGACACTCTTGAAAAGACTGTGGATAGCCAGGGCCCCACACCGGTTTGTACATCAACATTTTTGGAGAGATGAAAATCTGAAGTGGCTGAAATGAAGGATGATGATGAAGATAATGAAATAGTTTTCAAACAGCCCATATCCTGTGTAAAAGAAGAAATACAAGATACTCAAACACCTACACATTCACAGAAAAAAAGACGAAGAAAAAGCAATCAGTGATTTTCAATGTAATATATATAACATTTCTTTTGAAAATTGTAATATTTTTATGATAAAAAATACAAAAAAATTAGCTGGGCATGGTGGCTCATGCCTGTAGTCCCAGCTGCTTGGGAGGCTGAAGTGTGAGGATCACCTGAGCCCAGGAAGTTGAGGCTGCAGTGAGCCGTGATCGCCGCACTGCGCTCCAGCCAAGTCGAGTCATTACATTTATCTTAACCTGTTCTAGGCTGGCTTACCAGAGATTTGTATTAAGAATACAATAGGCGATCTCACAGACATCTAAGTACAGAACTCAAAATATGACCCCACCATGGAAGGACTGGGCTGGGAGGTGATTTTTCTCCCCTGCATGCCTTCACTCTGGATTTCTGCTCCATGCTTGTGCTTTGCTCTGCAGATGGACGTTGAGCACGTGCTCCAGGCTTCTCCAGTCTCTGAGGCTTTGGCCTGCCCTGGCAGTACCCCTGGTCCCAATGTTACTGGAACTTTCCTTACAGATGCTCCTCTGCAAAAAAAATCTGTCGAACACTCTCTGTGTCATTTCCAATTAGCAGGATAGAGAATCTGATCTGTCTAGCAGCAGGGGTGGGAGTTCCCTGGTTGTCCCTGGATTTGTAGTGCTGCCCTTTCCAAAGACTTGAGGAGGGGCCGGATATCCAAAAAGAGGGTGCAGTTGGGAAATCAGTAATACAGTCTACTTCAACAAGAAAGTATAAAGTAGAGGCGGTGGCTCACGCCTATAATCCCAGCACTTTAGGAAACCCAGGCGGGTGGATCACTTGAGCTCAGGAGTTCAAGACCAGACTGGGCAACATGGCAAAACCCCATCTCTACTAAAAATACAAAAAATTAGCTAGGCGTGGTGGCACATAACTGTAGTCCCAGCTACTTAGGAGGCTGAGGTTGGAGGATTGCTTGAGCCCAGGAAGTCGAGGCGGCAGTGAGCCAAGATCATGATGCCACTGCACTCCAGCCTGGGTGACAGAGCGAGACCCTGTCTCAAAAAAAAAAAAAAAAAAAAAAGTATAAAGTGGAAGCATCTGTATGCATGATTGAAGTCATGCTTTCCATATATTTTTTCCACTTTGCCTTTTTTCTGTCTAAAACACTGTATCTTAAGCTTTTCCCTATGTTATTAAGTACTCATAAGCATTATTTTAATGGTTGTATCAGAAACCATTATCTGGACTCATTATCATTTATCCATCTGCAGTTGCTGGAGATACTGCCGTTTCTGCCACACTCAGTCACCTTGACTGACCTTGCTCTGTGTCCAGTTATCTACTAATACACATACTGGTCATTTAGGAGTTAAAGTTAAGAATAAACAGTTATCATAGTTCCTAACACTTCAAAAAGAATGTATCTTCCTAAAAATAGAATGACTTGGTGGTTAAGATAATTTTAAAGTAAAATAGATAAATCGGTATTGAAATTAACATTTTGCTTTCTTCTTGTATCTATTCTTCATTTCTCTGTCATTTTGATGGATAAAGTTTCATTTGGAGGGATTTTTATTTCAAAATAGAAATAGCATATGACATGAGAATGGGAACTCTGAAAGGTTCAACTTTCTAGTCATTAGTTTCCTAAGATTTTCACAAAAGCTACCGATAGCCAATCATGATTGGCCTGTATTGAAAGTGAGTTGACATTACATACAACTTATGCATATACTTTCTATCAGATATAGAAAAATAGGTGGTGTGTTTGGAAAAGTATTGGGCTAGGAGTCAGGAAGCTTGACTGTTGACTGTTGGTCCCAACCCTAGGCTTGTTCAGCTGAGCACCCCTAGACAGTAATTCAGCAGCTATTTCTTAAATACCTAATGAGTTTCAGACTTTGTAGTTGGGCTGGGAATATAGACAGTCATGCATTCATGATTCTCCAAGCCTCCTATTCTCACCCCAGCTCACTGTGAGCTTTCTTATGCATTGTGTAAATTTGTCTCCTAACAGTCCCCAACTCTCTCTCCAACCGGCTTCCCAGGGCAGTTGTGCAGATCAAATGAGAGAGAATATGTGTGAAAGCAAATTGTAAATGATTTTAAAATGCAATAAAAATATGACCCATGAAAAATTATTTAAAGATCCTTAGAATTTTAAATAAACAGTACATTAACCTGAGTTCTCTATGGTTTTTATTTTAAATAGATATGAAAGTTTTCCAACGGACCACTGATATTGTTGAAATTCTTGGCTTGATTATTCTCCAAGAAAATGATAGAGTGGTTTGTGTGATTAATTTTCTAAAATTGCCAGCCAAAAAAAAAAAAAATCTTTTTTGAGTTGAATGACTAGATCAAAGGAACGTTGACTGTATAATGGAGAAATGTTTTCTGTGTTCACTAACAGCTTGCCTTTGTTTGATTCCAGCTGCAGCATATCGTGAGTGATGAGATCCATGTGCGGGTGACTGATCTTTACCCGGCAGAAAATAATAATGGGGCCACTGGAGCCCAGCCGAACACACAGAACTCAAGGAGCCTCCTGGAGTCAGCGTATCAGTAGAAAGCCGAACAGCTAATGTCAGATGAGAATTGCTTTAAGATGAGAGTTGCTCATGCAGTCAAAGACCTTGCTGCTGACAGTGTAAGTTGTTAGGATTCTCTGAACCTGAAGTTAAAGCCAGGGTATTTTGACCCGGTGATTCTACTGCTGGAACTTTTTAGAGTTCCTAATGAGTTCACCAGAGAAATACAAAGGGGAAAAACTATCTTCCTGGACAATCTACTTTGTTTCTTTCTTGCCTTTAAAAAAAAAAGAAAAAAAACTAGTTATGTATGATTTTTACAATTTTGTATTCTTCATTTTCTCTGAATATTTTTCATAGTATACTTTGTAAGTATTATTGTTAGAAAAATGTTGGTACATGAAATCCATGGTCATGGTCATTATAGAAAAGAAAATGTAGGCCTGGCACAGGTGGCTCACACTTGTAATCCCAGCACTCCGGGAGGCCAAGGTAGGCAGATCGCTTGAGACCAGCTTGGGCAATGTGGCAAAACCCCATCTTTGCAAAAAATACAAGAATACAGAAATAAAGCAAGTGCGGTGGTGTGCACCTGTAGTCTCAGCTACTCAGGAGACTGAGGTGGGAAGATCGCTTAAGCCTGGGAGGTTGAGGCTGCAGTGAGCCCTGATCGCATCACTGCACTCCAGCCTGGGTGACAGAGCAAGACCCTATCTCAAAAAAGAAAAAGAAAAAAAAATGTAGATAACCAAAAAAAGTCACCTTAGAATTCTTCCCTGAAGTTGCCATTGATGACATTTCTAGACTTTTCTATGCTTGAATATATATTTTGAAAGAGTTTATATTGGACAAATGGTCTTTAATTTTTTTTTTTTTTTGAGACAGGGTCACGCTCTGTTGCACAGGCTGGAGTGCAGTGGTGCAATTTTGGCTCACTGCAACCTCTGCCTCCTGGCTTCAAATGATCATCATGCCTCAGCCACCCTAGTAGCTGGAATTACAGGCATGTGCAACCACACCAGCTAATTTTTGTATTTTTAGTAGAGATGTGTGTCAGGTCCCAGGGTCCAGGTCCAGCCCATGCTGAAGTCTGAGGGGAATGGGTGGGTGATCAGAAAGAACACTGGGGGGGCCATAGGCAGATGAAAGATAGCTTTATTCAGCAGCAGCTCTCATTAACAGCTTTCTTACACTAGCTCTCTTATTAGCAGCTTACTCTTACACTGTTCACCGTGTATCAGCTGCTTGAGCCAGCTGCCCCGCCGACATAGCTGCACAGCTGGCTCTCCCTTGCCTTCAGGGTCAGCAGCTTAACTCTTTCTCTCTCTGGGCATGAGCAAGCCCAGCTGTGTCCTGGGTCCCTCCCGTTTGTCTGCAAGATGGACAGCTTTGGCTCCCTCTCTCTTTCTCTGGGTGCCAGTGCACCCACATGTCAAACCATGTGGAGTGGAGCTGAGCCAAGCCCCCAAGAGCCATGTGTCTTATGCACAGCATCAACAGAGCACTTATACCTATTACAGACAATAGTGGCATAAAGCCAAGTATGAACTTACACAAACAGGTTATATTACAAGTGGAGGTGTGCACTTACCCGCCAAACTCGCGAGTCACGCAGGCTGGATATACGCCTCGGTCTATTCCTTGACCAAAGCACACCCATGTACCTTATAATGTGGTTTTGCCATGTTGGCCAGGCTGGTCTCAAACTCCTGGACTCAAATGACCTGCCCGCTTCAGCCTCCCAAAGTGCTGGGATTACAGGTGTGAGCCACTGCATCTGACCTGAAATGGCGTATTTTTGCTCAATTAGCAACACTTTTGGGTCTTTAATGTATTTTCTATGGCTATTTGATATTCACTTTATAGAGAATTAGTGCCTGTATTGTTGGACATTTAGGTCGTTTCCAATTTTTCACCATTGCAATGGATAATTATAAAAGCAAATAGTTGGAAACAACCTAGATGTCCAACCCACTATGGGGATGGGTTAATGACATGCTGTTATGAATACTGGAGACATATTTTGCAATTCTTAAAAATATATTATAAGTTGTAAAACTGCAGTATCTGTGCCCCCCACAAATCTATTTTGGAAATAGCTGTATTTGTGTGTATATATTAAGTTATTGTCAGGTTGTAAGCTTTACTAGCAGAGGGGAATTTTGAAGGCTTTAAAAGAACACTGAGCTAGATCTAGCTTCTGGCTCTGTGTGTTTATTGACTAGTGGTGTGCCTTGAGAAACCAGAAGTCTCTGAATTTCAGTTTTGTCTCTGTGTAAAATGAAGAAGGTTGAAATAAAAAATTCTCAGCCGGGCATGGTGGCTCACACCTGTAATCCCAGCACTTTGGGAGGCTGAGGCAGGCAGATCACGAGGTCACGAGATCAAGACCATCCTGGCTAATATGGTGATATCCTGTCTCTACTAAAAATACAAAAAAATGGGGCCGGGCGCGGTGGCTCACGCCTGTAATCCCAGCACTTTGGGAGGCCGAGGAGGGTGGATCACGAGGTCAGGAGATCGAGACAATCCTGGCTAACATGGTGAAACCCCATCTCTACTAAAAATACAAAAAAATTAGCCAGGCATGGTGGCGAGCACCTGTGGTCCCAGCTATTTGGGAGGCTGAGGCAGGAGAATGGCGTGAACCCAGGAGGCGGAGCTTGCAGTGAGCCAAGATCAGAGATCACGCCACTACACTCCAGCCTGGGTGACAGAGCAAGACTCCGTCTCAAAAAATCTCAAGTTTCCTTCCAGGCTCTGATCTTCTCCATGTGATTCTGATAGTTACCTTGTCTGCAGAAAGCCCTTAGAGTAATGGCACTGAGAATCTCAGGGTTCTGAAAGGGGAGATCACGTGCTATCACCATTGATAGTTGTTTTGTGCAAAACATGGTTTGCTTGCCTCTATTGGTGTGTTGCTTTTAAGTATGTATTTTTTTTTTAAATCAGACAAATAATATTAGTGGAACTCGGAATTTCAGGAACTTCATATGCAGTTGGTGCCATTGTAACAGTACTTTTCTTGTTTTGTTTTTTAGAAAGGGTCTCACTCACCTGCTTTTGAGAAAGCAGGGGGACTGGCTTTGGCTGGAGACAGGGTCAAAAGGGCTCTCCTGGAATGGCACATTCCCATCCCAGGGAGGGAGCTCTGTTGGGAACATGAGATGGACCAATAAGATCCATCCATTAGGAAAGTGGCCCTTGGTCTGTCCAGTTTTAATGGAGGAGGGTGCTTGGTGCAATGACCACTTCTGATGGGGAAACTATTCAGAGACATGGGCATTCATTGTTTTTCCCACGTGTGCCCCACTGGGGCCCAAACTTGAGGGGTGAAAAGTTCCAGGAGACAGATCAAGAGTGGTGTACATGCCATGGCTGCCCAGGCTGGGCTCTTCCCACCGCCCCTCGGCCCTACCCTCTGGAACCCTGGGCAGGCTGGCAGAAGCCCTTTTTGTGGTCTGGGCTTCTGGCCAAGATGCCTATGGCTTCCTAACACCTGTGTGGGGCAGTCTAGTGTAAAGATCCTGAAAGTAGGAGAAGAGCAGTTGATCAAGTGAATCCAAGATGTAACTAAAACTGTCTCTGATGGCAAAGCCTTTGATGCTGAAGAGTCTGGCCCATAGAAAGATGGCCCTGAGCATGGCACCTCTGACTAAATCCGTCACTCTGGCCCACTGAGCATATGAGCCCAGCCTTGCTCACAGTCGGGGCGGGAGGAAGACCTCATGGAGGCCACTCGATAACTGCACTTCCCGTCATAGCTGATTTCACCCACACCGTCCTCTGCCCCAGCCAGCCCAGCCCCGTCATGCCCTGCCGTTGCAGTCAGGGCTCTTTAGGGTGAGTAACAGAAAATTCACTCGAGTTGGCTTAGGCAAGAAGGGAAGTTCATTGGTCATTAAGTTAGCCACAGGCAGGGCAGGGAACAGTTGGGCCTCAGGAATACCTGGACTCAGAGTCACCAGCACTGTCAGGATTTGCAGGCTCCTTCCCTTGTCTCTGTCTCCATCTCCGCCTGCAGATCAGTTTTGTGCTCTCAGAGCAACTTTCCCCACAAGGTTGGAATCAGACTGTTGGCAGCACGAGGCTTCCGTCTTCCTGGCTTTGCCCCCAAGAAAGGATGGGGCTCCCCTCCATTAGTTCCTATTCAGAAAATTCCAGAAGAGAGCTTCTGCTTGGTCTGGTCTGGGTTGGCCGGGTAGCTGGGACACTAAATCTGCCAAGCCCTCTAGCGGCATGTGGTTGAAGAAAGGTGGAGAGATGTATTAGTCAGTTCAGGGTGCCATGCCAAAATACCACAGACTGGGTGGCTTAAACCACAAATATTTATTTCTCCCAGTTCTGGAGGCTAGGAAATCCAAGATCAAAGTGCCACCAAGGTAGGTTTCATTCTGAGGCCTCTTCTCTTGGTCTGTAGGTGGCTGCCATATCGTGTGCTCACATGATCTCTTCTTTGTATTTGTGCAGAGAGAGAGTGAGTGCACTCTCTGGTGTCTCCTCTTATAAGGACACTAATTCTATGGAATCAGGGCCCCACCCTTAGGACCTCATTCAACCTTAATGACTCCCTGAGAGGCCTCATCTCCAAATACAGCCACACAAAGGTTTAGGGCTTCAACATATGAATTTGGAGGAGACAGAGACATTCAGTCCATGATGGGAAGAAAAACTATTCACCAAAAAAGGGATGCAGTGGCCAGAAAAGGGGGCAGATGAAACTACAGATGCTCTCCCCATTTCCCCCAATACATAACACACACACACACACACACACACACACACACACACACACAAACACACACACACACAGCCCTGCCTTTGCCCTTTCCCAACAAGGCCACTCCCCACCCCATGTTTATTTACCTGCCTCCTATCCTGCTCTCTGAAGCTGCCCCTTCCCCTAAGTTGTCCTGTTGCTCACTGAATGCTACACACAGGTAGGTGCATGTAAATGTAGCCAGATACTACATGGTCCTCCTGGACCATGTGTGTTCTGAGCCCCACCATGGGACTGGGCAGGAAGTAGGTATCACCCATGTCTATTGTCCTCAGGCAGAGCCTAGCTCTGGGACACGAGCTCAGTGGGTGCTGCGGCTTTGTTGGGTTCACCTCAGGCCCCCTTACCCCCAATCCACTTATAAGGTTCCCAGGGCCTTGATACCTCTGTCCTTGGAAGAAAAGAATGTGATTACCTAGCTCACACAAACCTGCTGGTGGCTTCCCGTAATAGAAGGACATAATTTTCTAGTTCAAAAGAGTCTATCAAGTGACAAGCACAGTGAATGAAGAAAGACCTACAACAAGGCACATCATTGGGAAATTCCAGAAAACCAAGGATAGAGAGAAAATCCTAAAATCTTCCAGAGAGAAAAGACAGGTCATATATAAAGAGCCAAGACTCCGCATGACACTGCCTTCTTCCCAACAACACCGGGAGCTGGAAAATAATACAGCAATATTTCCCAATGTGAGGAGAAGTTACGTTTAAATTAGAGCATTATATCCAGCCAAACTATTAATCAGGAGTTGGGGTAGAACAATGACATTTTAAAATATGTGGGAGTCAGCAAGCTTGGCTTCCATTCACTCTTTCTCAGGAAGCCACTGGAAGATGTATTGCAGCACAATGAGAGGGTAAACCAAGGAAAAAGAAGATATGGGGCCAGGGAACGGGAGATGCACACAGAAGAGGCAGCAGAAAATTCAGAGAAATGCCAGGATGCCAGCCGTGCCATGGGCTGAGAGAGCTGAGTCCAGTTTGGAGCATAAGGATGGAGGGCAAGGGAGAAAGGGATGCCTCCTGGAAAATAACAGGGCTGATAGGGTAGCTGGTGTATCTTAGTTTTTGGATAATTATTACTAGGCATTTCATAGATCAGTTGGAGCATCTGGGGAAAAAAAAGTAGTTAATAGGGACAAAAACGTATAAGCAAATGAAGGGAAACAATCTGAAGCAATTATCAGCTCCAGGGGAAAAAAAGGAAAGAAATGAAACAAATTCAGTGCAGGACTTGGCTTAGGAAACAAAATTTAGATATCTATAAGACTGTAAATGCATTTGATTTCATAAGATTGTGATCCAGTCAAATTGGTAGAATGGAGGCTCCCTTACTTGTAAGGGAGGTAAGCCTTATACTCTGTTATGCCAGGAAGTCGACAGATGCTGAGGAAAACAAATCAAGAAATAGCAACATAAGCATTATTTAGAAATATGATTATACCAGAGGAAGTAGCAAAATGAGTTTAAAGTGATGGCCTCTGGGAATTAGGACTCAAAGGCAAGAAAGGAAAGGGCAGAGGAAATGCTTTCTGATATAACCCTTTTATTACCATTTTGTTCTTTTTTTCTTCTTCTTTTGTCTTACTGAGGATTTCTTGCTCCAGATACCATTTTGTTCTTAACTCTGTGTATCTAGTACTTTGATCAGAATTAAATATAATGTTATAAGTTCTGGAGATCTGTTCTACAGAATGATGACTACAGTTAATAATAATGTATACTTGAAAATTGCTAAGAGAGATTTTTTGCTTTTATTATTATTTTTAATTGACACAAGAATTGTACATATTTTTGGGGTACAGTATAATATTTTTATACAATGTGCAATGATCCAATCAGGGTAATTAGCATCTCCACCACCTCAAACATTTATCTTTTCTTTGTTCTGGGAGCATTCAAAATGCACTCTTCTAGCTATTTGAAAATATATAATAAATTGTCATAAATTATCATCACCCTATAATGCTAAAGAACACTAGAACTACTCCTCCTATTTAGCTGTTTTGTTTTTTTTTCCAGTCCGGGTCTCACTCTGCCCCCCAGGCTAAAGTGCAGTGGTGCAATCACAACTCACTGTAGCCTTGACCTCTCGGGCCCAAGTGATCCTCCCACCTCAGCCTCCAGAGTAGCTGGGACCGCAGGCATGCACCAACATGCCTGGTTAATTTTTTAAATTTTTTAAAGAGATGGGGTCTCCCTATGTTGCACAGGCTGGTCTCAAACTCCTGAGTTCAAGTGATCCTCCCACCTCAGTCTCCTAAAGTGCTAGGATTATAGGTGTGAGCCACCAAACTCAGCCATGTACTCATGTATCTGTTAACCTGTTAGCCAACCTTTGGCTACCCCCTCCCCCTTACCCTTCCTCGCCTCTAGTAAACACTATTCTAAGCCAATAGATCTTAAATATTCTTACCACAATAATAATAATAATAATAAAAGTATGTGAAGTGATGAAAATGTTAATTAACTTGATTTAATCATTTCATAATGTATGCATATATCAAAACATCACATTGAACACTGTAAATATACACAATTTTTATCAATTATACTTTAATAAAGATGGAGGAAGAATTGAATATAACATTAAAACAAAAAACAATTGCAGGCCGAGCGCAGTGGCTCACGCCTGTAATCCCAACACTTTGGGAGGCCGAGGCGGGCGGATCACCTGAGGTCAGGAGTTCAAGACCAGCCTAGCCAACATGGTGAAACCCCATCTCTATGAAAAATGCAAAAATTATCTGGGTGTGGTGGCGCACGTCTGTAATCCTAGCTACTCCGGAGGCTGAGGCAGGAGAATTTGCAGTAAGCCGAGTTTGCGCCACTGCACTCTAACTGGGCAACAGAGTGAGACTCTGTTTAAACACACACACACACACACACACACACACACACACACACAACCATCAACAACAACAACAAAAATTGCAAAACCTAAAGAAAGTCTTTAATCTAGTCCAGACCAGCCTTTTACAGATGAGGTCACTGAAGTGCAAAGAGGTGAACTGACTTGTCTAATCTTACACAGCAAGTCGCCGGCAGAACTTGACCTGAAATCCAAAGCCAAGCATTTTCTATTACCTCCAGGCTTTTCAGTCCAGCCCTCCCGGGGGCTCTGCTTTGGGGATTGGTATTGGTGACAAAGGGAATAGACTGGAACATGCATAGAGCTCTCCATTTAGATTGACATTTTCACACTGTGCCAGGTCGTCGGCAAGAAACAGTGCAAGCTCCAAGATTGCTCGCCCCGACCCTTTTCCTCCTCCCCAACCTCTCTCATAACCAACTTCAGCTAAAAGGTCTGAGAAGAAAAGGGAATCTTAGATGACTCTCACTAGGGTGTAAATGACTCCCACCATGATTTTTATTTTATTGAGTCATAACTCCAAAAGCAGTTTGATAGATAGGATGTCAGGCAGTAGGATGAAGACAGATGGGGAAACTGCCTAGGCTCATGAAGAAGGTGAAGGCACTGAGGCCCTGAGTAATTTCATAAAGAACACCTTAGAAAATGTCCAGCACCGTGGTTTCTTACCTTCACTTAGCACTCACAAGGCCCCACATTCTGACAGATTTTGTTTATCAGACAAATTGCACTCAGTCGGGCTTTTTTCATTTTCCTCAGAGAGTTCTCAGGTTGCACAGAATTGAGATAATCTCCCTGCCTCACCGTCTCCCCCACGAAGACACTCCATGTTTTTGTTTGCAATACAGTCTTTTATGGATCAATGTAAGATTTTCATGGTGTTCTTTGCATTTTGCAAGTATTGCTCAAACTGGAGACCCAAAAAGAGCACTACCTTTAGAGTCAAAGACCCCTAGGTTCCAATTTCAGCTGAGATACTGTGAGCACATCACTAGCCCACTCTGATCCTATATCCCGGTTGTATAATCACCTATTTCCCATCAATTGCGAGGCTGGAGATAAAAGTGCCTACTCTGCCCAGTACACAATAGGAGCTCAGTAAACTTAAGTTCTCTTGCTTACCCACTATCCTAATGTATTAGGGGAAAGACAGAGATGTGGGGAATGGCACCTGGGAGGTTCCAGCTGTATGCTTCACAATGCTACCAATGAAAATTCTGAATTAGGCTTCAGTTTCCTCTCTACAAAATGAGACAGGACAGGAGTGGGTAGGAAGAGGAAGAGCTTGGCTTTGTTGGTTTAAGCTGGGCCCGTCTGATTCCGTAACGCAGGCTTCACTGCGGGGTCCAGCCCATTCCCCACCCAGGGCTTCGGGTGCTCTGAATGTCTTTTGGTCAACTCCAAGGCTGCCCAGGATCAGGGTGGGGAGGCAGGGTGGTGGGTAGTGGGGTAGAGAGAAGCAGTTCCCCCACATAACCTGCAGGTGGCACCAGAGCAACGTGGGAGCCGAGGGTTCCGCTGTAGCCTTCCTGGAGACTCACCCAGGCAGGGCGAGGTAGGGCGAGGCAGAGGTGGTGCACACCGTTCAGCTGGGCAGCGGCCTGAGCGCGCCTGCGGATCAGTCCACACCGTTTGAAATCGACACATGGGTCTTCTGGCTAATTTGCTCTCTTTGGCAGGGTGATCATATGATTTATCATCCAAATCCGGACATTCGGAGAGTGCAAGGGGCACTGTTATAATTGCACCGGGACAGCAGACATAACCTTACGTGTACTTTGCAAACCAGAACATATGGTCACCCCACCCTCTGGTCACTTCTTCTTCCTTGTTTCCATTCTTTCTTTTATTTTTTTTTTCTTTTAAAACACACAGCATTCTTTTCCCCGAGCACCATTGTCTTTGAAAATGCCTTTGCCGGCCGGGCGCGGTGGGTCACGCCTGTAATCCCAGCACTTTGGGAGGCCGAGGCAGGTGGATCACGAGGTCAGGAGTTCAAGACCAGCCTGGCCAAGACGGTGAAACCCCGTCTCTACTAAAAATACAAAAAATTAGCTGGGCATGGTGGTGGGCGCCTGTAATCCCAGCTACTCGGGAGGCTGAGGCAGGGAATTGCTTGAACCCAGGAGGCAAAGGTTGCAGTGAGCCAAGATCGCGCCACTGCACTCCAGCCTGGGCAACAGAGCAAAACTCCGTCTCAAAAAAAAGAAAAAAAGAAAAAAGCCTTTACCTTCGGGATATTTTCGACCATGCAACATCTACTTTTGCATCTTGAGTCTGAACAGTCTCTCTGAAGCCATCCCAAAGGCTGGTTTTAGCTTCCAGACAGAAGACTCTGTTCGCTGGCTTACCATCTCCATGACGCAAGAATTAAAGATGTCTGACGTGGAACAGTGACCCTTCTCTCAACTTTGGTGCCCCTTTGCTAAATTTATTCCTGTAATTTTGTTCTGAGTGCTCATGTCCTTTATCTCTTTTAATTTACGTATATTAGTTTATTGAATTGCAAGTAGACAAGCCCCATTAAGCAAGATTCTTATATTTCCAAGACCATCCCATTACTCCATTCAACCCCGAATTAGCGTGCCATTTATCCCCTTGTTTCTGAACCCTCTTCACTTAATAGTCTCATAAACATCCATCCATTGCAAAAAGGACTCAAACTATTCTCGCTTCCATTTTTAGTTGATTCATTGCTATCCAAGTAATAATTTGTCTGGGGGAGTCATTAGTAGAGAATTGTGCCCTTAAATTTATTTTTATAGTTGGATTCTGCTAGTTAATATCTCTCTCTCTCTCTGTCATTCTCACATTACAACAAATGACTATGTCTTAACCTAAAATCTAGGTTAGAAATTTGATCTTATCTGAATAAGATATTAATAGATAATATGAGATTTTTTTAATTTACTGAAACTTTTCTCAGCTAAAAATGATCGTCACAAATATGTATGTAAGCAATTGGAAAATTGGGATGTAAATATATCAACTCTTAAAATATCATGTTTGGAGACAGGATTTTCCTTTTTTTTTTTCTTTTTTAATAAAGTAAATTTGCTATGGTTGGAATGCTTGTGTGTCCTCCAAAATTCATGTTGAAACTCACACCCCAGTGTGATAGTATTAAGAAGTGGAGTCTTTTTTTTTTTTTTTTGAGATGGAGTCTTGCTCTGTTTACAGGCTGCTGGAGTGCAGTGGCATGATTTCGACTCACTGCAACCTCTGCCTCCCGGGTTCAAGCAATTCCCCTGCCTCAGCCTCCCGAGTAGCTGGGACTACAGGTGTGCCATGCCCAGCTGATTTTTTGTATTTTAGTAGAGACGGGGTTTCACCATGTTGGCCAGGATGGTCTCAATCTCCTGACCTCATGATCTGCCCGCCTTGGCCTCCCAAAGTGTTGGGATTACAGGTAGCGTCTTTAGGAGATAATTAAGTCGTGAGGGAAGAGCCCCCTCATGAATGGGATAGTGACCTTATGAAAGGGCTTGAGGGAGCTGCCTAGCTCGGTTTCCTTCTTTTGCTTTTCTGTCCTTTCCACCATGTTGGGACACAGCATTCCTCATCTCTGGAAGACTCAGCATTTAAAGTGCCATCTTGGAAGCAGAGAGCAGCCCTCACTAGACTACAAATTTGCTGGCACCTTGATCTTGGACTTCCCACCCACCAGAACTGTGAGAAATAAATTTTTGTCCTTTACACATTACCCAGTCTCAGATATTTTGTTATAGCAGCACGAATGGACTAAGACAGTATCTTACATACAGTGAGATGCATATACCTTAAATTACAACTCCATACTATTTACATATGTGCACATTCATGTGACCACCACTCAGCTCAAGATACAGAATGCTTCCATCACCACAGAGGGCTCCCTCTTGCCCCTTCTCAGTTGCTGTCCTCCTCAAAGTTAACCACAATCCTGACGTCTGTCACCCTGGGTTAATTATGAATATAAATGGATTCATACAGTATGTGCATGTTTGTGGCTGACTTCTTTCATTCAACACAATCCTATGAGATTTAGCCATGTTTTGGGTATTGGTAGTTGTTTATTTTTCTGGTTGTGTAGTTTTCCATATTTCATTTATTATCCTTCTTTCTTTTTTTTTTTTTTTTTTTGAGACAGAGTCTCGCTCTGTCACCCAGGCTGGAATGCAGCGGCACGATCTCGGCTCACTGCAACCTCCACCACCTGGGGTCAAGCGATTCTCCTGCCTCAGCCTCCTGAGTAGCTGGGATTACAGGTGTGTGCCAGCATGCCCAGCTAATTTTTGTATTTTTAGTAGAGACAGGGTTTCACCATGCTGGCCGAACTCCTGACCTCATGATCCACCCACCTCGGCCTCTCAAAGTGCTGGGATTACAGGCATGAGCCATTGCAACCGGCTATTTATTACCCTTTTATTTTTATGTCTAACTCAGTGTCTTGTGGGGTCTATTGGTCCTTTTTAGCTAGATTGATATTAAAAATCTTCTTATCAATGGAGTTCAGGAAATTTTTAGAAGATAGAAGCCTAACAAACCCAAGCCCCCCAATCTTAAGCCAAGTTTCCTTCTCACACCTGCTTCAGTTGCTCTTCTTCATGTGGTATTTTTTTCCTCACAAAGCTGATGGGAAATCGAGGAACCCAAAAGCTCTTCATCATGTTATCAGCTTAGGGACGCTTGCCATCTGAATAACAGGGTAGATATTTATAATCTGAAATGTTAAAATAACAATAGGAAACACTTACATAGCACTAACTGCTGTTCAAAGTGCTTTACATATATTCTTTTCCTCAAAACAACTCTGTGAAATAGTATTATTGTCATCCCCACACTTTAGATGGGGAAATTGAGGCAGAGAGAGACCACGTAACTTTCCCAAGGGGGTAGGGCCAGGACGTGAAACTGTGTTTTCTTGTTTTAGAGCTTGCACACTTCACCACCACACCATATTGGGTAGCATGATACTTCATGTGGTTAAAGTATTTTCTTCTATTAGCTTGGGAGCATTTTCTGAATAATTCAAATCTTATAAATTTGCTTCAAAGAACATAAGTAAATTGAAATGGATGATCTGATATAGAATGTGTGGCATTCATGAATACATTATAGGACACTCCAGTTTTAAATAATAATTATTTGCCTATCTTGTGACTTTTGTCAGGCAGGGCTGTAATGTGCTAGCCTCATTTTCCTTCTCTTCAATAGGAGAAGATGGACTCAGAGACAGGCACAATTTATCACAAAATCTCATCACACTTTCCCTCACCATCCGGAAGCTGGAGATAGGTTTGTGAAATCTTCGTTGTGAAAGAGTTGAATGACAGTTGTAGCATAGTGAGTTTAAGAAACATGGTTTTACTTGTCAGTTCTGTTGCACAGGGTCCTGCAAGTTTCGGCAGTTAACATATGTGACCAACAGTTTTCTCACAAAGATTATCAGGGTTCTAGAGGAAATTATCTTCCAGTTTTATTCTGCTGCTAATGTGCTATATTTCTTTATAGATTCTTGGCCACTTGTTTTTCATTAGACATTTTTCTGCCTCTTTATGCTGTACTTTATTTCTCTTTATGCCCAGCCCCAGGATTTTCCTTCTAATTGCAAGAGGAAGATTATTGAAATTTTCTCTTTCTCAAACTCCCAGGCTCAAGTGATCCTCCCCCGTCTGCCTCCCACCACTGCACCCTGCTGATTGTCTCTTTAACCTTCCCCCTGAGCATGTGTACACACACACACAAACATGAATACAGACACCCATCCACATGTACACACAAACACACAGAGACATACATATATCTACACACACTTATTAGATATACATTTACACACACACACACGTGCACACACACATATACACACCTTCCTTCTATCTTCTTCTCAGGACTCAGGATTCTCAGAGAGTGGAAAGAGTATTGCACCACGAGTCAAAGATAGACTGTGCAACTTTGCCCAAGTGCCTTTCCTTTTGAGATCTCATTTATAATAATAAACATCCTTACCCACCAATTAGGGTTATTTTGAAGATAAAACAGAAAGGAAGGATAACAGAATGATGGCATGTTGTATAGTAAAAAAAAATAAAATAAAATAATTAACAACCAAAAATAGGTCTGGCCTTTGTCCTTGACTCCTTATCTCCAACACGTAACGCCTGATAGGAATATTTTTGCCTGGGGATCTTGGGTCAGGATGGATAGTCTAATAATAAGATTTAGGGTGGAGACTAGCCAGGCCAGGAAAACCGACTATGTGATTTAGAGTCCTGGCTTTAGGTCACCCCTGAAAGGATTGGAGACTGGAAACTGAGAGCAGCCACATGGACAATCAAGCATGCCTCCGTGATGAAGTTCCAGTAAAAATCCTGAACACTGAGGCTTGAGGGAGCCTCACTGGCTGGAATACTCCATGTGTATTGGCACATATCAAAGCCAGGAGGGTAATGCACTCTGACTGCATGGGGAAGGGATAATGGACATTCCATATCTGGTGACCTCCTGGACTCAGCCCTATGCCTTTCTTCCACTACCTGATTTTAATCTATATATTTTCCCTATAATCAAACCATAACTGTGAGTATAACAGCTTTCTGTGAGTTCTAGCCAGTCCTTAGAGGTAAGCAAGCCGAGTTCATCTACTGCCTGCTGAAAAAACTATTTTAAAATTCCTAAACCAAAGAAGGCCAGAGCTCTCATGAATCTGATCCAACAGATTTTGAAGCCAAAGCTCCAAAGCTGAGGGTATTTGAAGCCAAAGCCAGGCCAGACAGAGATGAGGCTCCTGGGAGGGAACAGGTGCAGTCCTGTCCAGGGTGCAGTGTCCCTGGGCTATAGCTGGACAAGGGCTCCCTCTGGGTCACAGCTTCTAGGAACAGAGTTTGGGGCAAGCTGACTGTCTGATTTGTAGGACTCTGGTGATGATCTCAGCTGGGAAATTGTGTGGTAATGAAGAGAGATGGTTTTGCTTTTCCAAATCATCCACCCCCTGCATGCTTTGATCCACATTGGAACTCAGTGTGGAAACTGCCTTTGAACAGCCTAAACCTGAACTCTGGGCTGTGTGTCCAGTTTCCTGGCCTCCAGCTTTGTTCACTCCTTACCCCTACCTATCACTGATGCCAGATCCATCCTCCCAAATATCCTTTTCATCATGTTACTCTCCCCACCACCTCACGGCATCTTCTGCACAACAGGAAATGTCTCTAACCTCAGTCTGGCATTCAAGGTTCTTTCTGATGTGGCCCACCTCTCACCACTCCACCACATCTTCCCGTGGGCCCTGCCAAACTGGATCAATTTTTTCTATCCATGAGCTGAACTTTCCCACCTCCAAACTGTTGCTTGCACTGAGTCCTTCCTCTGAATGTTCTGTTCCTCCCTCTCCCCAAGTCCAAATGCTATAGACTGAATTGTGTCTCCCCCAAATTCATATGCTGCAGCCCTAATCCCTTATGTGATTGCATTTTGAAATAGGGCTGTTAGGAGATAATTAAAATTAAGTGAGGTAGGATGGGCAGAGCAAGATGGCTGAATAGCAGCCTCCATCAATGATTCTCCTTGCAGGAAAATCAAATTTAACAACTCTCTACACCAAAAAGTCATCTTCATAAGAACCAAAAATCAGGTGAGTACTCACAGTACCTGGCCCTAACTTCATAACACTGAAAGAGGCACTGAGGAGGGTAGGAAAGACAGTCTTGAAACACCAAGGTCACTCCTCTCCCATCCGCCAGCAGTGGCCACTGTGGTGCTGAGAGAGAATCTGTGCACTTGGGGAAGGGAGAGTGCAGCAATTGTGGGACTTTGCATTGAACTCAGTGTTGCCCTGTCACAGCAGAAAGCAAAACCAGGGGGAACTCCCGTGACACCTGCCCGTGGAGGGAGCATTTAAACCAGCCCTACCCAGAGGGGTTCACCCATCCTAGCAGTTAGAAGGCTTGAGGCTTGAGTTTTGATAAGCCTTGCCATGGCAAGCTATCGTTACCTGGGGCTCTAAGTAAACTTGAAAGGCAGTCTAGACCATAAAGACTTCAATTCCCAGGTAAGTCCTAATGCCATGCTAGGCTTAGAGCCAGTGGACTCAGGGGGCACACAACCTAGTAAGACACCAGGCAGGGCAGCCAAGCGAGTGCTTGCACCACCCCTCTCCCAACCCAAGCAGTGCAGCATGCAGCAACAAACGTGGCTTCTTCCTTTTGCTTGAGGAGAGGAGAGGAAAGAGTAAAGAGGACTTTGTCTTACATCTTGGATACCAGCTCAGCCACAGCAGGATAGAGCACTGGTCAGAGTCAAGAGACCCCCATTCCAGGATCTAGCCCCTGAATGTCATTTCTAGATATACCCTGGGCCAGAAGGGAATCTGATGCCTTAAAGAAAAGAACCCAGTCCTGGCAGGATTCATCACCTGCTGACTCAGGAGTCCTTGGGCCTTGAATAGCCAACAGTGATACCCAGGTAGTATGTTATGGGCCTGGAGTAAGACTCTGAGACTGAGACATGCTGGCTTCAGATGAGACCCAGCACATTCCCAGCTGTGGTGGCTGTGGTGAGGGACTTCTTCTGCTTCAGAAAAGCAGAGGGAAAGGTAAAAGGGACTTTGTCATGCAGCTTAGGTACCTGTCTGGCCACCATGGGGTAGAGCACCAAATGGGCTCTTGTGGTCACTGATTCTAGGCCTTGGCTCTTAGATAGCATTTCTGGACGTGCACGTGCCCTGGGCCAAAGGGGAGCCCACTGCCCCAAAGGGTGAGTCCCAGGCCTGGAAACACTCACCACAAGTGATTTAAGAGCCCTTGGGCCCTAAGTGAACATCGACCGTAGGCTGGCAGTGTTCCCTGTGGGCCTCTGGTGGTGGCCACAGGGTGAGTTTCCTCTGCCTGTGAAAAGGCAAAGGCAGAGTGGAAAGGACTTTGTCTCATGGTTTCAGTGTCAGCTCAGCCGCCTTAGAATAAAGCATCAGGTAAATTTCTAAGGTTTTTTACTCCAGTCCCTGGCTCCCACACAGCATCTCTAGACCCGCTAGGGCCTGAAGGAACTCATTGCCCTGAAGGGAAAGACACAAGCCTGGCTGGCTTTGCCACCTGCTGACTGCAGAGCCCTAGGGCCTTGAATGAACATCGGTGATAGCCAGGCAGTGTTTACAGGGGGCCTTGAGTGAGACCCAGTGCTTTGCTGGCTTTAGGTCTGACCCAGTGCAGTCTAAGTGATGGTAGCCATAGGGATGTTGTGTCAGCCCACCTGCAGCTCCAAGTGGCTCAGCACAGAGAGAGAGAGAAACAAAAAAAGAGACTGAGACTGTTTGGGAGAAATTACAGGTAAAGAATAAAAGTCTCTGCCTGGTAGTCCAGAGAATTCTTCCAGATATTATCTAAGACTGCCAAGGCAGTACTTCTATGAGTCTGCAAGCACCATAGCATCACTGGGCTTGGAGTGTCCCCTACTCAGATACAGTTTAGATCACAACACCCACATCCTTTCAAATACCTGGAAAACCTTTCCAAGGATGAGTACAAACAAGCCCAGACTGAGAAGACTACAATAAATACCTAACTCTTCAATGCCCAGGCACTAAAGAACATCCACAAGCATCGAGCCCATCCAGGAAAACGTGACCTCATCAAACAAACTAATTAAGGCACCAGGGACCAGCCCTAGAGAAACAGAGATATGTAACCTTCCAGACAGAGAATTCGAAATAGTGGTTTTGAGGAAACTCAAAGAAATTCAAGATAACACAGAGAAAGGATTCAAAATTCTATCAGATAAATTTAACAACAAGATTGAAATAATTAGAATCAAGCAGAAATTCTGTAGTTGAAAAATGCAAATGACATAATAAAGAATGCATCAGAGTCTCTTAATAGTTAAATTGATCAAGCAGAAGAAAAAATCAGTGATCTTGAAGACAAGCTATTTGAAAATACACAGTTAGAGGAGACAAAAAAATTAAAAAAGAATGAAGCATGCCTATGAGATCTAGAAAATAGCCTCAAAAGGGCAAAGCTAACAGTTATTGGCCTTAAAGCGAAAGTAAAGAAATAGAGGTAGAAAGTTTATTCAAAGGGATAATAACAGAGAACTTTTCAAACCTAGAGAAAGATATAAATATTCAAGTACAAGAAGGTTATAGAACACCAAGCAGATTTAACCTAAAGAAAACTAACTCAAGGCATTTAATAGTCAAACTCCCAAAGGTCAAGGATAAAAAAAGGATCCTAAAGCAGCAGGAGAACAGCAACAAATAACATACAATGGAGTTCTAATACGTCTTGCAGCAGACTTTCAGTGGAAACCTTACAGGCCAGAAGGGAGTGTCATAACATATTTTAAGTGCTGAAGAAAAAAGTCTTTTACCCTAGAATAATATATCCAGCAAAAATACCCTTCATACCTAAAGGAGAAATAAAGAGTTTCCCAGACGAACAAAAGTTCGGGGATTTCATCAACACCAGACCTGTGCTACAAGAAATGCTAAAGGAAGGCCTCCAATCTGGAGTTGGACAGGCAGTGGTTAATTCTCCCAGCAATGATGTGTGGCAGCACATGCTAAGGGTTGTCTACCAGGGAAGCCCACCCAAGCAACCCTTAGTGCTCAGGGTTTTTCTTGGGGCATGCAGCTCCTGGGTGATTGACCCCAGCTACTCAGGTTTCAGTCCCTAGAGAGGTCATATTGATACAGCAAAGCCCAAAGCCTCAGGCATACAAAAACATTCTTACAAGGCAGAATATTCGGCCGGGTGCGGCGGCTCATGCCTGTAATCCCAGCACTTTGGGAGGCCGAGGCGGGTGGATCAACTGAGGTCAGGTGTTTGAGACTAGCCTGGCCAACGTGGCAAAAGCCCATCTCTACTGAAAATAGAGAAAAATTAGCTGGGAGTGGTGGCCGGTGCCACTCCCAGCTACTCAGGAGGCTGAGGCAGGAGAGTCACTTGAACCAGGGAGGCGGAGGTTGCAGTGAGCTGAGATCATGCCACTGCACTCCAGCCTGGGCAATAGAGCAAGACTCCACCTCAGAAAAAATAAAAATGAAGGCAGAAGATTCAAAGTGCTCAGAAGTTATCTCCCCAGAGGTGGTCAAGGGCCAGTCCTTTTTTTGGAATGTGCAGGGTTGGAGTGACCCAAGGCTGCTGAGCAAACTAACGCTTTACTGTCCAGTGGTCTACATTAGAATGCCCTGAGGAGCTTTCAGAATGCTCTATGGCCAGGCTGCACCCAGATCAATCACTCAGAGTCTCTAGAGGGTCTGTCCAAAGTCAAGACCCACTGCCATAGATAGTAATTGGTACCAAAGGAAGGAGTGAGCTCATCCCAGAGGGAATGAGGAGAGAGTGGTCACAGGTGGAAGAGATGGCCAAGAACAGTGGACTAAGGAGCAGCAGAGGCTGCAGACTGCGGGAGGGATGGCACACAGGGAAGGAGTGGCCAGAGAAAGGGCAGAGAACCAGGGTCCCCAGGTGTACTACATTCAGTGGTTTTTAGTATATTCAGAGTTGTGCAAAAACCACCACAATCATTTTTAAGACATTTTCAACAACTCCAAAAGAAACCCTGTGTCCTTTAGCTGTTACCACCCACCCACAATGACCCCATTCCCTCCAGCCCTGAGCAACTGCTTATCTACTCTCTGTCTCTATGGAATTGCCTATTTTGGACATCTCATATAATTGAAATCATACCATATGTGGTCTTTCATGATTAGCATCTTTCATTTAGCATAATAGTTTCAAAGTTCATCCATGTTATAGTGTGTTTAGTACTTTATTCCTTTCTATGGCTGAATAATATTACATTGTTTTTATTTTTTATTTTATTTTATTTTTTTAGAAGGAGTCTCACTTTGTGGCCCAGGCTGGCCTTGAACTCCTCGGCTCAAGTGATCCTCCCACTTTGGCCTCCCAAAGTGCAGGATTACAGGCGTGAGCCAGCATGCCAGGCCATATTCCATTGTATTGATATATCTCACATATGGTTATCTGTTCATCAGTTAACAGGCATTTGGGTTGTTTTCACAACTGGATGGTGGGTACATGGCAAAGGTGTAATCTGTAGCACAGACAGCCAAAAAGATCTGGGCATGCTTTTTGACCAAGGCCTGTCGGTCGGTGCAGAATGAGGGCCAAGAAGTCATGAGCAATCACAGCGGCCAGGTCCCATTTGAGCTTCCCCAGGACCATCACCTCCCAGTCCCGCAACTGGCAGGGAGAGACAGCGTGGTCGGTGTAGATGCACATTTTCTCAATGGTCATGGGCCCAGTCTTACGCAGCTTGGAGGCCAGCCGCATGGAGACCGCAACCAAGAGCTGCAACTGTGCCTTTCGGGTGGGTGGGGACGTAGGACAGGTAGCATGCAGGTGGTTCATGGCCAGGGGAAAGACTTCCTCCTTACAGCACTGCTCCTCCTCACAGCACTGCTCCTCACACACCTCCAGCATCCAGTAAACCAGCATCTTCCGCATGTGCGGCTTGCTCTCCCTTTGCACGCACTGGAAGTAGGCGCAGTGCACGCAGCGCTACTCCAAGGGGAGCAAGCTCTGCAGGACGCGCTGATCCCCTGGCGTCTGCGGGTCCTCGAGCCTTCGCAGCATAGCAGCTCCACACTCGGGCAGCGCACAGGCAGGGCGGGAGTGCAAGCTAGCGCCCATCATTTGTTTCTAAGTATTGTCATTCTTTGTGATACTATTAAAAATAGAATTATATTCCCAGTTTTGTTTTGGGGTTATTCATTGTACATGTAAAGAAATTGAGTTAATTTTTGTATATTGATCTCATAGTCTACAACTTTGCAGATTATTATTATATTAGTTATAATAGGGTTTTTTTGTAGATTCCTTAGGTTTTTCTATATACAAGATTGATACGGTTGGGCATAGTGGCTCACGCCTGTAATCCCAGCACTTTGGGAGGCCGAGGTGGGCGGATCACGAGGTCAGGAGATTGAGACCATCCTGGCTAACACGGTGAAACCCTGTCTCTACTAAAAATACAAAAAATTAGCCTGGCATGGTGGTGGTGGGCGCCTGTAGTCCCAGCTACTTGGGAGGCTGAGGCAGGAGAATGGCTTGAACCCGGGAGGCAGAGTTTGCAGTGAGCTGAGATCGCGCCACTGCACTCCAGCCTGGGCGACAGAGAGAGACTCTGTCTCAAAACAAACAAACAAACAAACAAACAAACAAAAAATATTTGCCAGGCGTAGTGGCAGGTGCCTGTAATTTCAGCTATTCAGGAGTCTGAGGCAGGAGAATCGCTTGAACCTGGGAGGCTGAGGTTGCAGTGAGCCAAGATCACACACCACTGCACTCCAGCCTAGATAACAGAGTGGGACTCCATCTCAAAAAAAAAAAAAAAAAAAAAAAGAATAAGAAAAAAAAGATTGATATGGTTTGGCTGTGTCTCCACCCAAATCTCATCTTGAATTGTAGCTCCCATAATTCCCATGTGTTGTGGGAGGAACACAGTGGGAGATAATTGAATCATAAGGGCGTTTCCTCCATACTGTTCTCCTGACAGTGAATAAGTCTCTCGAGATCTGATGATTTTATAAGGGGTTTCCCTCTGGCGTGGCTCTCATTCTTTTCTTGCCTGCTGCCATGTGAGATGCTCCTTGCTCTTTCGCCATGATTGTGAGGCCTCTCCACCCATGGGGAACTGTGAGCCAAACCTCTTTCCTTTATAAATTATCCAGTCTTGGGTATGTCTTTATAAGCAGCATGAGAATGGACCGATCATGTCATCTGCAAATAAAGATAGTTTTATTTTTTCTTTTCTAATCTGGAAGCTTTTGTTTCACTTTCTTGCGTAATTACCTTGGCTAGCACCTCTAGTACAATGTTGAATAGAAGTGGTTGGAATGCAGCTCCTTGTATTGTACCTGACCTTAAAAGAAAAGCATTCAGCCTTTCACCATTATGTATGTTAGCTGGGATGATCTGTAGATGCCCTTTGCCAGGTTGAAGAAGTTCCTTCCATTCTGTTTGTTAATAATTTTTATCATGAAATTTTGTCAATATTTTCAGCTTACATTGAGATGATCATATGGTTTTGTCCTTTATTCTGTTAATAAAATTATATTGGTTAATTTTCAGATGTTAAACCAACCTTGCCTTCCTGGGATTAATCCCAATTGGTCATGATATGGGCCTTTTTTATATGTTGCTGCATTCTGCTTACTTATATTTTTGCCATAACCTCTTAACTTGTTTGCATCTCTATTCCAAGCTCCTTACATTCTAGTCTCAGCACACTGGCTAGAGTGTTGTGATCATGCTACACTTCTTTTTTATATCTTCCAGGGGCTTCTTTCATACTTGAGTAAAAGATAAATTCTATATATATATATATATATTTTTTTTTTTTGAGACAGCGTTTCCCTCTGTCATCCAGGCTGGAGTGCAGTGGTGCAATCTTAGCTCACTGGAGCCTCCAGCTCCTGGGCTCATGCAATTCTCCCACCTCAGCCTCCCAAGTAGCTGGAACTACAGATGTGCACCACCACACTCAGCTAATTTTTGAATTTTTTGTAGAGATGGGGTCTTGTCATGTTACCCAGGCTTAAAAGCTAAACGCTTGCAAAACCAAATGTGAACATGCTTCCTACATCCTTTCTAGCACATTTCCTGGCACTCTCTGCCTCAACTACTTGGCTTTTGCTATACTAATCTCCTTTCTATTTCTCAAACATCCAAGAAAATTTCCACCTCAGGATATTAGCGCTTACTGTATTCCCTTCCTGGACGTGTACTCTCCTATATGGCTTACTCCCTTTCTTCCTTCAGGCTTCTGTTCAAATGTTGCCTTATTAGAGAAGCATTTTCTGATCACCCTATAAAATAGCAACCCTTTTACCTCTAAGCATGGCATGATATTCTCCATTCTCCTAACTGCTCTTTTTCCATAGAATGTGTTACTATGACATTCTATATATATATATATATATTATTATTATTATTATTATACTTTAAGTTTTAGGGTACATGTGCACAATGTGCAGGTTAGTTACATATGTATACATGTGCCATGTTGGTGTGCTGCACTCATTAACCCGTCATTTAACCTTAGGCATATCTCCTATTGCTATCCCTCCCCCCTCCCCCCACCCCACAACAGGCCCTGGTGTGTGATGTTCCCCTTCCTGTGTCCATGTGTTCTCATTGTTCAATTCCCACCTATGAGTGAGAACATGCAGTGTTTGGTTTTTTGTCCTTGCAATAGTTTGCTGAGAATGATGGTTTCCAGCTTCATCCATGTCCCTACAAAGGACATGAACTCATCATTTTTATGGCTGCATAGTATTCCATGGTGTATATGTGCCACATTTTCTTAATCCAATCCATCATTGTTGGACATTTGGGTTGGTTCCAAGTCTTTGCTATTGTGAATAGTGCCTCAATAAACATACGTGTGCATGTGTCTTTATAGCAGCATGATTTATAATCCTTTGGGTATATACCCAGTAATGGGATTGCTGGGTCAAATGGTATTTCTAGTTCTAGATCCCTGAGGAATTGCCACACTGACTTCCACAGTGGTTGAACTAGTTTACAGTCCTACCAACAGTGTAAAAGTGTTCCTATTTCTCCACATCCTCTCCAACACCTGTTGTTTCCTGACTTTTTAAATGATCACCATTCTAACTGGTGTGAGATGGTATCTCATTGTGGTTTTGATTTGCATTTCTCTGATGGCCAGTGATTATGAGCATTTTTTCATGTGTCTTTTGGCTGCATAAATGTCTTCTTTTGAGAAGTGTATGTTCATATCCTTCGCCCATTTTTTGATGAGGTTGTTTGTTTTTTTCTTGTAAATTTGTTTGAGTTCATTGTAGATTCTGGATATTAGCCCTTTGTCAGATGAGTAGATTGCAAAAATTTTCTCCCATTCTGTAGGTTGCCTGTTCACTCTGATGGTTGTTTCTTTTGCTGTGCAGAAGCTCTTTAGTTTGTCTTTCCTCAAGTAGAATATAAGCATAAATTAATTCATTTAACTATATATTGGACAACTATTACTCATTTATCAGGCAAGCGTGGTGGCTCATGCCTGTAACCCAGGCACTTTGGGAAGCCACATTGGGTAGATCACCTGAGCCCAGGTGTTTGAGACTGGCCTGGGCAACATGGTGATGAAACCTCGTCTCTACCAAAACTACAAAAATTAGCCCAGCATGATGGTGCATGCTTCTGGTCCCAGCTACTCGGGAAGCTGATGCAGGAAAATCACCTGAGCCAGGAAGGTGGAGGTTGCAGTAAGACAAGATCATGGAACTACGCTTCAGCCTGGGCAACAGGGCGAAACCCTGTCTCAACAACAGTGACAAATTTATTACTATTGGCAATGCTGTAGATTCTGGGAATACAATGGTGACAAAAAAAAACAAAAAAATCCTTCCTTTTATAGAGCCTAACCTATAGTGAAGAGAGAAATTCAATAAACAAATCCAAGTAAAATATGTAGTATGTCAGTAGTGATAAGTGCTATAGAGAAATTGATGCAAGAAATGTAGAGATTGGGGTGGGGAGGAAATGGGGCGATGTAGGTCAAAAGATACAAACAAGCAGGCCGGGGGCAGGGAATGGCTAATGCCTGTAATCCCAGAACTTTGGGAAGCTGAGGCGGGTGGATCACTTGAAGTGAGGAGTTCGAGACCAGCCTGGCCAACTGGTGAAACCCCATCTTGACTAAAAATACAAAAAATTAGCCAGGCATGGTGGCACATGCCTGTAGTCCCAGTTATTTGGGAGGCTGAGGCAGGAGAATGGCTTGAACCCAGGAGGTGGAGGTTGCAGTGAGCCGAGATCGCACCACTGCACTCCAACCTGGGCGACAGAGAAAGAGACTCAAAAAAAAAAAAAAGGAAAAAAAAAAACAGATACAAACAAGCAGATATGTAGGATGAACTAGAGATCTAATGTACAACAAACACTGCAGTTAGTAAAATTGTATTGTATTAGGGACTTTTGTTAACTAAGCAGATTTTAGCTGCTCTTGTCATAAAAAAGTAACTGTGAGATGGTAGGTATGTTGATTTGCTTCACTGTAGTAACCATTTCACTGTCTATATGCATCCTATAACATCATGTTGTAAACTTCAAATATACACAATAAAATTTATTTGGAAAAAAAGAAATATAGAGGTCACTGATGTTCTTTCTAAAAAATAAATAAATAAATTTTTTGTAGAGATGGGTCTCACCATGTTGCCCAGGCTGGTCTCCAACTCCTGGCTTCAAGTGATCTTCCCGCCTCAGCCTCCCAAAGTGCTGGGATTACAGGTATGAGCCACCGCCCGCAGCGTCTGATGTTTTGTTTGTTTGTTTTTGTTGTGCAGGAGACTGAAGTTTTATTATTACTCAAATCAGTCTCCCCAAGCATTTGGGGATCAGAGTTTTTAAGGACAACTTGCTGGGTGGGGGGAAGCCAGTGGGCCAGGAGTGCTGATTGGCTAGGTAGGAGATGAAATCATAGGGAGTTGAAGCTGTCCTCTTGCTCTGAATCAGTTCCTGGGTGTGATGTTCTTAATGAGAACATTTTCAATGGAGAAATGGGCATTTAAACCTTACTGGAGTAGATTCAAATACAAATGAAAAGACAGAAATTAAAACAGAGCACTGAAAATGATTTTAGGGATTTTACTATAAAGTTGAATAGAGAAATGGGGTGTGAAGAAACACCATGTTTGTATGTTGATCAAAATTATCCAGAATAAATAGAAAATAAGTGATATGGAAGAGAGAAGAGAAAGCTGCTGAGCTATGTCCTTGTGTAAGTCTTGGAGAGGGATGGAGTCTAGTTCCCAAGTAGAGGAAATGGACTTGATATAAGGCCTAAATGGGATGATGTAGGCAGGTGGTATATTTGTTAAACGAATCACTGACAGTTCATCATAACAGTAAAGTATTTGCCCAAGGAAATTCCACCCGATGGCATAGCATCATAGGACTTCCTCTCATCTTCTTTTTAAACAGAGTCCATTTTTGTATGGCACATACTCAACAGGGTTGTAGTCTATAATAAAAATTTAAAGTTCAGGTTCAACTGCTGCTTGTTATGATTTCCTGAAGGCTATTGCAACAGTTATTTTACTTGGGACCATTTTTTTTTTTTTTTTTTTTGAGACAGAGTCTTGCTCTGTTGCCTAGGCTGGAGTGCAGTGGCGTGATCTTGGCTCATGCAACCTCCACCTCCCGGGTTCAAGCAATTTTCCTGCCTCAGCCTCCCAGGTAGCTGGTATTACAGGCACCTGCCACCATGCCCAGCTAATTTTTATATTTTTAGTATAGATGGAGTTTCACCATGTTGGCCAGGCTCCTGACCTCAGGTGATCCACCCGCCTCGGCCTCCCAGAGTGCTGGGATTACAGGCGTGAGCCACTGCGCATGGCCTACTTGGGACCATTTGTCATGTGATATACTAGGAATCCAACTGAAAATCATGTAAATTTCGTTTTTGTTTTGTTTTTTTGAGAGTGTTTTGCTCTGTCACCCAGGCTGGAGTGCAGCGGCACAATCTCGGCTCACTGCAACCTTCTCCTCCTGGGTTCAAGCAATTCTCCTGCTTCAGCCTCCCAAGTAGCTGGGATTACAGGTGCCTGCCACCATGCCCAGCTAGGTCTTTTTTAAGACAGGGTCTGCCTCTGTCCCCAGGCTGAAGTGCAGCGGCACAATCTCGGCTCACTACAACCTCTCCATCCCAGACTCAAGTGATCCTCCCACCTCAGCCTCCTGAGTAGCTGGGACAACAGGCACAGGCCACCACATCCGGCTAATCTTCGCATTTTTGGTAAAGATGGGGTTTCGCCTGCGTTGCCCAGGGTGGTCTTGAACTCCTGGGCTCAAGCAATCCTCCCACCTTGGCCTCCTAAGGTGCTGAGATTACAGGTGTGAGCCACCTCACCCAGCCTCTAAATCATGTAAATTTTAAATGCATATTCATGCCTTTTATCTAACATTTCCATTTCTAGGAATTCACCTTATAGACAGACTTTCACAAGCATGCAATGTCATATGTAGAAGGATGTTCACTGCAGCATTTTTTTGTGATGGCAGAAGAATGGAAACAACTTAAACATAAGTGATTCACTACATAAACTTTCGTAAAGACATGTTACAGAACTCTCTTCCCTATTCTAAGGAGGGATGCACTTGTCTAGAGAGTACTTGTGGCGTGGGAAGACTTTAAATTTTTTACTCCATATAAGTCTGAATTATAAATATTTTATAACGAGCATGTATCAATATATTTTTGCCATTAAAAATAAATATAAGGCCGGACACAGTGGCTCACAGCTGGAATCCCAGCACTTTGGGAGGCAGAGGAGGATGGATCACTTGAGGTCAGGAGTTTGAAACCAGCCTGGCCAACATGGTGAAACTCTGTATCTACTAAAAATACAAAAAATAGCTGGGCATCATGGCATGTGCCTGTAATCCCAGCTACTCAGGAGGCTGAGGCGGGAGAATTGCTTGAACCCAGAAGACGGAGGTTGCAATGAGCTGAGATCGTGCCACTGCACTACAGCCTGGGCAACAAACTAAGACTCTGCCTCAAAAACAAAAATAAATAAATACATAAATATATTGGGCCAGGTGCAGTGGTTCACGCCTGTAATCCCAACACTTTGGGAGGCTGAGGCAGGCAGATCACTTCAGGTCAAGAGTTTGAGACCAGCTTGGTCAACATGGTGAAACCCCATCTCCATTGAAAATATAAAAATTAGCCAGGTGTGGTGGCACACATCTGTAGTCTAAGCCACTTGGGAGGCTGAGACAGGAGAATCACTTGAGCCCCAGAGGCGAAGGTTGCAGTGAGCTGAGATTGCGCCACTGCACTCCAGCCTGGATGACAGAGTGAGGCCCTGTCTCCAAAATAAATAAATAAACATAAAAGCTAAATACATAAATAAGTAAATATATTGGGCCAGGCACAGTAGCTCACGCCTGTAATCCCAGCACTTTGGGAGGCAAAAGCAGGTCAATTGCTTGAGCCCAGGAGTTTGAGACCAGGCTGGGCCACGTGGCAAAACCTCGTCTTTCTACCAAAAATACAAAAATTAGCCAAGAGCAGTGGTACATGCCTGTCGTCCCAGCTACAGGACAGTTTTGAAACACATGAACTATCACAATCTTGCAAATTCTATGAAACTGTGTCTTTTATTTTTAAAATCATGAAAGTTTTGCATTTTCTCCATTACTTCTATGTTTGTTACAGTATAACAATGACACTTTCCCTAACTATACAGTTAAATTACTTCACATTTCTCCTCAAATTGGCTGAGTAAAATTGAAAGTCCTCCACTCTCATGCCTTCCCCCAGCCCTGACTGCAGAGATTCCTGAGCTCTTATGTGAGATGCACAGCTCTAATGCTGGGGGCTTCTTCTATTTTTTGTTTTTGTTTTTAGACAGATTTTCGCTCTTGTCACTCAGGCTGGAATGCAATGGCTTGATCTTGGCTCACTGCAACCTCTGCCTCCTGGGTTCAAGCAATTCTCCTGCCTCAGCCTCCCAAGTAGCTAGGATTACAGGTGCATGCCACCACACCCAGCTAATTTTTGTATTTTTAGTAGAGATGGGGTTTCACCATGTTGGTCAGGCTGGTCTCAAACTCCTTCCTCGGCCTCCCAGAGAGCTGGGACTACAGGCATGAGCCACCGCACCCAGCCAGGACTTCTTGATCTCCTTTGTCAAATGCCTGAGTGTTCAATGAATGATTGAACATGTCAAAGTCAAATAAAATATAGAGATGAATTTCTACGTTTAAAAAGTCTTATTTGGGAAGCAAAAATTGCAATTCGAGCACACAGGCCGGGTGTCCTTCAATTTGAAAAACAGGCAGTTACAGCAGCCAGGTTTGCAGAGAATTGCATTCTTGGAGCAATGTTTTGTACCCTGAGTGCTTTTTCACTCCTTGCTTCTCCATCTTTAATTGGATATAACAAGGATGATCCAATTTGTATGATCAACTTCCATGAACATTATGTTGTCTAAATAAGGAGAAACTCCTATGGATAAATTGCCCTTAGTAACCAAACAGTTGACTTCACACAGCCATTCAGTTCACACTTAAAAGGAAAGCTCACAAACCTCTTTCACTGGCTTTAGACCAATACATGTAGAAAGATTTACTTATACATTAGGGAAGCCAAAATATATGTTTATATTAATTCCATTCATTTATTCATTGCTTAAGTCCAAGGAGAAAATTTCATAGTTCTGTTCCTTGTGGCTTAGCCTAGCATCTTGAAAAAGGATAATCCCTAAGTATTAAGTAAAGATCAGGGGATCTTCAAGGTATAGTATAAAAGGCACTGGCCTGGGAATCAGAAGAAGGGAATCAGAAGAAGTGGGTTCTAGTCCTCCCTCTACTAGGAGCCTACCACCTGTCATTAGGAAAGAAATTTAATGTCTTTTTCTTTTTCTTTTCTTTTCTTTTCTTTTCTTTTTTTTTTTTTTTGAGATGGTGTCACGCTCTGTTGCCCAGGCTGGAGTGCAGTGGCACAAATCTAGGCTCACTGCAACCCCTGCTCCCTGGGTTCAAGTGATTCTCATCCTTCAGCCTCCCAAATACCTGGACTACAGGTGTGCACCACCATACTTAGCTAATTTTTGTATTTTTAGTAAAGGCAGGGTTTCCCCATGTTGGCCAGGCTGGTCTGGAACTCCTGGCCTCAAGCGATCCACCTGCCTCGGCCTCCCAAAGTGGTGGGATTATAAGCGGAAGGCACCATGCCTGGCCAAAAGCTTATTTTAAAATCATATTTTCTTTCATTTAATCTTTATGAGTGGATTGTAGAAACCATGGAATTGCTTAAGATTGACATGTTTTCTGAACTAAAATGAGTGAAATGTGTATATTCATCATCTGACAAGCCAGTTGTTTAATGTAGTCAACATGCTTGTTATGTAATCACTTCTGGTTGTATTTCTAAATTCTGGGCCTCCCAACTTCTCTAGCAGGTCAAGCCAGGAGGACTTTCATGAACTACATCAGCATGCCAATCCCAACCATTCACTAAGATTCACTCTTAGATTTTGCTGGGAAATATAAGATACAAATAAAATTGCCAAAGTGACTCCTCATGGTTATATTATGCAGAGAGATAGACTGTTGTTATGTTGTTTCCTTAGAAATCATTACAAGCTGCTTCACGTGTGTGTGTGTGTGTCACAGTATATTACATGTGCAATATATTATACATGCAATATATTAAAAGATACAGGTTGGTCACTGTGGCTCAAGCTGTAATCCCAGCACTTTGGGAGGCTGAGGTGGGTGGATCACCTGAGGTCAGGAATTCGAGACCAGCCTGGCCAACATAGTGAAACCCTGTCTCTACTAAAAATACAAAAATTAGCCAGGCGTGGTGGCACACACCTGTAATTCCAGCTACTTGGGAGGCTGAGGCAGGAGAATCGCTTGAACATGGGAGGCAGAGGTTGTAGTGAGCTGAAATCACACCACTGCACTCCATCCTGGGCAACAGAAAGAGACTCCATCTTAAAAAAAAAAAAAAAAAAAGATTAGCAGGGCCCATTATCTCTTTCCTGAACTTTGTCTGTATCAAATTATTCAAGAATCTCATGGCCTGACACGGTGGCTCACGCCTGTAATCCCAGCACTTTAGGAGGCCAAGGCGGGCAGATCATCTGAGGTTGGGGGTTGGCAACCAGCCTGACCAACATAGAGAGACCTCATCTCTACTAAAAATACAAAATTAGCCAAGTATGGTGGCACATGCCTGTAATCCCAGCTATTCGGGAGGCTGAGGCAGGAGAATCGCTTGAACCTGGGAGGCAGAAGTTGCGGTGAGCCGAGATTTTGCCGTTGCACTCCAGGCTGGGCGACAAGAGTGAAACTCTGTCTCAAAAAAAAAAAAAAAAAAAAGAATCTCGGGCACAGGCTTTGGCCATCCAAATGGACAGTCCTGTTAACAAACACCAAAGAAAGAACTGATAAATCTGGTCATTTCTGACAACACGTGTTTTCTGCCACTGCTATTTCTATTATGGCCACATGGAGTCACTGTTGAAAACTGTCCAATGCTTTCTCACCCAATGCTAGGATGAAGCAATGCCCTGCTGTTTCAAATGTCCTCATAAAAACAGCTTACATTTACTTTGAACATACTGTGTGACAGTATTGTGTTGTGTCTAATTACATCACAATATGCCTGTGAATGTTGTTGTTATCCCCATTTTATGGATATGAAAATTGAGAAAATTAAGCAAAATGACCAAGGTCATAGAATAAGTGGTGATTCCAACACAGATTTGACTGACTTTCTAATCATTGTGATTATAGGTCCATCCCTTAAACTTGTTCATGCTTTTTGATCTAGTAATTCCATTACTAGAAATCTATCTGAATTAGAGATGCACATGAAGGTACATACAGGAATTTTCAATGCCATATATGTAGGAAAGTTAGAAGCAATCTACAGTTCCAATGTGAGGAGGGGACTACTTAATTTGTAATCTATCCACAGATTAGAATACTATTAGATTATAAATATAGATCTCTATTTATACATATGTTACATATAATTTATATGTAATATATAATATGTATTATACTACATATTTATATTATATATAATATAATTTATATGTAATATATGTAAATATAGATCTCTATTTTTATATGTTACATATATGTATACATCATATGTATATATCATATTTATGTTACATATGTTATATCATATTTACATGTGTTACATCTGATATATATTTTATGTAACAATATATAAACATGTGTAATATGTAAACATGTATATTATATATAACACATATATACATATTACATTGTATGTAACATATATGAAGAGATCTAAGTTTATATGTATATCACATATATATGTATATTTACATATATACACACGTATATACACATACACACACATATACACATACACACACACACACACACACACACACACACACACACACACACACACATATATATTTTAGAGACAGGGTCTACTATGATGCCCAGGCTGGAGTGCAGTGGTTGTTTACAAGCACAATCATAGGTCACTGTGGCCTAAGACTCTTGGGCTCAAGTGATCCTCCTGCCATAGCCTCCAGAGTAGCTGGAGCTACATACATGCCACCATGCCCAGCTAACATATTACATTTATTAAGTGATTAATATTAATATTAGCCACTTATAGTTCTAAGCATTTTAGGTATATTGGCTCAGTTAACACCCACAAAACCCTAGGATACAGGTAGTAATAGAATATTTTATCTAGCGTAAGAAATCATCATTATGAAACACTTCATTATTTTGGCCAGGTGTGGTGGCTCACACCTGTCTGTAATCTCAGCACTTTGGGAGGCTAAGCCAGGGGGATCACTTGAGACCAGGAGTTCGAGACCAGCCTGGCCAACATGGCAAAACCCCGTCTCTACTGAAAATACAAAAATTAGCCAGGTGTGGTGGTACGCACCTGTAATCCCAGCTACTCGGGAGTCTGAGGCACGAGAATCACTTAAACCCAGGAGGCAGAGGTTGCACTGAACCAAGATCACGCCACTGCACTCCAGCTTGGGCGACAGAGCGAAACTCCATCTCAAAGAAAAAAAAAAAGAAGTAGCATTAACAATTTTCTTATTTCCTCTGTGATTTCTTTTTCTAAGCCGTTGTTGCTATGGAGACCATGAAGAATCAGTGAGACTGAAAGTCATGTACCAGTGCCCATAGGCAAATGTTTTAAAGTGTGAACATTGGATTTTGGAATCTGACACTAATGTTCTTGCAGTTTGGCTTTGTGTATTCCCAAGTAAGTTTTCTTTCTGTTTTTGGGAGACTATAGTTTCTAAAGTTGGTCCAGGGAACTGATTCGTGAGTCAGAAGTATTTGGTGAGCTTACTAAAATATAGATTTCTGGGCTGCACCCTTAGAATTACTTCATCAGAATATCTAGAAGTGCGATTCAGGAATCTGTATTTTTTTTAAAACAAGGTTTAGCATTTATAAATGGTTTTAGCTAAAGCATGAGAACCATTACTGAAGACCATCACTGGATGTGTGCCAATAATTCATGGAATTCTAGATTTACTTTTTAATTTACTTTTCTTTCTCTCTTTTTTTGAAACAGAGTTTCACTCTGTCACCCAGGCTGGAGTGCAATGGTGTGAACACAGCTCACTGCAGCTTTAAACTCCTGGGTTCAAGCGGTCCTCCCCCGTCAGCCTCCCAAGTAGCGAGCCTCCATACCTGGCTAGTTTTTGTATTTTATGTAGAGACAGATTGTCTCCATGTTTCCCAGGCTGGTATCAAACTCTAGAGCTCAAGAGATCTTCCAGTCTTGGCTTCCCAAAGTGCTGGGATTATAGGCATGATCCACCACACCTACTCTTTGTATTTAATTTTCTGAAAAGGATATGGTCTTCTTTTTTCATTTTATTTCATTTTATTTTATTATTTTATTTTTATAGAGACAAGGTCTACCTATGTTGCCCAGGCTGGCCTCGAACTCCTGGGCTCAAGGGATCCTTCTGCCTCAGCCTCCCAACGTGCTAAAATTACAGGCATGAGCCATAACGCACAGCGCTAAAGAGTATGTTTTACCACATGAAAAACATCTCATCAAATCCAGTTATTGCTGGAGTTAAGCACTTTTCTCCATGCAGACCAAGTGGATGCTTTTTTTCTATGCTTGCTTCCATATTAATTTTTGACTTAGATTTCAGAGACTTTTATTAATTTACTTACATGTGATTTTCAACTGTGATCCCCTCTTTAGTAATGAGTTCTATGAACTTAGACCCCAATAATTCCATGAATTCAGATGCACAGTCACTCATACAAGTACAGCATTACTCATTTCTATTATTTTGTTTGTTTGTTTGTTTGAGATGGGGTCTGACTCTGTTGCCCAGGCTGGAGTGCAGTGCAGTCTGGAGCTCCCAGGCTTAAGTGATCCATCCCCTCATCTCGGCCTCAAGAGTAGTTGGCACTACAGGTGGATGCCACCATGCCCAGCTAATTTTATTTATTTATTTATTTATTTGTAGATACAGCGTCTCCCTATGTTGCCCAGGCTGGTCTTGAACTCCTGGGCTCAAGCAATCCTCCCCACTTGGCCTCTCAAAGTGCTAGGACTACAGGAGTGAGCCACCGCGCCTGGCCCACTATTCCTGCCACATTTAGTACTAACTCATGTCTTCTTTTCTTCAGAATAAGAAAGGAAGAAAAGTGTCCTTGGAAGAGACAAGAGACAAGAGAGATTGCTGTCCCGTGTTTCTTTCCTCTGCAGGCTGTTGTATCCTGTCAGAGCCATCTGTCACTGGATCTCTTAGGAAATGCTACTGCTGCCAGACTGTCTTGTGGGCAGAAGTGCCTGTACCTGCCAGTGGTTGCAAGGCAGAGGAAACAGCCTCTAGTTGGATGGGGACCAGCATCTGGGAAATACTCTGACTCCACTCCTGGGGATAGAACCCATGTTTTCTTCCTGGGTCAAGCCACTTCTCGTTGGTCTATGGCAATCCAGCTGGGTTAGGAAAAGAAAAGCCCGCCTGGGCAGCCACATAGCTAAAGGCTCAGGACATTAAACACTAGGCTTGCTCTTCTTTGTCCCAGTGTATTAAAAAACAAACACTCCATGTAGTTCCCTGAGACACAAAAACAGGCCTTTAAACTGACCTTTCTAAAGAAACTGTTAGCTGGGCATGGTGGCTCACACCTGTAATCCCAGCACTTTGGGAGGCCGAGGCAGGCAGATCACTAGAGGTCAGAAGTCCAAGACAAACTTGTCCAACATGGTGAAACCCCATCTCTACTAAAAGAAAAAAAATTAGTGGGGCATGGTGGCAGGCGCTTGTAATCCCAGCTACTCAGGAGGCTGAGGTAGGAGAATCGCTTGAATCCAGGAGGTGCAGGTTGCAGTGAGCCAAGATCACGCCACTGCACTCTAACCTGGGTGACAGAGCTAAACTCTGTCTCAAAAATAAAAAAGAAAGAAGGAAGGAAGGGAGGGAGGGAGGGAAAGAAAGAGGGAAGAAAGAGAAAGGAAGGAAGGAAAAAAGGAAGGAAAGAAAGAAAGAAAGAAGGAAAGAAAGAAAGAGAAAGAAAGAAAGAAAGAAAGAAAGAAAGAAAGAAAGAAAGAAAGAAAGAAAGAAAGAAAGAAAGAAAGAGAGAAAGTAAAAAAGAAAGAAAGAAACTGTTGCCAGGGGAGGTGACTCAGGCCTGTAATCCCGGCACTTTGGGAGGCCAAGGTGGGCAGATCACCTGAGGTCAGCAGTTTGAAATCAGCCTGACCAAAATGGTGAAACCCCGTCTCTACTAAAAGTACAAGAATTAGCCAGGCTGTGGTGGCGCACACTGTAATTCCAGCGACTCAGGAGGCTGAGGCGGGAGAATCGCTTGAACCCTGGAGGTGGAGGTTGCAGTGACCCGGGATTGTGCCACTATACTCCAGCCTGGATGACAGAGGGAGACCCTGTCTCAAAAGAAAAGAAAAGAAAGAAAAAAAGAACCTGTTAAGATCTCCTAAAGCCTCTGCAAACTATGTCAAACATTCAATAGTTCCTTAGTTGGGTATTTTCTTAAAATTTTCCTGTTTCTTATCAATGTTAGATATTTTTCCAAGAACTCAAGGGAGATTTGCAGTGGGATAATCCAGTTCACATGGTAAAAATGAAACCACTACCACATAGCTTGTGATGCAATAAAGTAAGTGAAATAAAAGAGGCACAAAAGGAAACCGGAAGTTTCCATATCTTAAAAAGAAAAGCCACAGTGATAAGGCTTCAACCTGCTGAGTCGGTTACCCAGGTTTCTCCAGGCACTGGAGAAACCTCCATGCGGGGTTTCTGTTACTAACAGAGCCCTATTGAGTTGAAAGAAAAACCCATCCACCACCAAGCGCTACTCTATTTCTCTGGCATCAAGAAGGTTAACTTTTTTCACTCTATTTATGCCTTTTTTTTTTTCCTATAATCAAGGAAAGTAAAGCTCAAAGGGATTAAATAGCTTTTCTAAATCAACAGCTAGTATCAGGCCAAAAAAGAAAAAAATTGGCATCTGGATGTTATATAACACTAAAGCCCATATTTTTTTCTTTTACCTCAGACTTTCCACCAGGGACTAAAACAGGTTCAAATACTGTGTAATTGATTGTATTTGATTATGGTGTATTTATGGGGACTATGTAAAGCAACATTTCTTTATAATATTATTTTCTTTTCTTTTTTTTTTTGAGACCGAGTCTTGCTCTGTTGCCCAGGCTAGAATGCAGTGGCAAGATCTGTCCATATCAATTAATAACAAAATTGAAACACGGACTTAAGTGACAAATGTTTATTCATCCACAGTGACTTTTGACTTATACCAGGCTGCTATAATCTAGAACATTATGTTTATGTGAGCGTCACAGTCTCAGAAATATTCTCCCTGACCTAAGTAAGTTCTAGTCCCAAAGTATCTCTCCCCATCCCATTCACTTCCTTCACCTTGTTCATTTCCTCTTGAAACGTGTCATAAATTGTGCACTTATGTGTATTTATTTATTTGTTCAGTGTCTCTCTCTCCCTGACAAAACTCTAGACTCCATGAAGGCCATTGAGTTTTGTGCACTGCTGCTCCCCAGCACCTAAAACTGTGACTGGCATATACTACACACTCAAATATTTGTTGCATGAACGGATAAAGGAGCAGAATTGTCTTTTAAACGATATAGTGGTTATTCTTTTCTTCTCACTTGCAAAGCTGATTTTAGAAGCAGGTGCCAGAGATAAAGGTTACAAAATCTTAATATCTGTGCTTTACAAAATCAGAACGATGTTCACTAAAATGTTGACAGCAATTATTGTTGATCTGAGTGTTGGGATTGGTGGGTAAATTTCATTATCCCTATTTTCTAGCAAGTCTTTAGTAAACAGGAATTGTTTTGAAATCAGATTTAAGCTTTTAAAAAGTATAAACTCTTGGTATGCTCTCTAATTTGCTGTTCTTCTGAGAGCAGTTAGAGCTATAATCTGTGCATCAGGATGGGGAGCATCTGAAGTTTCCCCAAATGTAACTAACTAGAGCCAAGAAGGTACATCTCAATATTCCAGTATCTCCTTCTGCCAGGAGGTCTCTGCACCCAGACTATGCTCTGTGAATCTTGGATCTGAGGGATAAAACTGGGGGACCCAACTGGGCAGCAGTTGACTTAGCTAGAACCACTCATGGTGGTGGGTTTCAGGCAAACAAGGATGTGGGAGGCAACTTGGTGTCAACTGAGGGCTGCATGCATAAGTGAGGGGGACTGGCCAGTGGCTTCATGGTTGACAGCAGCCCATGAGTAATGTGGGCTGTACCTCCAATACCTATAGCAATCCCTGGGGCCCACTGATGTGCGTAAGTGTCTCTTGAATGAGTGGGTGACTTAGCACCTGCGAAGTCCAAGAATATAGTAACCTAATGGCTATATAATTTTGAAGGCAATATATTTGAGTTAGAATTTTGGCCATGTGTATTATCTGAGTGATCTTGGACAAGTTACTAATCTCCAAATTTCAGATCCCTCAAATACAAAACAAGCCTTGTAACAGCAACTTTCAGGGTCACTGCATCAGGGATATTAACTGAGTAAATGAAAGTATGTTTTTCAAAAACATTTTAGTACAGTATAAATACATGCAATACATGATTTCACTTTTCTCCTATGGTTAGAGCTGTAGGTTAAGAGGTTTTGATATTATGAAAAGTAAAATGAAAACAAGATAGCTTTTCTTTTTTCCATTATATAATAAAGAAACCAAAGCTCTACGAGTTTAAGTGACTTGCCCAAGGTCACATGGACAGAAAATGGGGAAGCAGAGATTTGAATTTAAAAAGTGTTCTTTTCACTTGGTTAGTATTTCCAAGGAACAGTCCCTTCTTGCTTTCTGAAGTTCAGATTTCAGGGGCCCAAGCCTACCTCTACTGAATGAGAATTTCCTAGGTGATACTTATAAGGCAAATGAGAATCACTGGTCCTAAAACCAAGCCATCATCAGCATGGAGTTAAGATTCTGAGTGAATGTGCCCCCCTGTGACAGGCTGGCCATGCCCATAAGGGACTATCCTAAGGCGACAGCCTGCCCCTCAAGACAGGTGACGGATAATCTCCTCTTCCCTCGATTATGTTGTTGGAATAAGGATGGAGCTACAGTAACAACTAATGAATTGAGGCCACAGTCACCATTTATTGCCTGTGATTTTGCTACACAGATAGAAGTAAGATAGGCAGATATGCTATTAAACATTAGAAAAGGGCCAGGGGGCTGGGCACGGTGGTTCACGCCTGTAATCCCAGCACTTCTGGAGGCCAAGGCGGATGGATCACCTGAGGTCAGGAATTGGAGACCAGCCTGGCCAACATGGTGAAACTCCATCTCTACTAAAAATACAAAAATTAACCGGGCATGGTGGCTCATGCCTGTAATCCCAACACTTTGGGAGGCCAAGGTGGGTGGATCATGAGGTCAGGAGTTTGAGACCAGCCTGGCCAACATGGTGAAACCTCATCTCTACTAAAACAAAAAATACAAAAATTAGTCGGGCATGGCGGCGGGTGTCTGTAATCCCAGCTACTTGGGAGGCTGAGGCAGGAGAACTGCTTGAACCCAGGAGGCGGAGGTTGCAGTGAGCCGAGATCGTGCCACTGTACTCCAGCCTGGGTGATAGAGCAAGACTCCGTCTCAAAAAAATAAATAAATAAAAAATAAAAATAAATAAATAAATATACAAAAATTAGCTGGATGTGGTGGCAGACACCTGTAATCCCAGCTACTTGGGAGGCTAAGGCAGGAGAATTGCTTGAACCCAGAAGGCAGAGGTTGCCGTGAACCGAGATCGAACTTTTTTTTTCTGTCTCAAAAAAAGGGCCACACTTTGGGAGGCAGGAGGATCGCTTGAGGCCAGGAGTTTGAGACAAGACTGGGCAATGGAGTGAGATCCTCTTCTCTAAAAAAACTGTAAAAAAAAAAAAAATAGCGGGGCATGGTGGTACGTGCCAGTAGTCCTAGCTGCTTGGGAGGCTGAAGACAGTGGATTGCTTAAGCCCAGCAGTTTCAGGCTGCAGTGAGCTATGATCACCACAGCACTCCAGTCTGGGTGACAGAGTGAGGCCTCGTCTCAAATAAATAAATAAATATTAGAAAACATAAAGTAGGTCAAAAGTACCAGAAAATACAAACTCTGCCCATTGGCAGTGGTGTGCTAGTAAATACTTAAGAATCAGCTTTCTGAAAGCCCTGCCCTGATGTGTAGTATTTGCTGATTTCTGTGATGTAAATTCTCCCACCACGACGTATTTCAAGTTACCAATGCGAGGCCACAGAATGCAATGTTGGAAAGAGAAGTACATCATTATGCAGTGTTTCCACCACACAGATATGACAGACCTAACTAACCTGGAGAGCCTCGAGAAGGGACAAATGTAACACGATTATCAGGAAGTGGTGAGTTTTTTGTATTTATTATCTTTGCCTTTAATATATACTTTACTTTTTTGGAATTTTTAAATTTTATTTTATTTATTGCTGAGACAGGTTCTCACTGTGTTGCCCACGCTGGAGTGCAGTGGTGAGATCTCAGCTTACTGCAACCTCTGCCTTCTGGGCTCAAGCAATCCTCTTACCTTAGCCTTCCAAGTAGCTGGGACCATAGGCATGAGCCACCATGCCTGGCTAATTTTTGTATTTTTTGTAAAGATGGGTTTTCACCATGTTGCCCAGGCTGGTCTCAAACTCCTGAGCTCAAGTGATCCACCCACCTTGGCCTCCCAAAGTGCACCCAGCCAGGAATTTTATTTTTAATAACGGCTATGTTTAACAACTCATTCTCACAGTTCCCTGAAAAGTTTAATGCTGGCTCTGGTTAAGGCCTTAACAAGGGATTGCAACAGGCCACTGCCTTTAGGAGTCTCTGGGCAGGGAACTGTTGTTGTAGGGAAAGTGTTGGCCTGGAAGACTGGGATTTGTGCTAGATCTGGCTGGGCAGATGGGAAAGATGCCTCCCTCTCCCTCAAACATTCTCGGGAACACCGTAGAAACAGGCCTGAAGCCCCAGCAATACCTCCTCCCACCTCCTATTGTCCCATCCAGAACTTCCTCAGCATCTCTGGATGAGAGGAGGCAGCACGTCTCTTTGTGTTCCTGCAAACCTGGAGAAATTAAGGCAGGACTACTTTAAGGGTGAGCAAAACTAGTGTCCTATTTCGAAGGTGTCCTGAGCTCAGCCCTCCCTCACATCCCTACTCCCAGGAAATAGCTGAAATTCCTTGACAGCCCCTCCCCTGAGTTAGAGATCAAAGATTAAAACATTAGACCTGCAAACTGCCTGAAACTCATTCACGTCTTCAGCCCGCATAGGAAAGAAGCTGGTCTGGGAGAGCAGGCTGAGGCATTTCACAACCGGCGCATGGCAACCCTGTTTTCCTCCAATGGGCACCAACAAACACCAGCTGCACACAGAGTTGCCTTTGCTGCAGGAGGCAGAGTCACTGCCTGTAGATGCAGGAAGTTGTTTATTTGAGTTTAGAGTCAGCCAGACATGGATTAGAATCGGGTTTCCCTGGACACTTAACCTCTTTAAACTCATGTAAATCCCACGCGTAAATGGAGAGAATAGGACCCACCTCAGGACTGTCGTGACAGTCAAAGGAGATAATCCATCTACAAGGCTTAGCAGAGTCCCTGGAACACAGTGTGTGCTCAAAATGCAGTTGTTATTAATGGTTTTCAAAAAATTTTTATCTATTTATTTATTTTTTAGGTGGAGTCTTGTTCTTGTTGCCCAGGCTGAAGTGCATTGATGCAATCTCAGCTCACTATAACCTCTGCCTCCTGGGTTCAAGCCATTCTCTTGCCTCAGCCTCTTGAGTAGCTGGGATTACAGGCCCCTGCCACCACACCCGGCTAATTTTTGTGTTTTTAGTAGAGACAGGGTTTCACCATGTTAGCCAGGCTGGTCTCAAACTCCTGACCTCAAGGGATCAGCCCACCTGGGCCTCCCAAAGTGCTGGGATTACAGGCATGAGTCACCACGTCCAGACTAAATATTATTTCTAATACAGTCAGAGTGTATGATGATGCTTCATTATTACAAAATTGATCAATCAAAGCATCTAAGTATTAAGGAAAAAATCCTTCTGGGCTGAGTGCGGGTGGCTCATGCCTGAAATCTCAGCATTTTGGGAGGCCAAGCAGGAGGATTGCCAGAGGCTGGGAGTTCCAGACCAGCCTAGCCAATATAATGAGACCCCTGTCTTTAAAAAAATAATAAAAATTTAAAATATTGTTTTAAAAAGGAAAAAAGTTCTGATGGGCATTACTCCATAGATTTAATTTAAAAAGGCAAGCAATCTCCCCTCACCACACTAAAGAAACTTAATTTGCTGGCAATTGCTTTTAGTACTGCAGCATAACTGCTATGGTTTGGATATGTCCCCTCCAAGATTCAGGTGTTGCCAATGTGATAGTGTTGCTGGAAAGAGGTCCCAGTCCAGACCCCAAAAGAGGGTTGTTGGATCTCATGCAAGAAAGAATTTGGGACAAGTTCATAGAGTAAAGTGAAAGCAAGTTTATTAAGAAAGTAAAGGGGCCGGCCATGGTGGCTCACGTCTGTAATCCCAGCACTTTGGGAGGTCGAGGTGGACGGATCACCTGAGGTCAGGAGTTCAAGACCAGCCTGGCCAACATGGTGAAACCTGTCTCCACTAAAAATACAAAAATTAGCCTGGCATGGTGATGCATGCCTGTAATCCCAGCTACTCTGGAGGCTGAGGCATGAGAATCGCTTGAACCTGGGAGGCAGAGGTTGCAGTGAATTGAGATCACGTCACTGCACCCCAGCCTGGAGGATGAGACTCTGTCTCAAAAAAAAAAAAAAAAAGTAAAGGAATAAAGAATGGCTACTCCATAGGCAGGGCAGGGGCTCAACGAAGGATACCTATAGTTATTTCTTGATTATATGGTAAACAAGGGGTGGATTATTCATGAGTTTTCGGGGAAAGGGGTGGGCAATTCCATAACTGAGGGTTTCTCCGCTTTTTAGACCATATAGGATAACTTCCTGCCATTGCCATGGCATCTGTAAACTGTCACGGTGCTGGTCACATGGTGCTCTTAACATGTGAATGCATTGTAATTTGCATATAATGAGCAGTGAGGACGACTAGAGGTCACTTTTGTCACCATCTTGGTTTTGGTGGATTTTGGTCAGCTTCATTATTGCAACCTATTTTATCAGCAAGGTCTTGTGCCGACCTCCTATCTCATCCTGGAACTTAGAATGCCTAACCTGTGAATGCAGCCCAGTAGGTCTCAGCCTTATTTTACCCAGCTGTATTCAAGATGGAGTCGCTCTTGTTCAAAAGCTTCTGACAACAGGATTAAGAGGTGGGACCTTTAGGAGGTGATCAAGCCATGAGGGCTCTTCCTTTGGGAATAGGATTAAAGCCCTTATAAAAGAGGCTTCAGGGAGCAGTGGCTCCATAGCCCTTTGACAATCCATCATGCAACAAGGCATCATCGTGGAAGGGGAGAGCAGCCCTCACCAGACAACCAAATATGCCCAACCTGCCAGTGCCCTGATCTTGTACTTCCCTGCCTCTAGACCTGTTCTTTATACATTCTCCTCTTTATAAATTACCTAGGCTCAGGTATTTTGTTATAGCAGCACAAAAAGGGACTAAGAAAGGAAAAGTCAAGGAACAAAATGTGTTTAGCTCAGCTTAAAACAAAGTCTCACATGAAGATAAGCACACCACATCCTTTTAAATCCGTTTCCCAAACCATTGCATGGGGAAAACACCATTTCAAAAAGACTAATAAATTATTTTTGAAGGGTATAATATTCTAGTTTTATTTTGTTCATTTTTTTTTATTTGATAGAGTCTTATTCTGTTGCCCAGACTGAAATGCAGTGGTGTAATCTTGGCTCACTGCAACCTCTGCCTCCCAGGTTCAAGCAATTCTCCTGCCTCAGCCTCCCAAGCAGCTGGGATTACAGGTGCACGCCCCCACACCCGGCTAATTTTTATATTTTCAGTAAAGACAGGGTTTCCATGTTGGCCAGGCTGGTCTCAAACTCCTGACCTCAAGTGATCTGCCCGCCCCGGTCTCCCAACGTGCTGGGATTACAGGTATGAGCCACTGCACCTGGTCACGCATGTTCTTTTTTTTTTTTTAAAGACAGAGTCCTGCTCTGTCACCCAAGCTGGAGTGCAGTGGCCTGATCACAGCTCACTGCAGTCTCGACCTCCTCAGCTCAGTCGATCCTCTCACCTCAACCTCTTGATTAGATGGGAGTACAGGTACCCCCACCACATAGGCTAATTAAAAAACGAATTTTTTTTAGAGATGGAGTCTCACTATATCGCCCAGGCTGGTCTCCTGGGCTCAGGTGATTCTCCCAGCTCAGCCTCCCAAACTGTGGGATTACAGGGTGAGCCACCATGCCCAGCCCTTTTTTCTGTTTTTATGCATTTACACTTGCATGTACAGGATGGGGATCAGATTATATATATATATATTTAACCAATTCCTCCCCCTGCCCAAACAATATGTTGACAGCAGTTCCCTCCCTTCACAGGCAGAGCCTTCACTGTGCAGTATTTTCAGGCCCTGCATTGTACTGAGGGGAGACAGGACTGTGAGGTTAATATGTAAAGGAGTGAGAGGAGGCACTTAAGGTTGCATATGGGAAATCTCCACCAACTCAATTGGGGCTACACCATAGCATTTAGCCCTAGGCAGTTTAAGGAGATAGGGAGTTGGAGAGAGCATGATTGCTGAGCCTTTCTCCCCCTTTAAAAGTTTAGCAAGTGAGGCCGGGTGTTGTGGCTCATGCCTGTAATCCTAACACTTTGGGAGGCCGAGGCAGGTGGATCATTTGAGGTCAGGAGTTCGAGACCAACCTGGCCAACTTGGTGAAACCCTGTCTCTACTAAAAATACAAAAAATTAGCCAGGCGTGGTGGCACAGGCCTGTAATCTCAGCTACTCGGGAGGCTGAGGCAGGATAATCGCTTGAACCTTGCAGGGGCAGAGGTTGCAGTGAGCTGAGATCACACCACTGCACTCCAGCCTGAATGACAGAGCAAGGCTCCATCTCAAAAAAAAAAAAAAAAAAAGTGTGGCAAGTGAAAGCTACTGCATGCGCATGAGGACACAGTCTTGCACAGTTCTGGGTGCTAGCAGTCCTATGCCATGTGGTCATTTCGGAAGGCCATGATCAAGAAACCCTGCACAAGGAGTTTCCATTTGGGAGGTGGAACACAGGAGCACAGACCAATAGTTCTGTTTTTAAAGTGCAGTTCGAGAACCTCAAATTTGGGGAAGCCACAACACTAAGTAAGTAATAAAATTCTTAACATTTAGCATACAGAATAATGCTATTTAGGCCCTTTGAGAGACCTACATTTTAGTTTTCTGCACATGAGAACAGATGGTCTTGGTTCATATACAGGCCCAATTTACACCCAGCCTTCAAGATAAACAACAGCCACAGCTGAGTGAATTTAGGAACTCCCCTTCCCTTCCCAGGGTTACCGGGGACTTCTCTCCCCTTCCCCCACGGGAGGACCTCATCTCTGCCTGGGGCCCCATTTCCCTTGCTCAGTTGCTATTTTCACTTTACACAGGAAAGGCAAAAGCTGGTGAGCTACCTCCCAAAGGGGAGGAGAAGGAAAACGGAAGGAGGAGGATGGAGAAGACTGTCCCTTTCAACCTTGTCTGCATTCCTCCCCCATAGTCCTAAGGTGGATGGGAAGGGAAGAGGGTTGTAAGAGCTGAGGGCATAGTCTTGCCTATTGCTGTACCATGAATGCATTATAGATACTCATCTCTATTGCTTAAGGCAGGCAGGTGGGCCTGTGGCTCTAGGGCCTGGTGTCTTTCCAATCTCACCTGGGTTGTCTTAGAGGGCTGCTGGGGGACAGCAGAATCTAATGAAGCACCCTGTGGTCCCCACAGGTCTGATGGATGGCTCTGCTCCACCTCAAGATGCTAAGTGAGGCTGAACAGGTTCTCATGACTGCATGGTCATGAATAGAGGGCCTAGCCTGTGTTAGAGGAAGGAGTTTATGTTTTAGGTATTGGAGCAGATGGCCATAGTCCAAGGAGCAGTCAGTGGCAGAGGTGGGGCATGGGGTGGAGCTGTTCGTTCCCACAGTGGAAAAGGCAACCCTAAATGTCTACCTCCGTTGGATACTTCATTCTTTGGGCCGATGTGCCTTTTCAGTGGTATCCAAGGTAACTGCTCTAAGGATGCATGCATTTTCTGCATGTTACTTTGTCATTTTGAAAATCCCGCCCCTCTTTTTTTTTTTTTTTTTGAGACAGAGTCTCACTCTGTCACTTAGGCTGCAGCACAGTGACATGATCATAGCTCACTGCAGCCTCAACATCCTGGGCTCAAGAAACTGAGGACCAGAGAGACTGATATGGAGAACAGGAGGATTGTTTATTTTAGGTATGCACCAGCTCAGTGGATTCGCATCCAAAAAGCTGAGCATTGAACAAAGACTGAGTGGGGTTTTTATAAGCAAACCTACAAAAGCCAAACAAAAGCAATTAATCATACAGTAACAGGTCACATAATCTATAGCATAACTGTTGACTTAGCATAACTTGTGGCCTTGCCTAGCTAGTGACCTTATAGCTGCGTCAAAAGAAAAATAAGAACTGGCTAAATACAGAGATTTGTAAAACATAATCATGCTTAAGAAACCAGGGAAAGGAGTAACAGTAAAAGAATTTGTCTTTTTCTTCTTTTTTTTTTTTTCCTTCAACCTTTCTCTGGAGGGGGGTGTTGTCTGGAGCCCATTCCTTTGTCCTTGGCTTTCTGGACAGCATTATCTTATAACTCTTCTTGAAGTGAGCTTGCTAGGCAGAGGAAAACTTGAAACTTGTTCTTTTCTTTTTAACCTTTGCCGTGCCTGTTACTTTTCTTACAGTGAATGAATGCATATTTATTTTTAAATTTCTGCCTCATCTCAGCCTTCCGAGTAGCTTGGACTACAGGTGCGTGCCACCATGGCCAGTTAATGTTTTAAATTTTTTTTTTTTTTTTTTTGTAGAGAGAGGATTTTGCCATGTTGCCCAACCTGGTCTTGAACTCCTGGGCTCAAGAAATCCTCCCCTGGCCTCCAAAAGTGCTGGGATTACAGGTGTGAGCCACCATGTCCTGCTTGAAACTCTTAATATAAAAAAAATTGCCAGATGTGGTGGCTCACACCTGTAATCTCAGCACTTTGGGAGGCTGACGTGGGTGGATCACATGAGGTCAGGAGTTTGAGACCAGCCTGGCCAACACGGCAAAACCCCATCTCTACTAAAAATACAAAAATTAGCCTGGCATGGTGGCATGCACCCGTAATCTCAGCTCCTCCGGAGGCTGAGGCAGGAGAATCGCTTGAACCCGGGAGGCAGATCTTGCAGTGAGCTGAGATCGTGCCGCTGCACTCCAGCCTGGGCGACAGAGTGAGACTGTGTCTGGAAAAAAAAAAAAAGAAAGAAAGAAAAGGGAAAAAAAACCAGAAAAACTTTAATTATTTTTATTTTATTTTTTATTTTTGAAATGGAGTTTCACTCTTGTCGCCCAGGCTGAAGTACAATGACACGATCTCAGCTCACTGCAACCTCTGTCTCCCAGGTTCAAGTGAGTCTCCTGCCTCAGCCTCCCAAGTAGCTGGGAGTACAGGCATGAGGCACCACACCCGGCTAATTTTTGTATTTTTAGTAGTGATGGGGTTTCACCATGTTGGTCAGGCTGGTCTCAAGCTCCCGACCTCAGGTGTTCCCACCTGCCTCGCCTCCCAAAGTGTTGGGATTACAGGCATGAGCCACCACACCCGGCCAGAAAAACTTCAATTATATCTGAAATCCACTCACATTATCATAAGAAACTTACACATATCAATGAAAAAAAAAAGAGATACTGAATTTTTAGAATCCAATTTCAAATTGTTCACAATTTAAGACAATAATAATAGTTGTAAATGTATTACCTACGTGTCTGTACAGCTTCTCACCTGAAAGTTATTATCAAAAGTATAAAGAAGTTGTTGTTGAAACTCTTAATCTGTATAGCTGTTTCAACATGAAACCATAAAGAAAAAGTTATGATCATGAAATCAGGCTCAAGTTCCTCTTAACTTTAAAAATATCTCATTTAAAGCTTTATTCAAATTATCTACTTTCAATACTTTGTATTTTATTGTTTTTTTTTAACAAAAAACAACATATTTTCGCCAAGTGACCTATAGCTATGCTCCCAATTTATTGCAGTTATTTTATTCACAAAATTCCATATTTTATGAATATAAAAAACTGAGAAACAATGCCCCATATCATATTAATTAGTCTAGAGCACAATTGTGGTTACATCGGTTAATGGGCCAACAGGGTTACCTACCCATTGTTAATAATTTTCTTTCTGTGAGTAAAATAATTTGGATTTCCAAACTACAAATTACAAACCCATTAATGTCCCAACCTATGAGATGGAGCAAGCTTCTTCAGGTAAACTGCAATCGGTTACAGCCTTATTTGCAAATGCATTTTGCTTGCTTCAAACAGCTTCTAGAGAGCTGTTTCGTAATGTGCTTTAGGATCACTTCCAGAATAACCCCCTATGGTTGTGTGCACTGTGGCTCAAGGGACTTCTCATTGGTAGGTTTAAAACTCACTTAGCTCGCCCCTAGAAGAGCAGGATTGTTTTTGTAAGCCTGCATAAAAAACAAAAAGCCAGACCAGAAAAATGCAAGGAGTCTAGGCAAGGTGGCTCACGCCTGTAATCCCAGTACTTTGGGAGGCTGAGGCGGGCAGATCGCTTGAGCTCAGAAATTTGAGACCAGCCTGGGCAACATGGCAAAACCCCGTCTCTAACGCTACCCAAAATACAAAAATTAGCCGGGTGTGGTGGCATGCGCCTGTAGTTCCAGCTATCTGGGAGGCTGAGGTGGGAGGATCACTTGAGCCAGGGAGGTGGAGGTTGCAGTGAGCTGAGATCGCCCCACTGCAGTCCAGCCAGGGCGACAGATCCAGAACCTGTCTCAAATACATCATACATACATACATACATACATACATACATACATACATACATACAGGGAGTCCACAGACTTTTTCTTTCTTTTCAGTTGCTCTCTCCCTTTTGGCCTCCTTGTTAAAAACTCTACATACGTTTTCAAGTAAAACCTTCTAATTTACCCCAACAGATGAACCTGCTCTGGATTAAGCCAGAAGCAAGAGAGAACCCTGCTAGACCAGCCATTTCACCAGCTCCCTAAAATGCAGCTATATTTGGGAGACTTCTGTGTAGGAAGTAAGGCTAATAATGCAGTTCCCAGAAGATTAGGTGTGGTTTTAATGAGCTCACACAAGGCGGGTGGGGAGGGGAGTGGTTCCATGGTTCTATTTTTAAAACTCGTGTAAAGATCATCCTTTGTTGTCTAAACACGGCAGTAGAGAAAGAGACGTCTCTGTTTCTCACGTTACAATCAGAGGTAACAACCTGTGCTAACCTGGTTTCCAGCGAAAAGGCCAAAAGTGTACTGATAACTTCGGCTTCAGCTGAGACTGGGATAACCCGCTTGAGCCAGTGCCAAATTCCACCCATCCGGCGCGCAAGCGAGCGGGGCTTCTCCTCCCCAACCCCGGCCCAGGCTGCTTCTGCCGGGTCAGTGCTGCCGGGTTGGTGGAAGCTGCCTTCCCTCCCTCCAAGATCAGAAAGGCGGAGGGTTCAGGAAGGGGTTCTCCTCTAGGTGCAAGGGACTGCCTGGATATTTGGAGGGAATGGCAAAGCCCTGCTTCATGAGGTGAATGAATATAAATTAAATCGCTCTCGTATTTAAAATAACTTGACGGATGACAGTGCCCATTCAGTCAATCGGCCCTCGACGTTGGATTTGCTACCTGGGCTTGTTGTCTGCGAGTTAAGGTCCTGCAAAAAGCCCCTGGCTTGTCACCTCAACTAACCTATCTCCTCCAGCAATTCTCTCAATACATCCTCGGGTTGTATTGTAATTCATTTTCCATAGCAGAAATGTGGAGGGCTCTAGAGAAGGTACAAGGCAAATTTTTTTTTTAAATTTTATTTTTGGTTGGCCGCGGTGGCTCACGCCTGTAATCCCAGCCCTTTGGGAGGCTGAGGCGGACGAATCACCTGATATCGGGAGTTTGAGACCAGCCTGACCAACATGGAGAAACCCCATCTCTACTAAAAATACAAAATTAGCCGGGCGTGGTGGCGCATGCCTGTAATCCCAGCTACTCGGGAGGCTGAGGCAGGAGAATCGCTTGAACCAGGGAGGCGGAGGTTGTGGTGAGCCCAGATCGCTCCATTGCACCCCAGCCTGGGCAACAAGAACGAAACTCAGTCTCAAAAATTTTTTTGTTTTATTTTATTTTTTAAATTTGAGACAAGGCCTCGCTCTGTCGCCCAGGCTGGAGTGCCATGGCGCAATCATAGCTCACGGCAGACTCGAACTGCTGGGCTCAAGGGATCCCCCTACCTCAGCTTCCGAGGAGCTAGGATGACACGCGTGAGCCACCATGCCTGGCTAATTTTTAGATTTTTTGTAGAGACGGGGTAGCTATGTTGCCCAGGCTGGTCTCCAACTCCTGACCTCAAGTGATCCTCCCGCCTCGGCCTCCAAAGCGCTGGGATTACAGGCGTGCGCAACCGCGCGGAGGCAATCTAGAAACTGCAGAGGGAGCACGGACCTGGGCACTGGGAAGAATAGGGCGTGGACTTGGAGTGTGACCGCGTTTGAATCTGGGTTGTGCCTGGGACACCCCACCTCCTGGGCCGTAGGTGGGGGGGGAGAGAGAGAGAGAGAGAGAGAGAGAGAGAGGATGTCGACCTTACATGGCTCCTAGCTCTCCGCGCTCTAGCCGAATGCCTGGTTCCTAGTGGGTGCTTGATACGTGGGAAATGTAGGGGGAGGGGGTGGCGGGGCATTGGGAATGTCCCGCAGAGTGGATTTCGGGAGAGTGGCGCTTTTCTCTAGAACTCTCTTCCGGTTACACCTGGAGTAAAAGCTTGACACTCTAGAAGGAAAACCCCAGATGAGCAGCTAGGACTGAGGGTTAGCGGTAGGCGGGAGCGGGGAGATAGTACAAGTACGCTTCCTAATGAGGCGGTGCCGCAAAATAACCAATTTTAATAAAGACTGCAGAGAAGAAAACCAGGTTCTGCTGGCGGAGTGCACAGGCTCCCAGCCGAGCGCCCAACAACCAGGTTCCGGGCCCACCCTGCCGCAGCCTCTTGGAAATCTCTAAGTTGGAATGTGTGCGTGCGCACCACGGGTCACTGCCCTCTTTGTGTGTGAATTTGAAGCGAAATCTGGGCGAGGCGGGGCCGTGCTACTAGCAATCGGACCCACAGTCGCGGTTCCAAGAAGCCCCGAAGCTTCCCCGGCTTCCCGCAGCACTGCTGGGAGGGCACACGGCGCCTCTGTCCCCACCCCAGAGCGTGGGGCGCGCGGAAAAAGGTCTGGTGACTGCCCTCCCCGCCGCCCCCCGGGAGCGTGCCCTCCCGCCGGACCCTGGGACTCCAGAGAAGCGCCGAGGGCGCGAGTACACTAAGATATACGACCTTCCCTGGGGACCGGGAAGGGCACAACCACCTCTTGCAACTCCGCCACTAAGACGCCTTGGGTCACCAGGCCCGGGGGAAAACTCGTCCCCGTCCCAGGCTCTCGATTCGGGCCGCAGCTCACGTCCCGCGCTCCTCCCTGCGCGCCGCTCTGCTCCTCCCTAGTCCCGCCTCCAGCTCCGCCCGGGCGCCCAGAGGGCAAATGAGGGGCGGCGGGGTGGCGGGTGGGGGGGAGACGCGGAATTTCCCAGCGCGGGGGCTCTGGCTTACCCTGCAACCGGGCAGTCTCTTTCTGTTTACGGAGAGAAAGGGGAAATGGAAAAGTCGGGGAGGCGGTGGCTGGCGTCCGCTGCGCCGCCCCTGGGCAGGCTCAGACGCCGTGAGTCAGGGGCAGAGCAGGGCGGTCTGAGCGTGCGGGCGACGCGGGTCTCACTCGTCCGCTCCGCTCTGGACTGCGCGCCACGCTCTGGGGTCCGGCGCCCTGGTTCCTGCTTCTGCCGCTGCCGCCGCCGGATCCCAGTGGCCCGGCGTGCTCGGCTCCCACAGGCCTGCAGCCAGCATCGCACCGAACCTTCGGGGGGCCGCGGCTGGAGCGCTCGGCCGGCGTGGGAGCGCCAAGGCCGCAGGTAATCCAGGGTTGGGGGTCTCCGGCGTGTCTTTCGGGTCGCGTCCCGCCTGGGTGCCCCGGGGATTCCCATGCAGAAATGGAGGGTGCCCCCAGCAGAGGGGAAAACTCTGGCGTGGGAAGAGGTGGGGGCGTGCCCACAGCTGCGCTCGCGGGTCGCCGGCTGCACCAGGCACAGCTGGAAAGCACCTTGCGCAAGGGTCTCACGGGGTGCAGACTCGCGACTCCTCCCCCTTCCTCCTCCTTCCCGTATCCGCAGCGCCAGGGCAGTGCTGGTCTGGGCAGTGCGCGGGGAAGCGGGGACCCGCTGTCACTGCGCCTCCCGCTGCCGACGCCGCCTGGACGGCCGCACTCTCCCTGCCCGAGACCCGGTGAGTGCAGCTCGGAGGCTGGAGGACCCGATCCTCCCAAATGCTGGGTGCTTTGATAATTTATAAGCCTTTTAGGCTCCCTTGACTTAGAGAACCAGGAGGAAAGGAGTGGGAGTGTGGGTTGGCGGAGCCCAGAGACTTGTGAATGGCTGGAACTAAATTCAAGTTTGTAACCCGGACTCTATCCCATGACTAAAGAGGTCATAGCAGAACACGAAGGCTGGGCTTTTGGTCTAAGAAAGAATACTAGGAGAAAAAAAAAGTTATTTTCACGGAAGTTGTTTTCGAGCGATAGTGCATGATCAGGACTCTGAAATTTTTCTAGCTCTGGGCGGAGAAGGACGCCTAGGGATTGTCTCCATAGTTAACAGGGGAAGGCCACCGGCTGCCTGTAAGAGAGAAACGTTGCGATGCTTGTCTATTTCACTTTTGGGAAGACAAGATTAAAGGCTGCTCTTGATAAAAAACAGGGACAGAAAGGCTCTTGCAGTTGCTTTACATACCTGTGGCCTGAGTCGTTTGTGCCAAGGAGAGTGTAATCCACTTCCAGCTGACGCCCCCAGCTCTCTGCGACGGATTGAGGTTTGTGTGCAGGACGTCTGGCATACGGCCCATGAGGACTTTGTCGTGTAAAGCAAATGGGAACGTTGAGGCATGTAGAGGTTTTGAAGCAGAGTGTCGGTCCTTCCTTCCATACGCCTGAAACGCATAATCCGGGGCTTTTTGAGAGCAAAAACATAGTCAGAAATGTGCCCTGAGGGAGAATGTACTATTTTGGCACACATATGTATATATGTATATATAATTTTTAAATTTTTTTTGAGAGGGGGTTTCACTCTTGTCGCCCAGGCTGGAGCGCAATGGCGCGATCTCGGCTCACTGCAACCTCCACCTCCCGGGTTCAAGCGATTCTCTTGCCTCAGCCTCCCGAGTAGCTGGGATTACAGGCGCCCGCCGCCACGCCCGGCTAATTTTTGTAGAGACAGGGTTTCACCATGTTGGCCAGGCTGGTCTTGAACTCCTGACCTCAGGTGATGCACCCTCCTTGGCCTCCCAAAGTGCTGAGATTACAGGCATGAGCCACTGTGCCCGGCCTAAAAAAATATTTTAAATGAGAAATAACACAAGTAATAGTCATTCTTTGTTAGGCAGAAGCATATGCTGTTATGCTGGCCATTTTCATTCACACTTGCCAGGAAACACTCACATTTTGTTTCTGTATATGGAGGCAGCCAAGAGTATTATGTTAATGTTTAGGAAGAGAATTTCCTCGTGATTTTATTGCTGATTTCTGAAATAATTCAGTGTAACTAATTTTGACTGTATTTGCACATCTCTCCAATTCCAAAAGCTGGCATAATTTTCTGTTTGGTTAGGAAGTAGGAATTTTATGAGGACTTTTATTGTAAACTGTGTCAAGGGAAAAATCATCTTATACTAAACGTCTTTATTGCCAAACTAGAATACCTTCACAATCTGAACTTTCTCTAGATGGGCACAGATCATGAATAACTCAGAAACCATTAGCATATTGTGTGCTTAATTAAGGCTGGAAAGTGCTGAGGCTTTTTGCAGGCGCAGTTAGCAGGCGAACTGGTCAGCAGGGTTTCTGGGGAACGTAGATTTGCGTGACAGGGGCCCTGTGTTGCTAAGGAATTACTGCAGGCACTGAGAAAAGTCTCAGCGTCAGACACTCCTCCACCTCCCGGGTCCTGCTTCCCTCCCTCTCCCCTTTCCAGGCAACTCACAGTTTAGGGGTGTGGTTGTGTGTGTTCAAGCTCTTGGGTTTTACATATAAATGCCTGAGACTTTTCTGCAGGGTTTAAAAACTAACATCTTGTCTTACAGCTCTTTTAGGATTTGTCTTTTAGAATCTCCAGTCCTCACAGGAAAACCCCCCAATTAAAAAAATAAAAGAATAAAGAATAAAAAGAATACCACTACTACTATAAAAAAAAAAAAAATCCTCTAAAATTTGTCTTCCCAGATCAGCAGAGTGAATTTGAACTGTGTGGACTTTTTTCCTCTTTCTTTCTTGAGTCATGTTAGTACTGAGAACTTTTTTTTTTTCTGTCAAATCATCTGTTTGATAAATAAGTCCAGGAGACTTGGATCCTTTCAACCCCTGAGGCCCTAAATTAGGCTGTTTTTTTTTTAACCTCTGTGTTTCCAGTAAATTCGACAAGCAGAAACTGCAACTAAACGGCTCAGTAAAACCGAAGTCAAATGTTCCTCCATTAATCTAAGAAGTTGCTCTCCTAACTCAGCAGACTCCAAGAACCTGAATCACAATCTCCCTCGAAGATGTACAAGATCTCAGGAGGGGAAGCTGCCCCCTCACTCTAGATTTCACGGTGGTGATAACAGCCATGAAAGCATTTCATAGGTTTCTGCCTTTTTTTTCTCTCTCTTTATGTCTTGTTTTAGATGCAATCTTCTTACCGCGAAGAAGCCAGGGGAATAGGTAGCCACATCTTGTTTGCAGATAAGAAAGGAAGCTAACGCAGTATCTGCAAAGCCAGGAGTCTGACTCAGTACTTTTCTCACTCATGCATACAAAGCAGCTAAAAATGACACAGCTTATTTACCATGCCCCTGACACTGCACTGAGCACTTTATGAGCTTGAACTCTGTTAATCCTCACGACCACCTCATGAGGTAGGTGCTGTTATTACTTCCATTTTACAGATGGGGAAAATTGAGGTCGAGAGAGGTTACGTTACTTGCTCAACGTCATGCAAGCAGTAAATGGGAGTGTGGGGGGAGGCAATGAGATTTGACTCCAAGCAGTCTGAGACCAGAGGAATGTTGGATTGCAGGATGCTAAACTGCTTTCCTCAGACACAATTCATACGTCAGAAAATGACCATCAAGTAAGTGAATGATGACACTAAATTGCATGGTTCTTTTGTCAAATGAAATTCACTGAGAGGCAGATGGCTGGGTCATGCGTGCAGGTGGCTCTGCAGTGGAGCATTTCCTGGAGCTTTGAAATGAAGCTCCAGATTGATCAGACGTGCGTGGCTTTAGCCCTGAGTGTCCTGTGTGTTAAAGGCTTGTGCTTCTCAGAACTTGAAATACCTTTCAGAAAGAGGCTATGCTTTTGGGAGTGCAATCGGTGATTTAAGTAAACCAATGTGCCTTGAAATTCTCTTAGATCTCTTAGGGCCTTTTGTCTTTTCTCCTTCAGAACAGAGTTGTTCTAAAATCCTGAGTAACAACGTCAGTTTTTACCCTTGCTTTACTTTCTTTTTCTCATCTACAGATCTCCAAGTGTGGCAGCTGATTTGTATATAAGAGCTGAAATGCAATTTTGGTTAATATAGTCACTTGGACTTGCTTATGATAAATTTGACTTTCCTGGCTTCTTTCTACTACTCACAGCTTCTAGAAGGCCATTTATTTAGATATTAATCTTCTGGGACCCTCAAGATGTTTGCTTTGCACTATTAAAGAATTCTGGTCCTAAGGGAGGACAGCTGAATCATAGGTTAAATGTATCATCATCTTTCTCATACTCATCACTGGGAGAACAAGGTTTCCTGTCATCCTTCCAATTAGCTGTTTAACTCATTTGCATAAGAATCATTCCTGAAACTTGACCTATTGCCATCAAATTTGTGTAGATTGAAATCCATTTTTCCAGCTTCTGGCTTTCAGGGCCTGAGTTTTATTTGCCAAGTTAGCTCCTGCATTTAGTGAAGAGGTTATTTTTCTTTAAAGTCACCAGAGGCATAAAAAAGCCATAGCGATTCTTGCAGGGAGGGTGCCACTTCGGGGGAATAGCTGGGTTGTGTAAGGTTGGAAGCCCTAAAGAGCCGGTAGCCTAAGGTCTTCAAAGATTTCTGAGCTGCTCTTGATTCGTGTGTATGTTTAGTGAAAGTTTGTTTTCAGTGCCTGTAGCTGATACCACTGACTCTGTGAGTAAGAGTAAGCTCTCTGGATCTCAGGTTTCCCTCTGCAAAGTGAGCTGGACTAAAGGTTATCTTAGGTCCCTTTCAACTCTGCACTGTCAACTTGAATTCATACACACAGTTGACACAGAACCCTCGTTTTCTGAACAAAAGCATATAAAATCCTGTTGCCAATCCTTGTATGTCAGTTTCCCATGGGTCTTGAATGCAAATACAAATATCGTAAACTAAATATTTGTGTTTTCTTTCCTAGACTCTCCAGAAAGAGCAACAGTAATGGAGTACATGAGCACTGGAAGTGACAATAAAGAAGAGATTGATTTATTAATTAAACATTTAAATGTGTCTGATGTAATAGACATTATGGAAAATCTTTATGCAAGTGAAGAGCCAGCAGTTTATGAACCCAGTCTAATGACCATGTGTCAAGACAGTAATCAAAACGATGAGCGTTCTAAGTCTCTGCTGCTTAGTGGCCAAGAGGTACCATGGTTGTCATCAGTCAGATATGGAACTGTGGAGGATTTGCTTGCTTTTGCAAACCATATATCCAACACTGCAAAGCATTTTTATGGACAACGACCACAGGAATCTGGAATTTTATTAAACATGGTACGTTTCTTTCCGATCAGTTGGGTGCTATGTGCTCAGCTTTCCTACTGCAGCTTCATTTAATGCAGAGTGGTGTTTGAATTTGGCTTAGATGGGCTGGCAGGCATGATTTTAAAAAATGTAATCATCAGTAAGAAGTACTTCCATGTTAAAGATGCAAAAAAAAAAGTCTTCATTAAAATTTCTATTTAAAGATTCTTGATCATATTTTAGTAGTATTTCTACAAATAGGTAATTAAGAAGAATGTATTTTGGCCGGGTGCAGGGGCTCACGCCTGTAATCCGCGCACTTGGAGAGGCCGAGGTGGGTGGATCACTTGAGGTCAGCAATTAGAGACCAGTCTGGCCAACATGGTGAAACCCCGTCTCTACTAAAAATACAAAATTAGCCTGGCATGGTGGCGGGTGCCTGTAATTCCAGCTACCTGGGAGGCTGAGGCACGAGAATCCCTTGAACCTGGGAGGTGGAGGTTGTGATGAGCCGAGATCACACCACTGCACTCCAGCCTGTGTGACTGAGTGAGACTCTGTCTCAACAACAACAAAGAAGAATGTATTTTAATTTAACAGTTCACTAAAAAGTTTATTCATCAGTTATGCAGAAAAGAAAGGCTTAATGAGACTCCTTCGTCTGAGAGGGGAATAAACACTTTGTCACTAATTAATCTTGAAGGCTGAATTATTTGTTCCTTTCTTGTCACATCTTGAAATGTTATTAATTCATTTCTTGCAAAAATGTAGTATGTAGGCAGTAAATAGCTATCCACAGATTCACTCTCTTTCATTGGCAAAGTATGAATGGCAAGTGATATATTTGCTTAATCATCGCAAGTATGCAAATCATGCAAAATATTGTGGCAACATTTTGTTGCCATAATAGTAGATCAGGTGATGTGTTTAGGTGTGCCTGGGATTCTGTCAGGCTTTTAGTATGTCAGAGGTGAACGTAGGTGCTGGCTAAAGGTAACCTAATATTTTTAAAAAGAATAATTTGCAAAGGAGTAGGTGGTAGCTTGCAAAACATGCTTATTGATGAAAGTGACGCCCTTTCTTTTGGTGTATCTAAATGGCAAAATGGCTAATGTTGGGGGAAAGTCGGTGCTGAATGAGTGCGGAGTCCAGAAAAAGTACTTAATTATTTTGCTTTTTTGCATACCACATTCATTTAATTAAAAACAACAGAGTAATTTAGGTCAGGTATGTAGTGAATTGTTTTGTCAGAAGCCAGTCATACTCAACCATAGCTCACAATGGAGCAAGATAATATTTTGCATTGTTGTGTGACTGCTTTGGTCTGGCTCTATCAAGCTCTATTTAATAGTCGACTAAGTACTTTACCTTCAGAATATTTCTTCCTTTTATAAATGAGAAATAATCATTTGAACTAGAAGCCATATCTGATTTTCCCAAATAAAGGATAGTTGGAGAACTCGGGTTCAAAGTTATATATATGTCTATACCGAGAAATATAATTGTTTGTGTATTTCTCTCATTTTTAACGTATTTATTTGTTAAAATGGGAATTAAATTTTTTTTAAAATCCTGCTCCTTCTATAAAAATGAGTATTTTAAATGAAAATATGCAGAAAAAAAACCAAAGTATTCTTGCTTGTAAATATGCAAAGACTTAGGTATGTTTGCTTATTCCGTGGCCTATCTGGGAATGTACAGAAAGAAATTCAGGAAATTTAGAAGAAATACAAAGAAACAACATTCTGAAGTCTTTTAGGAATGGGACCAGAAAAGTTAATCCTAAAAAGAAGAGAGACTAAGACATTAAGATGAGGATAAAATTGTATCAGCAAAGGGTTTGAGTAAAATGTTGTCATTACCTGCTGTGGGTCCTGTGCTCTTTAAAAGAACAAGTACATAATTAAGGAGAATTCTTTTTTTTTTTTTTGAGACAGAGTCTCGCTCTGTCACCCAGGCTGGAGTGCCGTGGCGCAATCTTGGCTCACTGCAATCTCCGCCTCATGGGTTCAAGCAATTCCTCTGCCTCTGCCTCCCGAGTTGCTGGGATTACAGGCCTCTGCCACCATACCCGGCTAATTTTTGTATGTTTAGTAGAGATGGGTTTTCACCATGTTGGCCAGGCTGGTTTCGAACTCCTGACCTCAGGTGATCCACCTGCCTTGGCCTTTCAAAGTGTGGGGATTATAGGCGTGAGCCACCGCACCTGGCCAGGAAAAATTTTAAGAATAAACAAATACATAAGTAAAGGCAGGGATCTTGAAAAACTTTAAAAAGATTTTTATTTTAAAATGATCAAGAATATAACATATAAAACAAGAAGACTAAAAAACAGAAGAGAATAAGAGGAGGACCTTAAAATCTATTGGATCTTAGATATGGCCTCGCTAGGCAAATCGACCCAGTGGTCGATGGCTCTGGGGGGCTGCGGTTGACTTTCCTGCCACTCACATTAAAGATGGACTACATTGCTGTGCCTGCTAGGTAACCCATCAGAGCTCCATGCTTCATAAATGATAGCCTAGGAATTGGGACTGTCATCTCTGATTGTAGTCACTTCAAGACAGTAGTGAGGGAGGCAAGGCTTGCTTTCGGCTCCCTTTCATCCTCACGTGGAACATTGGAACCACCCAATGTTCAAGATCTTTCTATTCCCATCATCTTCCACCCACTACCCTATCAGAACTTTACTCACTGGGCTTCATTTGCTGCTCTCTAACTCTCAGCTTTAGGAAAATAGCAGCTGATTGGTTCCTAGGTAAAATCCATCTATATGATGTATCTACATAGGGATGGGGAAACTTTCATTCAAGTATTTACCTATTCATTTGCTAGACACAGCTTGGACATCTGCAGTGCGTCGGGTGCTAGAGATAGTATGGAACAGTCTGTGCCTCTGGGAGCTTGCTGCCTGGTGCATGCAGGATGCAGTTGAATAGGCAGTTATAGCAGAGTATGCTGCTTCCCAGCACGTGTGCATGCTGTTTGCTCTGGCAGTGCACAGGCAGGATACTTTACATAGCCATGAGTGTGGTAGAAGGAAGGAGAATGTCAGCACAGCCTTCCAAGAAGGATTTATGCCTAAGCCGAGGTCTGAAGTGTTGAGTTGGAGTCAGCTAGATGAAGTGGACAGGGTCCAGGTGGAGAAAACAGCATGTGCAGAGGTCCAGAGACATGGAGACCTGATGTATTCAGGCAGCCAACAACCACAACACCATTGAGTTATTTAGACAGGGTAGAGAACCAGGAATTACAAAAGCATCCTGAAGAACAGGCATGTTCAGTGATTGTGTGTGTGATTTGACTAAAAATAATATTTGTTAAAGATCCCACCAACATCCAGCAAGATCTGGGGAAGAAGCTTTGGGAGACTAACCTGGGAATTGCTTTGGGTAAGAGTGCTGCATGTTATTTATCATCTACGCTGATTCATAACCTGGCCCGGGAACAAATAATCTAAAATGAGTTCCAAACACTCAACTCTTTGGTGGTTTTATGGGGACTGAAGGACCCCAAAACCTTCACCCCTTTTTTACAACTTTATATCTATAAGTGTGAGAGCTGAAGATGTTCCTTAGGGCTTAGTCATGGAGTCATGGCTTCTCAGAGTTGAAAAAGCCTTTAAGATACTTGAGTCCAGCCCTCCGTCTAGTACTCAAATCACCCTGTTCATCATCTCCAATAATTGGTAGAACATTTTGGTATGTTCTTGAAAATCTCCTGTGACAAGGAGCTCATTACACACTGGGACACAAAGTTTCCTATTTGTCCAGTCCTGACTGTAAGAAAGTTCTCTTCCTTATATAGAACCAAAATTCATCTCTGACCGTTTAGTGCAAGCCCTACTTATTGGCCATTAAAAAAAGTGCATATGATGAGCAGTGGTGAAGACGATGGGTCCTGAATTAAAGTACCTGGGTTATGTAGTTCAGCTCTGAAATGGATTGGCTGTGTGACCCTGGGCTGGTCATTTCACCTGTCTGTGCCTCAGTTTACTCATTCATAAAATGGATAACATCATGACACTCCATAGAGTTGATATTTGGAGCAATTAATGAATACATGTGACCTGGTTACACATAGTGAGTGTTAAATGAACTCGAGGCATTGTGGGAGTTACTGTTGTATACAATTGTTACACCCCTTCCTTATGACAGTCCTTCCAAAATTTTTTAAATTGCATGTTCCCCAGATCTTGTCTCTTCTTTCACATGCATTTCCAACTGTGTGCATGACTTCTCATGAATTGTACTATTAACTCTCTCATCATCTGGGCAGGACCCTGTGAACTCAAGCTTGTATTAGTGTCTATCTTAGAGCCATATTTTGAATGTGAGGATCCATTTGTTGTGATCAGCAGAGTGGGACAGAGCTAGCTTGGCCTTTGTGCTAGATAATATGCCTGCATGAATATAGATCGATACCATGTCTGTTTCATAGTAGCATATCACACCAGTCACTTGTGGAATCTATTCTTACTATAATACTTAAAGAGTTTTCTCAATATGCTGCTTCTTGGCCCAGTGTTGTTTCGTATAAATGACAGTGATCTGGATGAGGAGATAGGAAGTGTGCTTATAATGCCTGCCCTTACAGGTGATTTTGGTAAGTTGAAGAACTGGCAGAGATAAGCAGCATAGAGTTCCCTAAGATGGTTTGATAGCGCTGGGTGTGGTGGCTCATGCCTGTAATCCCAGCACTTTGGGAGGCTGAGGCCAGAGGATCACTTGAGCCCGAGTTTGGGACCAGCCTGGGCAACATAGTGAGACCCCCATCTCCACAAAAAAATAAAAAAGTCAGCCAGGTGAGGTGGCACACACGTGTAGTCCCAGCTACTTGGGAGGCCGAGATGGGAGGATCACTTGAGTCTGGGAGGTTGAAGCTGCAGTGAGCTGTGATGGGGCCACTGCACTCCAGCCTAGGTGACAGAGCAAGACCCTGTCTTAAAAAAAAAAAAAATTTATACGGGCCCCTAGAAAGAAGAAAAATACCCATCTAAAATTTAAATACAGGGTTCGAGACCAGCCTGACCAACATGGAGAAACCCCATCTCTACTAAAAATACAAAATTAGCTGGGCGTGGTGGCACATGCCTGTAATCCCAGCACCTTGGGAGGCTGAGACAGGAGAATCGCTTGAACTCAGGAGGCAGAGGTTGCGATGAGCTGAGATCGCCCCATTGCACTCCAGCCTGGGCAACAAGAACGAAACTCCATCACAATAAAATAAAATAAAATTAAATTAAATTAAATACAGGGGATCTGGGGCTAGGGGAAGAACCAGGCATTTGCAGAACTGCAAACTGGTCAGGACTTGCACATTACACTAGAAATTCAGGGCCCATCATGAAAAGAGCCTAGGAGAACTCATAGGCATTGAAAGCTGGTCCCCAGAATCTGGGAAGTTATAAAATAGGGGTGAATGGGGGTGAAGGAACTTGCATTATTTGATCTACAGAGGAGAAGGCTAAGGTATGCTCAGAAAATATGTAAACACATAAATAACTGAGTTATTTTTATAACCCGGCATTTAATAACTGGGTTTTCATCTTAGCTCAGCTTTAATTATGGCCTTCTGGAATATACAAGGCTCTTACCCAGACTAGGAGGTATGCTTTGGAGTCAGACAGATCTGAGTTCAAATCCTAATGCCAGCACTAACTAGCATGTTCCTTAACCTCTTGAAGTCAGTTTCCTCATCTGTGAAATGGAGATAAAAATAGTAGTTAAGCTCAGACTATTGTAGACTTCGATGAGATAATGTATTGAAGTACTGAGCACATTGCTGTACTTAGAACTCAACAAATGGCTGAAATTATCTTTTGTCCTCTTGGACAGAATAAGAGGACACTGGTTCGAGGTGGGTTATAGGCCAGGCACAGGTGGCTCACACCTGTAATCCCAGCATTTTGGGAGGCCGAGGCGGGTGGATCACTTGAGGTCAGGAGTTTCAGACCAGCCTGGCCAACATGGTGAAACCCCATTTCTACTAAAAATACAAAAATTAGCTGGGTGTGGTAGCACGTGCCTGTAATCCCAGCTACTTGGGAGGCTGAGGCACAAGAATGGCTTGAGCCTGGGAGGCAGAGGTTGCAGTGAGCCAAGATCTGCCACTCCACTCCAGCCACTGCACTCAAGCCTGGGTGACAGGGCGAGACTCCGTCTCCAAATAAAAACAAAAACAAACAAAAAAACCTAAACTGGGTTATAACAAATTTAGGTTGGTAAAACTTTCATGAAGATGAGTTAAACACAGAGATGGTTCACTGGAGGGTGAGGTGAAATCAGGCCTGTAAATATTTAATGACAAGAAACGGAAAATCAGCAAGTGCTCTTGAGTGTTGTGAGTAGGGTTCTGTCTAAATGTGAAAAGGGACTAAATCTATCATGTTCTCAGCATGCTGCAAAAGAGGCCTCCAGCAACCAGAGGCGACATACAGGTTATCTTTCAAACAAGGCAAGACCGCCATCTGCACTTATTCATGTTAGCTCTAGGGCCCTGCACAGGGTCTCACACAGCAGAAACACTCAGTAAATAGTTTCTAAATTTAATGACTTCATATTTCTAAGCATTAGAGTTAGTCTCTGCTTTATTCCCTGACTAATAGTGAACACATCTGTTTGTGGGATGTGTAGCTAAAATTAGCAGTGGTGGAGCTGACTGAATGGCCCTTACAGTTACTAGAACTATTTCTGTAGCCGTGTCCCTAATAAGAAGTCCCATGCATCTGCAGATGAATCAAGAGTTCATTCTCTTCCCATGTGGTAGATCTGGGGATTTGTCACATTCCCTTCAGCGGCTGCTGCTGCCTCTTTTAAGTTTTAAAAAAATAGAAATGGAGTCTCACTGTGTCACCCAGACTGGTCTTGAACTCCTGGCCTCAAGTAGTCTTCCCACCTTAGCCTCCCAAAGTGCTGGGATTATAGGCGTGAGCCACCGCACCTAGTTGTTCAGCTTCTTCTGTTACTTGAAATAAGTTAAGGTCCTTTAATAGTTTCACAATTCCTGAGCCAGGCGCCGTGGCTCACGCCTGTAATCCCAGAACTATAGGAGGCTGGGGCAGGTGGCTCACTTGAGGTCAGGAGTTTGAGACCAGCCTGGCCAACATGGTAAAACCCCATCTCTACTAAAAATACAAAATTTAGCCAGGCGTGGTGGTGCGTACCTATAATCCCAGCTACTCAGGAGGCTGAGATGAGAGAATCCCTTGAACCCAGGAGGCAGAGGTTGCATTGAGCCAAGATCGTGCCATTGCACTCCAGCCTAGGCAACAGAGCAAGACTCCATCTCAAAAAAAAAAAAAAAAAGAAGAAGAAGAAGTTTCATAACTCCTGAATTCAGAATCAGAAGCCATAATATTACTGATTACATTGAGGAGAAACTGGTACTGAGGCGATTTATCCCTTGAAAGAACACTCTGGACATGTTACAGGCACGCGTTCCAGATTGCATTTCCCATGAACTACCATATTATTTTGTTTTAATTTTAATTATTTTCTCTTCTAATTTTTTCCTCTTTAAAAATTGAAATATATTTTATATATAGTCAAATACACAGATGTTAAATGTCCAATTTTACGAGTTTTGACAAATGCATGTGCCCTTGAAACCCACATTGCTGTCAGAATAGACCTCTTAATTCTTGTTTTATTATTTTAAAATTTATATTGTGTTTTTATTTTTTTCTGTAGAAATGAAGTCTCGCTATGTTGCCTAGGCTGGTCTTGAACTCCTGGCCTCAAGATATCCTCCTGCCTCAGTCTCCCAGTATGCTAGTATTACAGGCGTTATCCACTGCTCCCAGCTGTCTCTCAATTTTTGAATCAACTAGTTTCAAAACTTCTAGTTCTAAGAGTTGGCTTGCTCATGAACCCTGGGAGGTCAGGGATCAGCCATCTCGTTTGTGGCTGCCTCCGCAGCACCAAACACAGTGCCTAGCACCTATTTTGCAAGCAATAGATAACAATGCATGCGATAGATATTAAGTGAGCAAGTAGATGCAAAGTAATTCTGCCCTCACTTAATTTACATAGCATTGTCAACTCATAGCTCTGACATACGCTGTGGTTTTCCAAAATCTTCCATGATCATCAGTTAATTTTGATGTTCTTTCTCTGTATGCGTCATGTGTGAGTAATAGCTATGTGGACTAACAGGTTCGCACATTGTAATAGAAACAAGTCAACCTGCAGGCACGGTTTATATTTACGCAATCTTTATTTTCAGCCTTTTGGTTGCCGTAGTCATGCTTTTTTAGATAAATAATTTTTAAAGTTCTATTTGGCAATTAATTACTCATGAGTAGGTGGAAATATGACCAGGTCTGACCAGGCACCTGCATCTGTTACATGCTCTCTCTGACTTCCTCAAGCTCTAAATATAGTCTCTGTACAGTTGGTAGGATTAAGCACAGTGACATTAATTTCATAACTGTGTATCAGAATGCTGCTAAAATAACCAGCTTCCTAATAGGTGGGTCTTAGAAAAAGCCAGCTTGACTGAAGTTCTCACCGTCTCACATTTTTATTTTGTTGTAGGTCATCACTCCCCAAAATGGACGTTACCAAATAGATTCCGATGTTCTCCTGATCCCCTGGAAGCTGACTTACAGGAATATTGGTTCTGATTTTATTCCTCGGGGCGCCTTTGGAAAGGTATACTTGGCACAAGATATAAAGACGAAGAAAAGAATGGCGTGTAAACTGGTATGTGTTTTCTACCTAGATAACCCACACTGTGTGTTTGGCATTCTGGCTTTTGTTTTTTTGTCCATTTGCATTAACCAAAGGTTTTTATCGTTTGATTGGGTCTTATCTGAGGGTGCACTGCCTCAAAGCATTTGTTTTTCTGAATTTATTGGCTACTTGGGGCCATTCAGCCCTAAAATCTCTGTTTAGGTGCATAGTTGATTTTAATCTAGATGATTAAAAGGATAAGTGCTGGTTTTTAAAGCACTGATTTGGATAAATAACATCATCACTCTTGGAGAGAAGTAGAGAAGAGCCATCCTGCAAAGTAGGAGCAATTCTCTGTGCTTCTCCTTTCATTCCGCCCACTGCAGAGGGGGCCAGGCAGAGGCAGAAACTGGGAAGGAGGTAGCCTTTTCAGGAAGGCAGATTTAAAGGGCTGAATTTAAATACATCAATGATTGAAAAGACCCTATCCCAAATTTATTATTATTATTATTATTATTATTATTATTATTTGAAACAGAGTCTTGCTCTGTTGTCCAGGCTGGAGTGCAGTGTCGGGGTCTCGGCTCACTGCAACCTCTACCTCCTGGGTTCAAACGATTCTCCTGCATCAGCCTCCCAAGTAACTGGGATTACAGGCACCTGCCACCATGCCCAGCTAATTTTTTGTATTTTCAGTAGAGACGGGTTTCACCATGTTGGCCAGGCTGGTCTCGAACTCCTGACTACAAGTGATCCACCTGCCTAGCCTTCCAAAGTGCTGGGATTACAGGCATAAGCCACCGCGCCCTGCCCTTATCCCTTCTTATTAAACAATAACTGCCAAGGTGCCACTACTTTGGAAAACTGTATCTACATAAGGTGAGCATTCACACCCCCTATGACTCAACAATTCCTCTCCTGTAGGTGCACTCACTCCACAGAGACCTGTCCACGTGGCCACCAAAAACTAAAAGCTATGTGGTAGCATGTTCATATCTGCACTATTTGTAAGGGTCCCAAACTAGAAACTTCCAAAATGCTGAAATGGGATATATTTACTTAGTGAAATTCTGGATAGTAAAAAGAATAAATGATTTACAACTATAATAATGTGGATTAATCTCATAACCATTATGTTGAGCCCAAATAGCCAGACACGAAATGAGATCTACTGTATGAGATTCTATTTATATAAAGGACCAAAACAGGCAAAACAAAATCTGTGCTACTGGATGTCAGGATGGTGGGTACCCTTGGAGAGTAGCGACTGGAAGGGGCCAAGAGGGGGGCTTCTTGAATGCTAGTAGACATCTGTGTGTTTTTTCTGGTTTGTTTTTCTTTTTGAGACGGAGTCTAGCTCTGTCGCCCAGGCTGGAGTGTAGTGGCGCAATCTTGGCTCACCTCAACCTCTGTCTCCCGGGTTCAAGCGATTCTTCTGCCTCAGCCTCCCAAGTACCTGGGATTACAGGCACTCACCCCCACGCCTGGCCTGACATGGTTTTTCATTTTGATTTAGATGGGGGTTACATTTGTACGTTCAGTTGATAATTCATTGAGTTGGACCCATCATTTTTACACTTTTTTGTATGTCTGTTTTACTTTAATTAAATTTTCAAAAGTATAACAAAATAAAATACACTCACTTTTGATTTAACAAAAAATAAAATAAATAATTGCCAAATATTATGTCTTGGTTTCTCTTATTGTAATAAGAGAGTAGCTGGGATTACAGGCATGCACAACCAATGCCTGGCAAATTTTTGTATTTTTTGTAGTAACGGGGTTTCGACATGTTGGCCAGGCTGGTCTCGAACTCCTAGCCTCAAGTGATCTGCCTGTGTTGGCCTCCCAAAGTGTTGGGATTACAGGCATGAGCCACCGCCCAGCCTCAGTGCTTATTTTAAATACATTGCTATAATAGAGTATGAACTGTGGCAACAAACACTTCATATTATCTCACAACCAACTGAAATATTGAAAATACAACCTAAACTCAAGGTACCATAGATACTGTTGTCTAATAGGTGGGAAATTATCTCTTTTTTGATTCATTCATAATTTTAAAACTTTGGATAGATTTCTGACTTCTAAATGAAAAGAGTAACTCATTATTTTGTTTTTTATTTTCTTGTTCTGAATTTTATACTTAAAGCTGACTAACATAGTTAAAGGCAGATCTGAGGTGAACATTATTGTAACTGGGCAGTCCATTTTCACACAGGGCAGAGTATTCTTGAGGGCATTTATTTGCCTTTTGTTTTTTGCATTGACCTATATTTTATATTTTTAAGATGACTTTGGGGTTATTTAGAATCTCGCTTGTATTTTTGTGTTCTAGATCCCAGTAGATCAATTTAAGCCATCTGATGTGGAAATCCAGGCTTGCTTCCGGCACGAGAACATCGCAGAGCTGTATGGCGCAGTCCTGTGGGGTGAAACTGTCCATCTCTTTATGGAAGCAGGCGAGGGAGGGTCTGTTCTGGAGAAACTGGAGAGCTGTGGACCAATGAGAGAATTTGAAATTATTTGGGTGACAAAGCATGTTCTCAAGGGACTTGATTTTCTACACTCAAAGAAAGTGATCCATCATGATATTAAACGTAAGTATCTTTGGACATATACCTTTTTGGCTCAAAGAGACTAGTTATTCAGGAGACAAACAAGCTCCTTCCTGTAATCTGAAGACCCTCCATGGAGGGTGGAAAGCTCCCTCAGAGCACCGTCCGTCTTCCTTCTCCAGAGACATATCTTAGAATCATGCGGGGTTACTAGAGCTTTCAAAGTCATAAGGAAAGATTACTTTCAACAGTTGTTGAAAGGTTATAGCTACATACCTATTAGGTACTGCTCTGTTAAAAAGGCTTTTAAAATTGCAATTTAGGCTGGGCACGGTGGCTCACGCCTGTAATCTCAGCACTTTGGGATGCTGTGGCAAGTTGATCACCTGAAGTCAGGAATTGGAGACCAGCCTGGCCAATGTGGTGAAACCCCGTCTCTACTAAAAATACAAAAAAAAAAAAAAAATAGCTGGGCATGGTGGTGGGTGCTGGTAATCCCAGCTACTTGGGAGGCTGAGGCAGGGGAATCATTTGAATCTGGGAGGCGGAGGTTGCAGTGAGCTGAGATGGCGCCATTGCTCTCCCAGCCTGGGTGACAAGAGCAAAACTCCGTCTCAAAAAAAAAAAAAAAAAGCAATTTACTTAAAAACATACAAACACAGAGACAAGTATTTTTGAGAAACAAATACCTTTTTCATTTTTTATACCAATGTAACAATAATCCATTAAACACACCTTTACTAACTGTTTTCTAGGAGTCTGATATGATGAGGAAATAGGTAAACCTTTAATAGCCAGTACTAAATTAGAGTGGCACAACTTTCACTGGGAAAAAAGATGGGTATTTTACTTTTCTGTTTTAGAAAAGTGGCTTGACAACAGTATGCTTATGTCTTAGAGTTTGAAATTCAAGTTCTTGAACATTATTAATGGCTACAATCATTCATACCCACATTGGCTGTATTCTTGATGGATCCAAAGTGATTTTCACCTCAACTCTGAATTTCATTCTCCTCTTTTGAATATAATACAACCATCTCACTAGAGGAAGCATTTCAGTCTTTTCTGATTGGAGATTCATTATTGTTTTAGATAATGTTTTCATTTGACTTATGGGTATATAAAAAATTTTATCTTAAAAATATTTCCTCTCATTTTAGCTAGCAACATTGTTTTCATGTCCACAAAAGCTGTTTTGGTGGATTTTGGCCTAAGTGTTCAAATGACCGAAGATGTCTATTTTCCTAAGGACCTCCGAGGAACAGAGGTAATTATGTTCACATGAAAAGGGTTACTATTTTATTAAGAATAAAAAGGAAAAAATGTTCTAGAATTATTGTGGGAACGAAGGACAAAGAAGGGGAAGAAACCCACTGCATTAAATCATTATTTTCCTTGGAACACATTTAATGAGCACTTGCTCTGTGTCAAGTACTAAGTTTAGCACTTGATTTTTTATTGTATTTTTTGCTATGTTATTTATAATACATAATAGTATTTGTAATATAATATACATGTTGATATATATAATATAGAACATTTGTACACAATGTCATGTCAAAATAGATCACATTGGCCAGGTGTGGTGGCTAATGCCTGTAATCCCAGTGCTTTGGGAGGCTGGGGTGGGAGGATCAATTGAGCCCAGGACTTTGAGACAAGCTTAGGCATCATAGCAAGACCCCATCTCTATAAAAAAAAACTGGTTTAGGCTGGGCACGGTGGCTCAAACCTGTCATCCCAGCACTTTGGGAGGCTGAGATGGGCGGATCACCTGAGGTCGGGAGTTTGAGACAAGCCTGACCAACATGGAGAAACCCCGTCTCTACTAAAAATACAAAATTAACCAGGCGTGGTGGCGGGCACCTGTAATCCCAGCTACTCGGGAGGCTGAGGGAGGAGAATCATCTGAACTCAGGAGGCAGAGGTTGAGGTGAGCCGAGATCGTGCCATTGCACTCCAGCCTGGGCAACAAGAGTGAAACTCCATCTCAAAAAAAAAAAAAATTAGCTCAGTGTGGTGGTACACGCCTGTAGTCTCAGCTAGTTGGGAGGCTGAGGTAGGAGGATTGCTTGAGCCCAGGAGTTCAAGGCTGCAGTGAGCCATGGGCATTCCAGCCTGGATGACAGAACGAGATGTTGCTTCAAAAAAAAAAAAAGCCCCCCAAAATAGATCATATCCACAGTTCGGCTTTATTTTGTGTGTTTTTGTTTTTGTTTTTGAGACAGAGTCTTGCTCCATCGCCCAGGCTGTAGGACAGTGGCGCATGATCTCAGCTCACTGTAATCTCCACCTCCTGGGTTCAAGCGCTTCTTAGTCTCCTGAGTAGTTGAGATTACAGGCATGTGCCACCACATCCAGCTAATTTTTTTTTTTTTTCAGTAGAGATGCAGGTTTCACTATGTTGGCCAGGCTGGTCATGAACTGTTGGCCTCAAGTGATCCTCCCACCTCAGCCTCCCAAAGTGCTGGGACTACAGGTTTGAGCCCCCGTGTCTGGCCCACAGTTCAGCTTTAATAATAATTATAGAATTAGAGTTAACTTTATAATAAGTTTAGCACTTAAAAAGCAGTATGTTATTTAATCCTTACAACAACCCAGTTGTTGCTATTGTTATTCTTATTTTACAATCAAGGAAATAAGTTTGCAGAGATTAAAATAAAGTGTCCAGAGTCACTCAGTGACAGACCCTGGACTTGAACCCAGTTCTTTCTAAGTCTAACCCTAAGGTCTAACTGCTACATAACTTTAAAAAATTATAATATTACATACATTATTAAAATATATTAGTGATATAACTAATATCACTGAGTTTTGGCTCAATGACAGTCTTAACTATGGTCATTAATATTTATGAGGACTCTAAAGGCCTCTCTTTGAGCCTAGGAATTCTATAATAAACCTCAAGTAGTGAGCATAAATGTATCTTATTTAAAGATGTAAAACAGCACTCATGTTTAACTCATCTGTGAAGCAAAAAACGACCCAGAAAAGCCTTTCTTTCCTGACTCTAAATGAGATTCTGAAAAATGCGTTCGCGGGCTTCCAAGTAATGTATTTAACATTCACATCATTAGGCTGACTGGGTGATTCAATTAGCCAGTGTCCACTGGGCATCTGCTATGTGGCAGGTTCTTGTGAGCACCAACGAGGAAGCATGACACAAGGCAGTGAGGAGCAAGCCTTAGTGGTACTCCAGCGATCCTCACTCTTTGGTGGGAGGACTTACTTTAAATTACCTGAATTATTAAAAGAGCAACCGTTTAGGGATGGGCGTGGTGTTCTCACACCTGTAATCCCAACCGTTCGAAAGGCCAAGGAGGTGGGGGTGGTTTGCTTGAGCCTGGGGGTTCGAGACCAGCCTGAGCAATAGAGTCAGACCTCATCTCTTTTGAAAAAAAAAAAGAAAAAAAGAAGGAAGGGAGGGAGGGAGAGAGAGAAGGAAGGAAGGAAGGAAGGAAGGAAGGAAGGAAGGAAGGAGAAAGAAAAAGGAAGGAAGGAAAGAAAAAGAAGGAAAGAAAGAAAGAAAGCATGCACAACAGTTTAGTTCACAGTTGATTGTGATGGGCACAAGGTTGGATGCAAGCAGGAAGGTAAATGGGTGTAAAAGCTGCCTCCTTGGCCCCTCACCACTACCGGGGGAAGCTGCACTGCCTGAGCCACTCAGCCCCATGCCCTTCTCTTTGCTGGAAGTGCCCATAGGAAATAGAGAGAGGGTCTTTGGCTGCACCTCTATGTCAGGATTACCAGGTCAGTCTTGGTGTTCAATCAGATGACAACCCTTAGTCTAGTCTAGCTAGTATACGTGTTGCACTGAACTGGATTGCAGCCACAAAAAAATTGTCTTCCTTTCAAACCAGATTCTTCCAGCCTGGGCAACATAGTGAGACCCCATCGCTACAAAAAGTAAACAAACAAACAAACAAAAACTTTACTTTTTGTAAAAATGGCATGGTGGTGCATGTCTGTAGTCCCAGCTACTCAAGAGACTGAGGTGGGAGGATTGCTTGAGCCCAGGATGAGGCTGCAGTGAGCTGTGATTATGCCACTGCACCCATAGCCTGGAAAATAGAACAAGACCTTGTCCTAAAAAAAAAAAAAACGCCAAGATTCTGTAAGTCCTTTCTCAACTCTCTCAAAGCCAGCACTCTCCCGGGCAGCAGAAGAAATCCTTGCTTTTGTGAATATTACTGAAGTTATTATTGAAAATGCTCGAGCGAGGATTCTTGACGGTTGTCTTTGAGCAGAACAATATTCAGAAGGGAAGCTGTACTTTTTTTTTTTTTTTAAGAATGCTTAGTCCCCAGATCTTAAGAATACTTTACCAAAGTGTGAGGTCTAATAAGACTTAATGCTTACGACATGTTTTCTTTGGAAAATGTTTCAGCATATTTGGCATTAGTCAGGAGTTCAGATATGTAATATTCCACCACCCTTTTTCCTGGAACCAGTTTGAAAAACAAACTATTTATGGTATTAAAGATGGAAAATACTTTTCTCTTCCTGGCAATGTGGTGAAGTTGAACATTTTGCAACATTGGAGAAAGAAGTGTTCTTTCTGGGGCTGTCTAGCGGAATGCATGGATATGAGATAATAACATATTTTACTCCTGAGTAGTATTTGGATCAGGTTTTTTTTGGCAAATGCAAATTGCTTTTTGTGAAGTGCAAAACTGTGCCTTGGTGTTTATAAATATAAACTCTCTTCTAATCAGCCTGCATTTAATATCTGCCTAGTACACACGAGTTGAAGTTTGATAATGAACAAAGTTGTGAAGTGACCAGTGAAACCTTTCAACAAGCTTGCTTTTACCCTTCCTACTTAAAGAGCCAGGAGATCTAATTAGTCAACTGTGCAGACTGGCTGATGTTAGAATTTGATCATGTGGCTACTGCACAGTCATAGACAATTTCTGATTTCTGCAGTATAGCTCCCAAATGCAAACCCTGGTTACCCCTGTTTGATTGCTCTCTCTAAGCATTGGTATTCAGAGCATTCTATTGTAACCATGTAATACACATCCAGGGTTAATCCAGCATATACAGAATAGACTGTTTTTGAGTTGCAAGGTACAGAGAGAGAATACATAGTGAATGCGAATAACAAATCAGAATTACTTTTAGAACTTGGTCCTTTTTGAAAAATCCTTCTAAGTCTGCTTGGTTTTACCTTTGTAAGTTAACATATAGTCATCACATGCACATATACGCACACACACGGTCTCTTTCCCTTTCTAATAAACATATTGAAAGGTGAAGGGTTCGATCGCTGACATCAAGGTTTTCTCTTGCTCCAGTGCCCTGCCCCGAGGGTGCAGAACTCTCAGAGAGCCCTGTGTTGGTCCCACCAGGGCTGTTTCATGCCTTCTAATCAGCCAGAGTGCTCGAACATTATGCCCTGCTGCTCCCTGATCTAACTGGTAGTTGGTAGAGCTTGAGGAACAAGAGCTCCGAGCCAGGAAGCTCTGGGGTTTCTACCTGAGTGGCAGCACCCAGGCCACCAGGCTTACAGATGTTCCATCCCCCCAGGCTGCCTAGGCGTGCAGTCACATAGAACCTGCAGAGCCACCTCTGCACAACCCCTGTGGGCTACACCAGCAGTGGGCACTCCGCCCAATCCTTGCTTTATTGGCAGGGAGGAGGGGGTACAGGAGAGAAGATAGGCATCCTCTATGGACAGTTAATAATACCCATTGCATTTCTTTTTCTTTTTTATTTGATTGTGGTAAGAACACTTAGCATGAACTCTACCCTCTCAACACATTTTTAAGTATACAATACACTATTGTTGACTATAGGTACAATGTTGTGCATTAATTTTTTAAGTTTGTGATATATTTAGTAGCAAAGTCCTTCTGGAAAGTCCTCTGGCTCTGCTGCAGGGAAAGCTTGAGAACGGGAGCTCAGTTTCACCTGTTTGCTGAGAGCAAAAGGAAGCTGGCCCGGAAGTGGCTTGCAGGAAGGAGTTGAGCAGGGTTAGGGTGGGGAGACTGGGCAGTTTCTCTGGTTTTTGTAAGCTAGTTCTCTAATTACTTACCCTGAAATGTGTTCCGGAAACACTGACCTCCATTCTCTTATTCACATGGCAGACAGTGTACAAGCTGTTTCAAGCGAAATACTGATAATCAGGATATTAACTACTATATGTCTGCACCAGCCATGAATACAAATCACTGGTCACCAGTGTTTGCTCTGTTCCTTTTTAAAAAAATGTTTAATTAAATTAGGTAACTAATTAATTTGTAAAGATGGGGGGTCTCCATCTTGTCCAGACTAGTCTCAAACTCCTGGGCTCAAGCAATCTTCCTGCCTCGGCCTTCCAAAGTGCTGAGATTCAGTGGCTCACGCCTGTAATCCCCACACTTTGGGAGGCCGAGGCAGGTGGATCACGAGGTCAGGAGTTCGAGACCAGCCTGGCCAACATGGTGAAACCCCATCTCTACTAAAAATACAAAAATTAGCCAGGCGTGGTAGCACATGCCTGTAATCCCAGCTAGTTGGGAGGCCGAAGCAGGAGAATAGCTTGAACCCGGGAGGCAGAGGTTGCAGTGAACCGAGATCGCACCATTGCATTCCAGCCTGGGTGACAGAGGGAGACCCCATCTCGAAAAAAAAAAAAAGCCAAAGTGCTGAGATTATAGACATGAGCCACCATGCCCCACCTCTCTTTGTTTCTTTCTTAAGTTTAGAAATAAATGCTCGTTAGAGAAACTATTTATAAAACCAGCCCTGTTTATTCAGCATGGACTCATGAGACCAAATATAACTTATACAATGTTAATATGGCTGCATTTAATATTTAGTCACTGGGCTACATAGTAGGTAAAAATAACAGATAGTTTGTAAAAATGACTCTTTAGAATCACTTCTACAATATTACACTTTATTTTTTAAGTTTTTCCCTTTCAAGAAATTTGTGTTAATACCCTATAGACTTCTATCACCTTTTATCATTGCAGATATTTAGAAGGTTAGCAGTGTAATGACAAACAGATAAAGAAGTCTGTTTGTAGTTCATTTAAATATAAAAGGAATTGGCGTTTTAGTTGAAAACTTAGCTACACCTGATCAGTGTACTGCAGAACTTTGATGAGTGGGAGTCCCTGATAGATTCCTGGTTCTAGGCTCTTTGCCACCAGATCAACCAGAAAAAGGTGGTGTTTTGTTTTGTTTTGTTTTGTTTTTTGAGACTGAGTCTCGCTCTGTCTCCCAGGCTGGAGTGCAGTGGTGCGATCTCGGCTCACAGCAGCCTCCGCCTTCCGAGCTCAAGCGATTCTCCTTGCCTCAGCCTCCCAAGTAGATGGGATTACAGGTGCCCATCACCATGCCCAGCTGATTTTTGTATTTTTAGTAGAGACCAGGCTGGTTTTGAACTCCTGATCCGCCCACCTCAGCTGGGATTATAGGTGTGAGCCACCGCGCCCGGCCAGGTGTTCTTCATCAGACTGCAGGGACACCTCCAGCAATTGCTGCATGGTTCCTGGGGAATGCCTGCATTATTCTCCTAGTTTAAGGCAAATGAGCCAATTTCCAGAACTGGATTAGGGAAATGGAAACCCACACAAAGGAGGGGAATGAAGCTGAATGTTTCCCACTTCTTTTTCAGATTTACATGAGCCCAGAGGTCATCCTGTGCAGGGGCCATTCAACCAAAGCAGACATCTACAGCCTGGGGGCCACGCTCATCCACATGCAGACGGGCACCCCACCCTGGGTGAAGCGCTACCCTCGCTCAGCCTATCCCTCCTACCTGTACATAGTAAGTGGGGTTCAACCAGGGCTGGGGGCGGCGGGGGGGGGCGTTGAGTTATGCATCCCGCAGGCTTGGGAGGGACTGCTCTGCCTTCTATACCACCCCCATCTGAATGAGGCAATGGTGAAATGACAGGTAGCTACAAGTTCTTCCCATGTAGAAGCAAGCTCCATTCTTGCAAAGAAAACATAGCTATTTTAGTGGGAGCTTACTAAAATGTGCATTGGGCATAATTTATGCTATTCCATTGTATGTGTAATAATGCAACACTACTTAGTAGCATCAGAGTAGCATAAATATTTCAGCAAAGGAAGTTGTATGTGTTCTTTGAACAGTTAAAACATTTTTTATTATTAATGTTCACACCAGTGTGGCTTGTAGTGGAACATGCAATTCCCATTTTACTGTTGATAAATTCAGGAGCAGACACTTCCCTGTTACTGCACAGTGACTTTTGGGACACTGATTTGAAGCTGTCACTGACATTCAAACCTATCACTTATCTTTTGTAACATTAAATCAGAAGATGGGTTTAACCTGGTATCCTTTAGAAATTAAAGTGGGCCAAGCACGGTGGCTCACGCCTGTAATCTCAGCACTTTAGAAAGCCAAAACAAAAGGATCTCTTGAGCCCAGAAATTCAAGACCAGCCTGGGCAACAAAGCAAGACCCCATCGCTACAAAAAATTAAAAAAATTAGCTAGGTGTGGTGGTGTATGCCCTGTGGTCCCAGTTGCATGGGAGGCTGAGGTGAGAGGATCACTTGAGCCCAGGAGTTCGAGGCTACGGTGAGTTGTGTTGGTGCCACTGTACTCCAGCCTGGATGACAGAGCAAAGACCCTGTCTCAAAAGGAAAAGAAAAAAGAAATTAAAGGGAAGCTTGCTTGCTTAAGGGCTGAACTGCATTCGTTGCAGGGCATGTGGTGGAAAACGGATTACTTTCTAGGTCCTGGTACTAGCATGCTTTTGCTGTTGAGGGTGTATCACCATACCTTTGATGCTAAGAGAGCTGGTTTGTTGATAGATCCACAAGCAAGCACCTCCACTGGAAGACATTGCAGATGACTGCAGTCCAGGGATGAGAGAGCTGATAGAAGCTTCCCTGGAGAGAAACCCCAATCACCGCCCAAGAGCCGCAGACCTACTAAAACATGAGGCCCTGAACCCGCCCAGAGAGGATCAGCCACGCTGTCAGAGTCTGGACTCTGCCCTCTTGGAGCGCAAGAGGCTGCTGAGTAGGAAGGAGCTGGAACTTCCTGAGAACATTGCTGGTAGGGACACCCTGCTGTGTGCCGCACACTTACTTCCCTTCTCTTTCTGTCCACATCAAACCTCTGATGTAGTTCATGAAAGCACTTGGAAAAAAAGGAAATGACTTCTTGAGTACCATACCTTGCTTGAGAAATTTCAGCAAGATTAGCAGAAGCATGTTTTTTTTTTTAAATTGGCTAATTTAGCACCAAATTATAACAGATTTTCAGTGCAAGTGTAGGTAGCACAGTCACTGGAAAATGCTTCTGACTTGCTTTTTTGCAACTTGCTTTTTTACAACTTTTGTCTTTGAAAACAGATTGAGCATGACAGCTTTGCAGTTGGTTCTTCTTAACTCACTTTTTTTTTCTTTTTTTTTGAGATGGAGTCTTGCTCTGTTGCCGAGGCTGGAGTGCAGTGGCATGATCTTGGGTCACTGCAACCTCTGCCTCCCGGTTTCAAGTGATTCTCATGCCTCAGCCTCCTGAGTAGCTGGGATTACAGGTGCCCACCACCACGTCTGGCTAATTTTTGTATTTTTAGTAGAGATGGGGTTTCACCGTGTTGGCCAGGCTGGTCTCGAACTCCTGACCTCAGGCAATCCACCTGCCTTGGCCTCCCAAAGTGTGGGGATTACAGGCGTGAGCAACCATGCCCAGCCTAACTCATTTATATTAAGCCACCCCAGTCCTTGGTGGGGGAACATCATGGCACTGCCCTGCACAGATAAAATACTCAGTTTGAAGTCAACTTGCATTTCCATCTTCCTTGGCTTAAAATCTTGCCAGTTGTAAATTTTTCCCACTTAGGAAAGTCAGTATGCTTTCCAGGAGCATTGAATATGCATAAAGAGGGATTTCCATTTTTATTAAAAGTCTGTGGCATTCTTAATCCATTTAGGTCCAAACCGAGATGTCAAGCCTGGTGCGCTTGTTTATATTTCTTTGCTGCTTGTCTAACTTTTGTGTATTTAAAGAGAGCAATCTGGCTGTTGGAAAAATATGCCAGGATTTCTAACTAATTTCTTGTCTCCATTGACTCCTGTTTGAACTTTTTGTTCTATGTCATATTATGTGAACTTAGCCATAGTGTTCAAAGACCCATCTTTCACGCTTAAGACACTGTTTTATTAGGCCCCAAAGATTTATTTCACTGCAGAAGGAACAGGTATTTATCATTTGACACGTTTTCTTGTTACTTACTTTGTAATGTTTTCCTTTTCAGATTCTTCGTGCACAGGAAGCACCGAGGAATCTGAGATGCTCAAGAGGCAACGCTCTCTCTACATCGACCTCGGCGCTCTGGCTGGCTACTTCAATCTTGTTCGGGGACCACCAACGCTTGAATATGGCTGAAGGATGCCATGTTTGCTCTAAATTAAGACAGCATTGATCTCCTGGAGGCTGGTTCTGCTGCCTCTACACAGGGGCCCTGTACAGTGAATGGTGCCATTTTCGAAGGAGCAGTGTGACCTCCTGTGACCCGTGAATGTGCCTCCAAGCGGCCCTGTGTGTTTGACATGTGAAGCTATTTGATATGCACCAGGTCTCAAGGTTCTCATTTCTCAGGTGACGTGATTCTAAGGCAGGAATTTGAGAGTTCACAGAAGGATCGTGTCTGCTGACTGTTTCATTCACTGTGCACTTTGCTCAAAATTTTAAAAATACCAATCACAAGGATAATAGAGTAGCCTAAAATTACTATTCTTGGTTCTTATTTAAGTATGGAATATTCATTTTACTCAGAATAGCTGTTTTGTGTATATTGGTGTATATTATATAACTCTTTGAGCCTTTATTGGTAAATTCTGGTATACATTGAATTCATTATAATTTGGGTGACTAGAACAACTTGAAGATTGTAGCAATAAGCTGGACTAGTGTCCTAAAAATGGCTAACTGATGAATTAGAAGCCATCTGACAGCAGGCCACTAGTGACAGTTTCTTTTGTGTTCCTATGGAAACATTTTATACTGTACATGCTATGCTGAAGACATTCAAAACGTGATGTTTTGAATGTGGATAAAACTGTGTAAACCACATAATTTTTGTACATCCCAAAGGATGAGAATGTGACCTTTAAGAAAAATGAAAACTTTTGTAAATTATTGATGATTTTGTAATTCTTATGACTAAATTTTCTTTTAAGCATTTGTATATTAAAATAGCATACTGTGTATGTTTTATATCAAATGCCTTCATGAATCTTTCATACATATATATATTTGTAACATTGTAAAGTATGTGAGTAGTCTTATGTAAAGTATGTTTTTACATTATGCAAATAAAACCCAATACTTTTGTCCAATGTGGTTGGTCAAATCAACTGAATAAATTCAGTATTTTGCCTTAGTTGTTGTGAAGCCTGTGATTCTCAGCTGGGACTGAGGATGGGCTATAGGAGTTGAGTTATAGATTGGAAGGAAATGTGTATCATAAGAAGGCAAAAAATACCAGGAGCTTTGCAAATTGTATTAATACACTCCTTTTCTATTGCTCTTGTATGAAGCTATTGTCAGCTGGAATGGTTTGCATCCCCCGGTACATTGAGGTAGAAAAAACAATTGTGGTTGTGCCTGTAATCCCAGCACTTTGGGATGCTGAAGCGGGAAAACTGGTTGAGCCCAAGAGTTCAAGACCAGCCTGGCCAACATGATGAAATCCCATCTCTACAAAAAATACAAAAATTTGCCAGGTGTGATGGTGCATGCCTGTAGTCCCAGCTACTCAGGTGGCTGAGATGTGAGGATCACTTAAGCCTGGGAGGCGAAGGTTGCAGTGAGCCAAGATCATGCCACACTACACTCCAGCCTGGATAACAGAGGGAGGCCTTGTCCCTGCTAAAAATAAAATAATAATTGTGTGCCACTGGTTTAGGGTTATGTGGTTCTATTTTGCACCCTGTTTTTATATATTTATACTATCCTTGAATACACGCTTGCATACTCTTTGCCCATTGTTATGTGGCAAGCTAATAACTAGCCATTGTAGAAGGTGGCTTTAACTCACATACATCAACTCTAGTGAAAACTGTTGAATGGAAGTCTGTCATCTACATAGCAAATAGTATTAAACACTTTTACATGTGTTGTGTAAAACATGCCATCCCTTGTAATCCATGTAAACACACATGAAATATGCATTGCTACCTCTTTTTTCTCAGAGAAGGAAATTGAGGCATAGTGAGGGTAAGTAACGTTATCCTCAAGACCGCAAAGCAAGTGAAGAAACAGCTGGTATTTAAACCCAGTCCTTTCTGGCTCCAGTACACATGTTCTCCCTCGTACGTTGCTGCTTGTAAGTGAGAGATCAACACTGCAGAGGAAACAATTTCCTTTTCTGCCCCTCTGGTAAGGGCAGAGGCAGACTGACCATGAAGCTAATGAAGCTTCAGCCTCAGGGCTCCTCACTTGCATGGGCCCCTCCATAGCCCTGTGCCTGATTTTTTTTAATGTATTTTTTATTTCAGTGACTTTTGGAGTAGAAGGGGTTTTTGGTTACATGAATGAGTTATGTAGTGGTGAATTATAAAACTTCAATGGACCCATCACCTGAGTAGTGTATGTTACACTCAATGTGTAGTTTTTCACCCCACACACCTCCCCCCCTTTATTTTATTTTTTTTGAGAAGGAGTCTCACTCTGTCACCCAGGCTAGAGTGCGGTGGCATGATCTTGGCTCACTGCAACCTCCGTCTCCCAGGTTCAAGCAATTATCATGCCTCAGCCTCGATAATCCCAGTAGCTGGGATTACAGGCATGCACCACCATGCCCAGCTAATTTTTGTACTTTTAGTAGAGACGGGGTTTCGCCATGTTGGCCAGGCTGGTCTGGAACTCCTGACCTCAAATGATCTGCCCACCTTGGCCTCCCAAAGTGCTGGGATTACAGGTGTGAGCCACTGTGCTCAGCCCCACCCTCCCCCATTATTTCACTCTGTATGCCTTTGCGTATTCATAGCTTAGCTGCCTGTGCCTAATTTCATATCACCCTAGATCAGGCCCAACAAAACTTGGACCTGCTCTTGGTTAAAGGTATACAGCTTTTGATAATTTTCATGAGATACTCACATAGTCAATATGAATTGAGTTCTAGTTAACAAATTCCATTTGGAGAAAACCATTCTCTCTTTTTTTTTTTTCTTTTTCTTTTTTTTTTTTAAGATAGAGCCTCACTCTGTCGCCCAGGCTGAAGTGCAGTGGTGCCGTCTCGGCTCACTGCAACTTCCGCCTCTGGAGTTCAAGCGATTCTCCTGCCTCAGCCTCCCGAGTAGCTGGGACTACAGGCATCCGCCACCATGCCAGGCTAATTTTTGTATTTTCAGTAGAGATGGGGTTTCACCATATTGGCCAGGCTGGGAAAACCATTCTTTTGAAATAAATTGGAACTCTAATGGAGAGAAATGGGGATGATTGCTAAGAGCTGATCAATAGTGTTGGTGGCTGAGGAAGCGGTCGTGAGAGAGAACTATGAGGGGAAGTTCGGGGCTGAGAGCTCTGTGTGCACTGAGGACTTGCAGAACTGTTCACCTGGGAGGCCAAAAGTTGCACCCTAGGATGAGTCACCAGAGAATCAGCTCAAGAGGAGCAAGGAAGCCCCAAGTGAATTCCAAAGGAATGCACTACTCACCCCCTTATGAGAAGATGGGCAGTGGGGCTGTCAGGCTTGAGTATAGTTAGAATAGAATAATCATGTCCTGAAAGCTCAGCCTGGGCAACATTACAAGACCTCATCTCTAAAAACAAAAATTAGCTGGATGTGATGACTCATGCCTGCAGTCCCAGCTACTTCAAAGACTGAGGCAGGTGGATTGCTTGAGCCCAGGATTGCAAGTCTGCAATGAGCTATGATCATGTCATTGCACTCCAGCCTGGGCAACAGAGTGAGACCCTGTCTCTAAAACAAACAAACAAAAACAAAGAAAGCAACTTCCAGCCACTTTGATAATTCCTGCTTCGGGAATTGGATGGAAGCACTGGAATGCACTGCAGAATGTATACAGAGCTTTTCCAGCTCAAGCCTTAGAGATGATCTTATTTAAGCACCTGGCAAGTTAGATGGGTAGATGAACGTGCTTGCTGGAGGTCCCACAACCAATGCTAGTGCCTCATCTTCTGATTGTCACCACCTCCTTTGTGTTTTCCTTGAGGTCTGTGAAATATTCAAAAGCAGATGATGGAGATCGTACCAGGAATTTACTGGACCTGATGGGAATTTGCCTAGCCTTGGAGAGATGCTTCTCATCTGGGGATCAGCCAGTGCCCCTTGAGCTAAGTTTCTACTGATGACTGCCATGTCACCGAGCACCACAGTGGGACCTGGAAGGGATTCTGTCAGTCCCCTGGGTTCCTTGCTGATGCATGCTCACTGTCTGGCAGACACAAGGAATTTGGTCTTTTATTGACAGCAAGTTTCTGTGGTGTAACTCAATATGAAAGCCAGTGTTTTCTGGCGGGCCTGGGGGATATTTTTCATAGGTCTGCAATGTGACTAGCAGTAAAGATTGCTTGATGCCCTGCCCCATGGGCACCCAGGAGGGAATGTGCCCAGCAGGAGAGCGGGCCTATTAATGGAGAGTTGAAGTTTTATGAGGACCAACTCTGGGCAAGCAACTGTGCTGGGCCCTGAAGGAGACATAAGTGAGAGAAGATTCTAGTCTCTCTTACTTATCCACTCTCTGCTGAAAGGAAGCACGTTCCATTTTGGAATTGTTAGAAGGTTCTTTGATTTAATGCATATTCCCATCTGCCTCCAAAACGGCTTTTTTCATCAAGTATTTACTTGCAATTTTACCTTTTGCCTGTGAGCTGGCTTTCTAAATGTCCATTGAATCGCCAATGCATAAGAAGATGATGACTAAAAGGTTTAGGCATCAGCATCAGGTTTCAAAAGCTTGCTTTGTGCCGGGCACAGTGGCTCACACCTGTAATCCCAGCACTTTGGGAGGCCAAGGCAGGTGAATCACCTGAGATCAGGGGTTCGAGACCAGCCTGGACAACATTGTGAAACCCCGTCTCTACTAAAAATACAAAAAACTAGCCAGGCATGGTGGTGCACGCTTGTAATCCCAGCTACTTGGGAGGCTGAGGCATGAGAATCGTATCAACCCGGGAGGTGGAGGTTGCAGTGAGCCGAGATGGCGCCACTGCAGTCACTGAACCTGGGCAACAAGAGCAAAACTCCATCTCAAGAAAAAAAAAAAAGGTTTGCTTTGGGCCAGAGAGAGGAGAAATGCAAAGCAGTCATTTACCAAACATTTTTTTTTTATGTTTTTGTTATATGTTATATGTTTTTGTTTTTTTATGCTTTTGTCAATTTTGTCTAAGATCAGTTGGCTATAGATGTATAGCTTTATTTCTGGGTTCTCTTTTCTGTGTTCCATTAATCTATGCAATTGTTTTTATACCAGTACCATGCTGTTTTGGTTACTACAGCCTTGTAATATTATTTGAGGTCAGGTAATATGATGCCTTCAGCTTTGTTCTTTTTCCTTAGGATTGTTTTGGCTACTTGGTGATTTCATATGAATATTAGGGGTTTTTTTTTAATTCTGTGAAAAATGACATTGGCATTTTGAATTGCACTGAATCTGTAGATTGCAGATTGCAGATTGTTTTGGGCAGTATGGTCATTTTAACAATATTGATTCTTCCAATCCATTAGCATGGGATATTTTTTCATTTGTTTGGGTCATCTCTGATTTCTTTCAGGAGTGTTTTGTAGTTTTCCTTACAGAGATCTTTCACCTCTTTGGTTAAATATATGCCTAGGTATTTTTTTTTTTTTGGTAGCTATTGTAAATGAGATTGTTTTCTTAATTTGGTTCTCAGCTTGATTGTTACTGATATGAATAAATGGTACTGATTTTTGTATGTTTATTGTGTATCCTGAAACTTTCCTGAATTCATTTATCAAATGTAGGAATTTTTTTGGTGGAGTCTTCAGGGTTTTCTAGGTATAAGACCTTATCATCAAGCATTTTTGTACTCATCTGTGAAACACCCTCATCCGGATTTGTGCTCAGCTCTCTCTAGGCAGGGTGTGCAGATACAAGCGTGGACAGGAGAGAGAATCACGTTCCTGTTCTGTTGGACAATGGTCCTCAGCCCCGGGAGCAACAGCTGCATTTTCAACAACTGGAACTTGGAGTATAGATTCCTTCCCACATTGCCTATGTTTAACCCCTTTGTGGGAAATCTGTTTTGTCACACTTCAAAATCACAGTGAGAGATGACCAGTCATAGCCAGCACACCTAAGAACACAGCATGCGCTGCGTTTATTTTCAAGGCTGGGATAAATTCTGAGTACTTAACCAATTTCGAGACATCTGCTTCACCACATATTACAGAACCAAAGGTGATAATAATTGGCTATCTGGCTGCCTGGAGCATAATTGCTGATTGAATGACATCTTGTTCATCCTGGTGACTGTACAAGGAGGCCAACTGGAAATACAAATCAATGCATAATCAGCTAAGAGCATAGCGGTCTCTCATTACGGCTCTACACCAAGGTACCCTGAGTTGGCCTAGCAATTGTATCATTATACAAATAACATTAAAGATTAGGGGAGATATGGAATTTCCCTACAAATGTTGGCTATTATTATTGTTTTAATTCATTAATGCTAAATGTTCTTTCTATGAAGCTTAATGAAATTCCGCTTTATCTTTCCCATATGTATGTAGAATTTCAGACAGCATTTCATTGGAACATACCTTCATACTGGTCCATTTATAAATCTGAATAGGCTTGACTCTTTTCAGCCTAATTAACGTTCTTCCAAGGCATCAAGGGAGATGAGAAGGAAGAAGAATATTTTCAGCAAAAAGAGGGGTAATAGGCACTACTGAAAGAAGGCTTGGAGCTTGCAGTGGAGTTAACTTTTGGTTCATTCTTGCTTTTTGCAAACGCACCAGTGACGGTGAGCCCATCGGACTGACGCTAATGGAAAGAGGGCTGAGAATGGTGGCTCTTGCCTATAACCCCAGCACTTTGGTAGGCTCAGGCAGGAGGATCGCTTGAGGCCGGGAGTTCAAGACCAGCCTGGGCAGCAGAAAGAGACCCTGTCTCTACAGAAAATAAAATAAAAACTTAGCCAGGCATGGTGGCATGTGCCTGTAGTCTGAGCTACTTGGGAGGCTGAGGCAGAAGCTTTTAGCACAGAAGTTCAAGGGTGCAGTGAGACATGCTCATGCCACTGCACTCCAGCCCGGGCAACACAGCAAGATCCTGTCTCAAAAAAAAAAAAAAAAAAAAAAAATGGAGAGAGGCTACAGGATGGCAACAGCTGGCACTAGGACAGTCTTTTGTCAATGGGCTTGTGGGAAAAGGAAATGGTGTCAACCTCACATACACACACAACTCACCTCTTGCTGCCTAGGTCTTTCTTCTTATTGGAAATTTGCATCTTGCTCAAGTTTTGCTCCCAATAGGACAGAGGGCTGGGAGCTGATTCCAAGCCTAGGAGGCTCCCAGAATCTCTCACAACTTCCCTATGTGGATTAATTTGTGATCACTTGCCAGGGCCAGCGAGCAATAAGGCACCAATTGCTTCTATCTTAATTAAGTTACTTAGGGAAGAAAGAGAAAGAACAAAGGAATTAATTCAGATTTTCTCACTGAAACTGAAAGTTCTTTTTTTTGGTCTGGCCAGTAAGCAAGAGGGAACAGAAAGATTTGGCTCGTGCCTTCCTCATTCGCCTCTTCAGCTTGTCCCTCTTCCTCTATACACTCCCCCACATTCTATATGCCCCAGTTCTGTTCTCCAGAAGCAATTGCTGCTAGCAAAGATAGTCTATGCATACACAAACATATGTGATTATATAATGATTATATAACACTCTTCTTTATAAGCAACAACAAATGTGCACATGGTAGCATACTTTATACATAGCTCTCTATATTTTTGTTTGTTTTGTTTTGTTTTTTGAGATGGAGTTTTGCTCTTTTTGCCCAGGCTGGAGTGCAACCTCCGCCCCCCAGGTTAAGTGATTCTCCTGCCTCAGCCTCCCAAGTAGCTGGGATTACAGGTGCATGCCACCATGCCCAGTTAATTTTGTATTTTTCAGTAGAGACAAGGTTTCACAGTATTGGCCAGGCTGGTCTCGAACTCCTGACTTTGTGATCTGCCTGCCTGGGCCTCCCAAAGTGATGGGATTACAGGCGTGAGCCAGCATGCCCAGCCCATCTTGTTTTTTTGACAGACTGTTTCCCAAAAATTATGAGGAAGTATGTAATTTAATTAGATGAATTCATTCATTATTATTTTTTTCTTTTTTTCTTTGAGACAGAGTCCTGCTCTGTCGCCCAAGCTGGAGTGCAATGGCACGATCTCGGCTTACTGCAACCTCCACCTCCTGGATTCAAGCAATTCTCCTGCCTCACCCTCCCAAATAGCTGGGATTACAGGCGTGCACCACCATGCCCAGCTAATTTTTGTAATTTTGGTAGAGACGGGGTTTCACGGTGTTGGCCAGGCTGGTCTTGAACTCCTGACCTCAAGTAATCCGCCTGCCTTGGCCTCCCAAAGTGCTGTAATTACAGGCTTGAGCCACCACGCCTGGCCCAGTTTATTGTTTGAGATAGGGTCTCACTCTGTTTCACAGGTTGGCATGCAGTGTTGCAATCACGGCTCACTGCAGCCTCAAACTCCTGGGCTCAAGTGATCCTCCTGCCTCAGCTTCCTGAGTAGCTGGGACTACAGGCATGCACAACCATATTCAGCTAACTGTTAATTTTTTTGTAAAGACAGGGTCAGCTGGGTATGGTGGCTCACGCTTGTAATCCCAGCACTTTGGGAGGCCGAGGCAGGCTAATCATGAGGCCAGGAGTTTGAGACCAGCCTGGCCCATATGGTGAAGCCTCGTCTCTACTAAAAATACAAAAATTAGCCGGGCATGGTGGCATGCTCCTGTAGTCCCAGTTACCCAGGAGGCTGAGGCAGAAGAATCGCTTGAACCTGGGAGATGGAGGTTGCAGTGAGCCGAGTTTGCACCACTGCACTCTAGCCTAGGCGACAAAATGAGACTCTGTCTCAAAAAAAAAAAAAAAAAGAGCCTTGCTATGTGGCCCAGGGTGGTCTGGTGTCAAACTCCTGGCCTCAAGTGATCCTCCTGCCTCGGCCTCCCAAAGTGTTATAAACATGAGCCACCATGACTGGCCTGGAACTATTTTAATAAGAGCAATCCCCTGATACAAGTCTTACTTTGTAGACAAAGCCTTTTCCCAATCATTTCTGCCATGAGGTTGGAAGTTTTCGTTAGGCTTCCCTCGTGCTTCTTCTCTTTCCTTTTCTGGAAAATGAGACGTAGAACAAGATGACTTTTCAAGTTGCTTCCAATCATTGATTCATCTTATAGGACAGGAAATTGGATGGCAACAAACTTGTTGATTTCCTGAAAGTCCAAATGTAATTGTCTGCAGAGCAAGGGTGGGAACCAAAGTCCTTGACTTCTAACCTCAGGGTTTTGCCACCAGACCATACTGCCATTGCTGCTTACCATTCCTCTTCTGATGCCTACAGCCTGGGAAGTCCCAGAGCAAAAGTTTATACTTAGGCTAGCTTTTGAGTGTGGGGAAGTGGTAGGAATTATTGGGCTGGATGGATCAAATTTCCTTTCTATTGTTAGGAAGAGGCTGGATCCTGTCTTAAGTCAATGTCATGAGATCTGATATGGGTGGATGAGAATAGGCTCTGGGGTCAAGGATGGAGGGAAGAAGAGACTCTAGGCCAGATGCGGTGGCTCACGCCTGTAATCCCAGCACTTTGGGAGGCCGAGGCGGGCAGATCACGAGGTCAGCAGTTCGAGACCAGCCTGGCCAACATGGTGAAACCCTGTCTGTACTAAAAGTACAAAAATTAGCCAGGCGTGGTGGCAGATGCCTGTAATCCCAGCTACTCGGGAAGCTGAGCCAGGAGAATCACTTGAACCCAGAAGGCAGAGGTTGCAGTGAGCCGAGACCATGCCATTGCACTCCAGCCTGGGCAACAGAGCGAGACATCGTCTCAAAAAAAAAAAAAAAAAAAAAAGAAGAAGAAACTGTATGCATGAATGCAAAATCAAGGTGATACTAAAGGAGACGAATCAATGAGGTTTGGCGCAAGAAAATAAAGTCACGAGCTGCTCATTAAGGTTAACAATGACATAGAATGTTGCCATACCTGTAATGGGCTCAAGAATTGTGGGATGCAGCCGGACGTGGTGGCTCACTCCTGTAATCCCAGCACTTTGGGAGGCCAAGGTGGGTGGATCACTTGAGGTCAGGAGTTCAAGACCAGCCTGACCAATATGGTGAAACCCCATTTCTACTAAAAATACAATACTTAGCTGGTCGTGGTGACACATGCCTGTAATTCCATCTACTCAGGAGGCTGAGGCAGGAGAATTGCTTGAACCTGGGAGGCAGAGGCTTCAGTGAGCCGAGATCGTGCCATTGCACTCCGGCCTGGGCGACAGAGTGAGACTTTGTCTCAAAAAAAAAAAAAAAGAGAGAATTGTGGGATGCGGTTATGGGTAGACACAGTGAATTTACTCTATGGCACTCAAACTCCTTTTTTTTTTTTTTTTTTTTGTCAGAGTCTTCCTCTGTCACCCAGGATGGAGTGCAGTGGTGTGATCTCGGCTCACTGCAAGCTCCGCCTCCCGGGTTCATGCCATTCTCCTGCCTCAGCCTCCCGAATAGCTGGGACTACAGGCGCCCACCACCATGCCTGGCTAATTTTTTGTATTTTTAGTAGAGATGGGGTTTCACCGTGTTAGCCTGGATGGTCTCAATCTCCTGACCTCGTGATCCGCCTGCCTCGGCCTCCCAAAGTGCTGGGATTACAGGGGTGAGCCACCGCGCCCGGCCCAAACTCCTTTTTTTTTTTTTGAGACGAAGTCTCACTCTGTCACCCAGGCTGGAGTGCAATGGCAAAATCTTGGCTTACTGCAACCTCTGCTTCCCAGGTTCAAGCGATTCTCCACCTCAACCTACTGAGTAGCTAGGACTACAGGCGCGGGCCACTACGCGCAGCTAATTTTTGTATTTTTAGTGGAAATGGGGTTTCACCTTGTTGGTCAGACTGGTCTCGAACTCCTGACCTCGTGGTCCGCCCACCTCAGCCTTTCAAAGTGCTGGGATTATAGGTGTGAGCCACCATGCCCAGCCTCAAACTCTTTTTTTTTTTTTTTTTTTTTTTGAGACGGAGTTTCACTATTTTTGTCTAGGCTGGAGTGCAATGGCGCGATCTTGGCTCACTGCAACCTCCACCTCCCGGGTTCAAGCAATTCTCCTGCCTCAGCCTATCAAGTAGCTGGGATTACAGTCATGTGCCACCATGCCCGGCTAATTTTTGTATTTTTAGTAGAGATGGGGTTTCACCATGTTGGCCAGGCTGGTCTCGAACTCCCAACCTCAGGTGATCCACCCACAGCCTCCCAAAATGTTGGAATTACAGGCGTGTGCCACCGTGCCGAGCTCAAACTCCTTTTAAAAAAAAATATTTATTTATTTTTCTGAGACAAGGTCTCTCTCTGTTGTCCAGGCTGGAGTGGAGCAGCATAATAATAACTCACTGCTGCCTCGATCTCCTGTAATCAAGGGATCCTCCCACCTCAGTCTCTCAAGTAGCTAGGACTACAGATGCGCACCACCGCAACTTGCTAATTAAAAAAAAAATTGGTAAAGATGGGGTCTTGCCATGTTGCCCAGGCTGGTCTTGAACTCCTGGGCCCAAGTGATTCTCCTGCCTCAGCCTCCCAAAGTATTGGGATTACAGGTGTGAGCCACTATGGCTGGCGTCAAAATTCTTTAATTAAATTAAATTAAATTAATTAATTAACTTATTCATTTGCTTATTTTTTGCTAGTTAGAGTCTTTCTTGGACCAGGCTTCCTAGAAAACTGAGCATCAGGCAAAGCTTAAGTGCTAACATTTCATGAGAGGCCCAATTCCAGGTCAGTGAGAGTAAGGAAAGAGGGAAGTGGGAAGTGGGAAAAGGGAATCGCCTCAGGAGACGAGGGGAAGCAAATAAAAGAAGACATGTTCCAGAACTGGCCATGGCTTCAGGAAAACACACAGCTAGTTGCTTAGTCACATGGGTTGTCTTCAGAGGAGCCATAGAGAACACAGCATCCCAGTACAGCCCATTGAAGGGGAAAAGGGAGAGGAATGTATTTTCTCTCTCTCTCCTCTCTCCTGTCTCCCACTGGTCAGGGTTCTCCCATGAGTATTCACTATCCTGCCTTTCTGGATTGTGTCTCCAGACACTTTTGTGCAGCTGCTGGGGAAGCCAGTTTCCACATGCTACAGTTCAGCACTTCCTCCAAATCCATCAGTGAAAGGAAAGACCAGAGCCTTCCAGGTCTGATCATGCCTGGGCATCAGAGCTGCTGCAACTCCCATTGGAGTGGGAGCAATGGGGGCTGTGTTGGAGCTGGGCATCCCCCTGGGTGGAGGCCTGGGGGCTGTCAGTCCAGCTGATGATGTGGCACTGAGAGTAGTGATGGCCGGTGGTGGGGGTCTCCATGAGTGAGCAACCAAGGGCACGGGAGACAGCTGGGGCCAGGGGAACCTGAGGAGGTGTATAAACTGTATCTGATACAGAGTTCCAAAAGAAAAGTGATAAGACATTCAAATTAAGGTAATATTAGAAAAATCTATTCATAAAGGCACTCTTTCTAGAGATAACAGTGTAAGGGAAGCATGAGGGATAATTTGATAGCTCTGGGCTGGTAGTAGCAGAGCTGTTACCAAGTCCAGGCTGGAGGGATTTAGGGAAGAGCATAATTACTGGAATCAGAAGGACATTCATGTAGAAGAGGCCACCTTAAAGGGAACAACGACCTTTGGTCAAGGGACACCACCAATCCCAGGGCAATCTCACAAAGTAGGAGTTAGGGCTGGTACAGTGGCTCACACTTGATATCCCCGCACTTTGGGAGACTGAAATGGGAGGATCGCTTGAGCCCAGGAGTTCAAGACCAGCCTGGGCAATAGAGTGAGACCCCATCTCTAAAAAAAAATTAAAAATTAGCCGGGCATGGTGGCTTGTGCCTGTGGTCCTAGCTACTCAGGAGGCTGAGGCAGGAGGATCTCTTGAGCCTGAGAGGTAGAGGCTGCAGTGAGCCATGATCACACCACTGTACTCCAGCCTGGACGACAGAGAGCCCTGGTCTCAAAAAAAAAAATAGAAAATTTAAAAAAACAACAAAAACCCCACAAAGTTTGAGGGTGAGAATTCCAACTGGAAGCCAGAGAGTAAGAGTCTACTGGGGTAGTTTCTACAGGTCAGTCTCCTAGGGCTCAGAGCTGGGTGGTGAGGTGAGGAGAGGGACCTAGTATGGAGCAACTAGTCTAGGTCTTTCTCACTCCCGCCACTTTTTTTTTTAATTAAATGAGAGCTGACATAGCTGTTTGCAGGGTGAGTAGGATGAGTAGGGTGGCTGGGCAAGGGAAGAGTGTCCCAGGCAAGAGAAGAAAGGTGAGCAAATGCCCAGGGGCAGGACCAAGCAAGGCAAGTTCAGGGAACATTGTCAGGGGGTTGGGAGTTGTCCTATCCACTGGAAGTTGAAGAACTAGAAGAATTACTGGTAAGTGGGTGGGGTTGTACTTTGAAGAGCCTGGAAATAAAGCAGGTCAATTTCCCTTTGGTGTGGCAGGAAAAAGGTTGCTATTAAGGTTTTGAGATGAAAGCAGAATTAAATTATATCAGCATAGGCAAAATAATTAACTTTATTTTATTTTATTTTATTTATTTATTTTTTGAGATAGAGTCTTGCTCTGTCGCCCAGGCTGGAGTGCAGTGGCACCATCTTGGCTCACTGTAACCTCTGCCTCCTGGGTTCAAGTGATTCTCCTGCCTCAGCCTCCAGAGTAGCTGGGATTACAGGCGCTCACAACCACGTCCAGCTGATGTTTGTATTTTCAGTAGAGATGGGGTTTCACTATGTTGGCCAGGCTGGTCTTGAACTCCTGACCTCAAGTGATCCGCCCACCTCAGCCTCCCAAAGTGCTGGGATTACAGGCATGAGGTTCCCCGCCCGGCCACTGTTGGCTTTTAATAATGTATTTAGGGTTCAAGTTAGTACATTTCAGTTACTTATCTTTAATTAATTAATTAATTTATTAGAGACAGGGTCTTGCTCTGTCACCTAGGCTAGAGTTTAGTGATGCAATCATAGCTCACTGTAGCCTTGAACCAGGCTCAAGGGATCCTCCTGCCTCAGCCTCTCAAAGCACTGGGTTTCAGGCATGAGCCACCGCACCTGGTCACTTACCCATTAATAAACATTGTATGGTAACAGTAACTAATTTGGGAAGCTAGTTATAAAGTTATCCCAACTCAGCCACATGTGTTTGTTTCAAGAGTGAGTTCTGGATGTCAGGTAACTGTTGAAGTTTACTCAGGGATGTAGGTATCTGTACTCCTCTGTGGGCTTATACATCCCTATGTTTGAAACAGATTAGCCCAGTAGTTTTAAAGATGATACAGAACTTGCATCACTTCAATTCTGTCATTCAATGTGGAATTTTTGTGTTTAAAATTTAAAACTGTGAAACAAAGAACAAACTGTGAGGTGATTTTTTTTTTTTTTTTTGATCTGGTAAGTACAAACTTTCATACATGAAGTATTTTAAATCTGACTTAACATCTTTAAAATTAAGATTTATTTTTCTAATTTTAATCAATACTTGTTGGTTTAAAACTGATAAATTAGTCAAGGAAATAACTGGTTTTCTTTGTGTGTGTGTGTGTGTGTGCACCAATATTAATAGTGTATGACATGAGCAACAACCTGGTGAAGAGGGAAAATGAGTCTCTCACAATAAAGAAAGCTTTTTCAGCCAGCACGGTGGCTCATGCCTATCCCAGCACTTTGAGGGGACAAGGCAGGCAGATCACATGAGGTCAGGAGTTCAAGACCAGCCTGGCCAACATGGTAAAACCCTGTCTTTACTAAAAATACAGAAATTAGCTGGGTGTGGTGGCACGTGCCTGCAATCCCAGCCACTTGGGAGGCTGAGGCAGGAGAATTGCTTGAACCCAGCAGGCGGAGGTTGTAGTGAGCCGAGATGGGGCCACTGCACTTCAGCCTGGGCAAAAGAGCAAGACTCTGTCTCAGAAAGAAAGAGAGAAAGAGACAAAGAGGGAGAGAGAGAAAGAGAAAGAGAGAGAGAGAGAATGAAAGAAAGGAAGGAAGGAAGGAAGGAAGAAAGAAAAAGAAAGAGAGAGACAGAGAAAGAAAGGAGGGAAGGAGGGAGGAAGGAAGGAAGGAAGGAAGGAAGGAAGGAAGGAAGGAAGGAAGGAAGGAAGGAAGGAAGGAAGAGCTTTCTCTACCGTTCAAAATAAAAGAGAAAAGAACACAATAGGCTGGGCACCATGGCTCACGCCTGTAATCCTAGCACTTTGGGAGGCCTAGGCGGGTGGATCACTTGAGGTTAGAAGTTCAAGAACAGCCTGGCCAATATGGTGAAACCCCATCTCTACTAAAACGCAGAAATTAGCTGGGCGTGGTGGTGCATGCCTGTAATTCCAGCTACTTGGGAGGCTGAGGAAGGTGAATCGTTGAACCCAGGAGGTGGAGGTTGCAGTGAGCCGAGATCTTGCTATTGTATTCCAGCCTGGGCAACAGAGTGAGATTCTGTTAAGGGAGGAGACCACCCCTCATATTGTCTTATGCCCAATTTCTGCCTCCAAAGAAAGAAGAAGTAAAAACTAAAAGGCAGAAATGAAATCCACAGGCAAACAGCCTGCTGCCGCGCCCTGGGCCTGGTAGTTACAACCTAACCAGTTATGTTATCTATAGATTCCAGATATTGTATTGAAAAGCATTGTAAAAATCCCTGTACTGTTCTGTTCCGATCTGATTACTGGTGCATGCAGCCCCCAGTCACGTACCCCCTACTTGCTCAATCAATCATGACCCTCTCACGCAGACCCCCTTAGAGTTGTGAGCCCTTAAAAGGGACAGGAATTGCTCACTCGAGGAGCTCGGCTCTTGAGACAGGAGTCTTGCCGATGCTCCCAGACAAATAAACCACTTCCTTCTTTAACTCTGTGTCTGAGGAGTTTGTTCTGCAGCTTGTCCTGCTACATTTCTTAGTTCCCTGACTGGGAAGCGAGGTGATTGGCAGATGGTCGAGGCAGCTCCTTAGGCGGCTTAGGCCTGCCCTGTGGAACATCCCTGCGGGAGACTCCGACACGAGCGACGCAGATCCTGAGAGCGCTCCCGGGTAGGCATTTGCCTGGTGGGACGCCTCGCCAGAGCAGTGTGTGGCAGGCCCCCGTGGAGGATCAACTCAATGGCTGAACACTGGGAAGGAACTGGTACTTGGAGTCCAGACATCTGAAACTTGGTAAGACTAGTCTTTGGAACTTGCCTACTCCGTTTGAGTGGAAGCGTGGCCTGATCACACACCTTTATTGGCACTTTGGTTTGGTTTTGGTTTTGGTTTTGACTTGGTTTGAATTGCTTGACAGGCCCGGTCTTGGGAACTTGCCCACTCCATTTGAGTGGAAGTGTGGCGTGCCTGTACCGGAACTTTGGTTTTTGTTTTTGACTTGACTTGGATTGCTTGATACTTTGGTTTTGGTTTTGAACTGGCTTGGATTTCTGGATACTCTGATTTTTTTTATTTTGGTTTGGTGTAAACTGCAAAAGTGTGTGTGTGCCCTTTTCACCTGTTCTTTGTTTTGTGGTGTGTGTGTGGTGTGAGTGTGGTGTTTTGTCTCGAAGAAGCATGGGTCAGGCACAAATAAGCCCACCCTCCTAGGAATTATGTTGAAAAATTTCAAAAAAGGATGATTTAACATTAACCACTGAAAATTCCCTTAACCCAGCAGGTTTCCTAACAGGGGATCTAAATCTTAATTACCATACAAAGGTCCAACCAAACCTAGGAGGAACTCCCTTCAGGGCAGGACGATGGATAGTTCCTCCTGGGTAATTGAAGGAAAAAAAAGCCATCTATACCAATTCTAAGTTAATTTGGACAAAACAAGGTCTTATTAATAGCAAATGATAATTAAAATCCCAAACTTAAAAGGTTTTCAACAAAAGTAAAGTTTGCTAAAAGTTAACAATGTAACATGTATTATGCTAACTTCTATTCTTGTGGCCTTGGAGTCTAGTGCACAGACATAAAAGAAGTTTGCTTTGGAAAAGAATGGTTATCATCTTCAAAAAAAAAAAAAAAAAAGGAAAAATAGGGGGGTGGAATTTATGTAAAAATAGTATTATATGGTACATTCTTGTCCTGAAATAAATTAACTGGTTGTTTAAAGAAAGAAGTATTTGTAATAAGTCAGAAAGTTGAGGCATGTCGAAGAATTGTCTGTGAAAGTCGTGAAAGAGAAAAATGTTATAAAAATAAAAAAGAATTTATGTAAGAAGTGTTGTATAATTTAAAAGTAACTATGCCCCCTGAATGTAAAACTATTAAAAAAACCAGTTTATGTGCAAGGTGTATAAGGAAAGTAAAATATACCTTTAGTAAAAGTATTATAAGAAGGCATAAGAATATAAATTTTTACCTACATTAAAAGGTTAAAAATATGTATATTTTGTTTTAAAGGTTTAATCAAGTTTTAAAATGTTAATTGGAAAGAAAATTCTGTGTGTAAACATTGGCTAAAGTTAACAAGGTATCATCCAGTTTTTCTGTAAACTGGACATTAAAATAAAAGCATAGCAGGTTATTCTTAAAGCACCAACCTGCTCTTCAGCAAAAGTTATAAAAGGTTAAACAGAGTATATAAAATCTTACCTTATGCTCAAACATTAAAAATTGGATAAATATGTCTACAAGGTTTTATTAAAATTAGGTTTAACATTAATAACACACTAATATAAAGGTAAAATTTAGCTTATCTGGTATAAAAATCAAACAAAAAGCATTGCTAAATGTAAAATGGTATTTGGCTTTCTTTGGTTTAAAAACTAATAAAAATAGGTGCTAAAGGAAATTTCTCAGTAAAAAGGCACTAAAGACTATAACGTCCACTGCCAAGGTCCCCACATTTAAAACTAAAGATCAATTTCTTAAACATTATATACTTGGTTTATCTTCCACTTTCCTTTCCCTCAAAAACTAAAAGTATTTTAGCACATGTACCACCCCTAGAATTTCCGGTAAACCAGCATCAGCCTGAAGATCACGTTCTCATCAAAGGGTGGAAAGAAGAAAAACTCGAGCCAGCCTGGGAAGGACCCTACCTTGTGCTGCTAACCACCAAGACTGCTGTTCGTACAGCAAAAAAGGATGGACTCATCACACCCGAGTCAAGAAAGCATCACCCCCTCCAGAGTCGTGGGCCATAGTCCCATGTGAAAACCCTACCAAACTAAAGCTAAGAAAAATTTAACTTTTTTTTATCTATTCTATTACTCTTTCTTCTTTCCTTGTTCTATTGCTGACCATCTAGTTATTAACATAACCAAGTCAATTTTGCCTCAAACTATTGCATTTAATGCTGGCCTTGTTATACCCTGTGGGGACTTGCCAAGCCAAAGACAGCTTTCTACCTCAGAAAAGCACCTCTGTCCCTCCTGACTCTCCTCACACTGGGCATTAGTAAACTAGGACCATTTAATCCGGGGAGATTTCGATAAAGATCCCAGTGCCAACCAGGAGTCTTGCCCCCAATGTAGAGCTTTTATGCCGTAGTTGGTCCAACATTCTGTGGACCACTAAAGAGCAAGGATGGACTGCCCCAACCGGTTTCTGTAATTTCCTAAAATCATACATTCATTTTACTAGAGGATCATAGAAGTTAAAGACGTAAAACAAACTTTAGCAATTAAGACAGGATACCAAGATGCAAATGCCTGGTTAAAATGGATCAAATATTCCACCTGCACGTTAAACAAAAGCAATTGTTATGCTGGTGCACATGGCAGGCCAGAGGCCCTTATTGTCCCCCTTCCACTAAGGTGGTCCTCCAGTCCACCAGGCGTAGGCTGCATGGTAGCTCTTTTCCAGGATTCTACAGCCTGGAGTAATAAGTCATGCCAGGCTTTCTCTGCTATATCCCGAAGTCTGGCACCCTGTGGGTCAGCCCCCGTGGGCCATCCAGCTTCTGTCTCCCAACACTAAGTTCACTTCGTGTCTCTCACGAGAGGGAGGAAACTTAGCATTCCTTGGAGACCTGAAGAAATGCGATGAGCTTAAGAATTTTCAAGAGCTTATCAATCAGTCAGCTCTTGTTCATCCCCGAGTGGATGTGTGGTGGTATTGTGGTGGGCCTTTACTGGGCACTCTGCCAAATAACTAGAGTGACACTTGTGCTTTAGTCCATTTGGCTATCCCTTTCACCCTGGCATTTCATCAACCAGAGGGAGAAAAAAATAAGACACCGTAAAGCGAGAGAAGCCCCTTATGGGTCTTTCAACTCTTACATCTGTTTAGATGCAATTGGAGCCCCGCAAGGAATACCAGATCAGTTTGAAGCTTAAAATCAAATAGCTACAGGATTTAAGTCAATATTTTAGTAGGTGACAGTTAATAAAAATGTAAATTAGATAAACTACATCTATTACAACCAACAGCAACAAGCTTTTCATGAGTTAAAAAAAATAAAACAAACTCCTGTCGGCCCCTGCCCTGGGGCTACCTGACCTGACAAAACCCTTTACACCCTATGTGTCAGAAACAGAAAAAATGGCAGTTGGAATTTTAACCCAGACTGTGGGGCCCTGGCCAAGGCCAGTTGCCCATCTCTCAAAACAACTAGACGGGGTTTCCAAAGGCTGCCCCCCCTCACCCCATGTCTAAGGGCCCTGGCAGCAATGGCCCTGTTAGCATAAGAAACAGATAAACTAACCCTTAGGCAAAACCAGAATGTAAAGGCCCCCCCATGCTGTGGTAACTTTAATGACTACCAAAGGACATCATTGGTTAACAAATGCTAGATTAACCAAGTACAAAAGTTTGCTATGTGAAAATCCCCACATAACCATTGAAGTTTGCAACACCCTAAACCCCACCACCTTGCTCCTGGTATCAGAGAGCCCAGTTGAACATAACTGTTTAGAGGTGTTGGACTCAGTTTATTCTAGCAGGCCCAACCTCCGAGACCATCCTTGAACATCAGTAGATATGAGCTGTACGTGGACGGGAGCAGCTTTGCCAACCCCTGAAAAGTGACTCTGAAGAAGACGACAAGCCCTGCTCCAGTCACACCCGGAAGCTGACTGGTCCACGCATGGCCGAAGCATGAGGAAACTCATTGCAGGACTCATTTTCCTTAAAATTTGTACTTGTACAGTAAGTACTTCAACTGACCTTCCTCAGACTGAGGGCTATTCCCGGTGCATACATCAAGTCACTGAGGTAGGACAAAAAGTTGCTATGGTCCTATTATTTTACAGTTATTATAAGTGTACTGGAACTCTAAAAAAAAAACTTGTTTGTATAATGTTATTATATACAAGGTATGTAGCCCAGGAAATGTGTGTGTTATGACCCTGATGTGTGTTATGACCCACCTGAGCCTCCCATGACCACAGTTTTTAAAATAAGATTAAGAACTAAAGACTGGTGGGGGCTCATAAACGATACGAGTAAAATGTTAGCCAAAACAAAACAAAACCAAAAAAAAGAGGTGTCCAAACAAGTCACCTTGAAATTTGATGCCTGTGCTGTCATTAAGAGTAATAAGTTAGAAATAGGATGTGGTTCTCTTAATTAAAAAAGAGGCTATATGGCAGAAAATAGGTACATTTATCATAAATTAGGACTGTATAAAAATAAATGTGGATACTGATCTTGTGTCATTTAGGCTACTTGGATAAAAAATAAAAAAATCCTGTCCACCTTCAGAAAGGGAAAAGTGGCCCTTCCTGTACCAGTGGTGAGTGTAACCCCTTAGAACTAGTAATAACCAACCCCCTTAATCTTCACTAGAAAAAAGAGGAACGTGTAGCCCTACAAATTGATGGGGCTGGACTGGATCTTCAAGTAAATATCGTGGTTTGAGGAGAAGTTTATAAACGCTCTCCTGAGCCAGTATTTCAAACCTTCTATGATGAACTGAATGTGCCAATACCAGAAACTCCAGGAAAAACAAGAAATTTGTTTTTGCAATTAGCCGAGCATATAGCCTAGTCTCTCAATGTCACTTCATGTTATGTATGTAGAGGAACTGTAACAGGAGATCAATGGCCATAGGAAGGCTGAGAATTAGTACCTACAGACCCAGTTCCTGATGAATTCCTGGCTCAAAAAAATCACCCTGATAACTTCTGGGTCCAAAAAGCCTCAATCATTAGACAATACTGTATAGCAAGAGTAGGGAAGGACTTTACCCTTCCTGTGGGAAGACTCAGCTGCCTTAGGCAAAAACTGTGTAACAGTACTACAAAAACAGCCACCTAGTAGAGTTCACAAGTGTACTACATGAATCACTATCCATCTGTCATGCAGGAAGACATAGTGAAAATGAAGGTGAGAACTCCCACTGACAAAATAAGTGAGAGTCTCAAAGGAGGAAAATAAGGGAGGAGACCCCTCATATTGTCTTATGCCCAATTTCTGCCTCCAAAGAAAGAAGAAGTAAAAACTAAAAGGCAGAAATGAAATCTACAGGCAGACAGCCCAGCGCCGTGCCCTGGGTCTGGTAATTAAAGTTCAACCCCTGACTTAACCGGTTATGTTATCTACAGATTCCAGACATTGTATGGAAAAGCATTGTAAAAATCCCTGTCCTGTTCTGTTCCAATCTGATTACTGGTGCATGCAGCCCCCAGTCACGTACCCCCTGCTTGCTCAATCGATCATGACCCTCTCACACGGACCCCCTTAGAGTTGTGAGCCCTTAAAAGGGACAGGAATTGCTCACTCAGGGAGCTCGGCTCTTGAGACAGGAGTCTTGCTGATGCTCCTGGCTGAATAAACCCCTTCCTTCTTTAACTCGGTGTCTGAGGGGTTTTGTCTGCAGCTTGTCCTGCTACACTGTCTTAAAAAAAAACAAGCAAAGAAAACCACGGTAGTGTTTTATTTGATAACTTCATGGATTCATAAATGTCTTCTAAATACCTCCCCCCCAAAAAAAAAAACACCTGCTCCAGGCTGAATAAACCCCTTTCTTCTTTAACTCGGTGTCTGAGGGGTTTTGTCTGCAGCTTGTCCTGCTACACTGTCTCAAAACAAAACAAACAAAACCACAATAGTGTTTTATTTGATAACTTCATGGCTTCATAAATGTCTTCTAAATACCCCCCCCCAAAAAAACACCTGCAAAGAACATAGATGGCTTATTTATTTTATTTTATTACTATTATTTTTTGAGACAGAGTCTCAGTCTGTCACCTGAGTGCAGTGGCGTGATCTTGGCTCACTGCCACCTCTGCTTCCCTGGCTCAGGTGATCCTCCTGCCTCAGCCTCCCAAGTAGCTGGAACTACAGGCGTGCACCACCACACCTGGCTAATTTTCAATAGAGATGGGGTTTCACCACATTGGCCAGGCTGGTCTCGATCTCCTGGCCTCAAGTGATCTGCCCTCCTCGTCCTCCCAAAGTGCTGAAATTACAGGCATGAGCCACCATACCCAGTAGATGGCTCATTTTAAAAGGTTAATTTTTTGTACTGTTTTTGTTGGAGACTGCTTGCTAGTAAGATTTTAAAAACGGAACATGCTAGCCATGTAAGTATGGCCTGATTAAAAAACAAGAAACAGAACATGCAACTTGATAACTGGTATTCAAATTTGATAGAAATTAAATCTTAAAGTTTGTGAACCATGAGATTGCTGAATCACATCTCCCCTGCTTAGAAAAATGGGAAACTTTGGCAATGCAATGTAAACTCCTAAACACTATTGATAAAATCTATTAAGTCAAAATACATTAAAAACAAAAAATAGTGAGAAAGTTTGTATCATCATTTGGACTTAATTATGTTTCTAGCCAAACAAAACTTTTCTATCTGTGGTTATAAAGCAGATATACCATCAGCAAACAAAAGAAATATTTTGATGCTGGTAGAAAGACTTAAGTTGCAATCTAGTTTGAAGGGTCATTTTCAAACTAGATTAATAAAATTAAACATATTCCTTTAGAACAGTGGTCCCCAACCCTCGGACCAAGAACCAGTACCAGTCCATGGCCTGTTAGGAACAGGGCCATACAGCATGAGGTGAGCAGTGGGCAAGCCAGCGAAGCTTCATCTGTATTTACAGCCACTCCCATTGCTCACTTTACCACCTGAGCTCTGCCTCCTGTCAGATCACTGGCGGCATTAGATTCTCATAGGAGCACGAACCCTATTGTAAACTGCACATGCAAAGGATCTAGGTTTCCTGCTCCTTATGAAAATCTAATGCCTGATGATCTGTCACTGTCTCCCAACACCCCCACATGGGGCCGTCTAGTTGCAGGAAAACAAGCTCAGGGATCCCACTGATTCTACATTATGGTGAGTTGTATAATTATTTCGTTACATATTACAATGTAATAATAATAGAAATAAAAGTGCCCGATAAATGTAGTGAGCTTGAATCATCCCGAAACAATCCCCACCACCTACCCCCATTCATGGAAAAATTGTCTTCCACAAAACCAGTCCCTGGTGTCAAAAAAGGTTGGTGACTGCTGCTTTAGAAGATGGTTTTATTCAGTACGTATTTCCAAAAAAATTTAGAATTCATTCATTCATTTTTTGGGAAATTGCATTAAAATAGCGGTAAATGTTAAAAAAAGCAAAATCGTAGTCTTTTTGGTGGAACTCCTAATATTTCATACAGTTATTAAATATTTGAAGTGACCAAATGTGTTCATATTAAAGATGACCATATTAAAATAATCATTTTGGGGCATCTTCCTTTTTTTTTTTTTTAGACCGAGTCTCACTCTGTCACCCAGGCTGGAGTGCAATAGTGTGATCTCTGTTCACTGCAACCTCTGCCTATCAGGTTGAAGCAATTCTTCTGCCTCAGCCTCCTGAGTAGCTGGGATTATAGGCATGCACCACACCTCCCGGCTAATTTTTGTATTTTTAGTAGAGATGGGGTTTCACCATGTTGACCAGGCTGGTCTTGAAATCCTGACCTCAGGTGATCCACCCGCCTCAGCCTCCCAAAGTGCTGGAATTACAGGCGTGAGCCCAGCCTGACATCTTCCCTATTTCTGAGAAGATGGGTGCTGAATGCATCAAACATTTATCGGGACAATTGGATATGGATGGACCAAATATAAACCTCTGCTGTGGTCAAGGAAATGACAGCACCACTACTATGCCCGGCGTTCATGGTAGTGTTTACCAAAGATCAAAGGAACTGATCAATCTTTTCTTGTGCTTTCTGCAAGTTATTCTCGGAAACTTTTCAGAGTTTACTGTTTTTTTTGTTTGTTTGTTTTTTGTTTTGTTTTGTTTTGTTTTTTGAGACGGAGTCTTGCTCTGTCGCCAGGCTGGAGTGCAGGCCGGATTGCACCATTGCACTCCATCCTGGCTGACAAAGCAAGACCCTGTCTCAAAAATAAATAAACGATCAAAAAAAAAAAACCCAAAACAAACAAATAAAGAAAAAATAAAATGTGAAAAAAGAAAAGGAAATTAAATTTTGAAGAAGAATAATATAGAGAAATGATAATAGATGTGGGCTTACATTGCCAGAAGAAACTCAAAGGGCATTGTTTGAATGCCCTATTTTTTTTTTCCAAGAGCTGGACACTTGTCCTAAAGAAGTAGATCAAATAATAACAACGTTTACTCTCATTCTCTCTTTTATTTTTTTTTTTGAGATGGAGTTTTGCTCTTGTTACTCAGGCTGGAGTGCAGTGGTTCAATCTTACTGCAGCCTCCACCTCCCAGGTTCAAGCAATTCTCCTGCCTCAGCCTCCTGAGTAGCTGGAGGCACCAAGTAGGTGCTTGCTACCACGCCCGGCTAATTTTTTGTAGTTTTAGTAGAGGTAGGGTTTCACCATGTTGGCCAGGGTGGTCTCGATCTCCTGACCTCAAGTGATCCCCCTGCCTCAGCCTCCTGAAGTGCTGGGATTACAGACGTGAGCCACCGCGCCCAGCCCTGCCTTTGTTTTACTTGATTTTTGTAGAATAATTTTGGAAGTTTTTTTTTTTTAAACATGGAAGAAATCCATGATGAGCTTTCTAGCAAAGATATTTGGAAAATAATGGAAGATTTTGAATGTGAATACTTTTGAAAACTGCTGGGATTGGAATCAGTTTCAAAGAAATAAAAATATAAACAGTATTACAATTCTGGAATTTTTTGTAAAATGGGACTTAATGTGAATCTCTGCTAAACTATGTCCCTTTCTTAGCTATTTGTATGTCTGTCGTCTCATATGAAAAACCCTTTTAAAATTAAAATTAATAAGAACTGTTGCAATGATCAACGATGAGTGAGGAAAGATGGGCAAATCTGAGTGTAGTAGCTGTTGGACATGAATATGCAAAGACCAGTTTTTACCAAGTCATTGACAGTTTTGCAGGAGTTACAGCTGGAAAAGAGAAACCAATGTATTATTCTTTGCTATAGCTGATAAATATATATAGATAGTTTTTTGTCTTTAAAAATACATTCATGTAATTAAAAATATTAATCATTTTTTAAAATTAAAAAAAATTTATAGACAGGATCTCACTATGTTACCTAGGCTGGTCTCAAACTCCTGGGTTCAGACAATCCTCCCACCTTGGCCTCCCAGAGGAGCTGGGATTACAGACATGAGCCACTGAGCCCAGCTCCAGAAACTAATTTACTATTTTTTACTACAACATATATACGTTTTTTGTGTGTATATATATACATATATATATATATTTTACCACACACACACATATGTGTGTGTATGTGTGTGTGTGTATATGTATACATATCTTCATATAGTTTTTCTTCTTTTAAAAATACAGTAATGGACCTGGCACGGTGGCTCATGTCTGTAATCCTAGCACTCTGGGAGGCCGAGGCGGGCGGATCACCTGAGGTCAGGAGTTTAAGACCCGCCTGGCCAATATAGTGAAACCCTGTCTCTACTAAAATTAGCCAGACGTGGTGGTGCATGCCTGTAGTCCCAGCTACTCAGGAGACTGAAGCAGGAGAATCACTTGAACCCAGGAGTCAGAGGTTGCAGTGAGCTGAAATTGCACCACTGCACTCCAGCCTGGGTGACAGAGCAAGACGCCATCTCAAAAAAAAAAAAAAAAAAAATTAACCATTAATGTAACTTAAAATATTAATCATTTACCATTTTCTTGTTTGTACTATAATATTTATTTCAATTTTTGGTTTTTTACTGTCATGCTTATATATTTGAAGTTCAATAAAAGAAAAATTTCAAAGTCTTTGCTTCTTTTCTGGCCATAACTATTATTTATTTTGCTTCACAACTATGACTAAAAATAATTTTGTCATGTAGAGGAAGGGGGTATTAAGGAAGGATCTGCTCCAGGGGTTATGTTAGGTATGCCACTGTGATAGAATCTTCTTTGTAAGTTGTGCAAAGAGAGGCTTTTTTTGTTAAGGTATTCAGAAAATTGAATAACTTCTTACTTCTTGATCAAGATTTGAACTTAGGGCTTGCACTTTGCTCCTACTTCAGTTTATCCAGATCTTGATAGATTAGGGAGTATATCACAAAACTCACACATAGTGGGTGCTTTAATAAATATTTCTTCATTTTATTTTATTTTTTGAGATGGAGTTTCGCTCTTGTTGCCCAGGCTGGAGTACAATGGCGTGATCTTAGCTCCCCGCAACCTCTGCCTCCCGGGTTCAAGCAATTCTCCTGCCTCAGCCTCCCAAGTAGCTGGGATTAAGGCATGTGCCACCACACCTGGCTAATTTTTGTATTTTTAGTAGAGATGGGGTTTCTCCATGTTAATCAGGCTGGTCTCGAACTCCTGATCTCAGGTGATTCACCCGCCTTGGCCTCCCAAAGTGCTGGGATTACAGGCATGAGCCACCACACCCAGCCTATTTCTTTATTTTTTATTTTACTTTATTTTATTTTATTTTATTTTATTTTATTTTATTTTATTTTATTTTATTTTTTGAGATGTATTCTCATACTGTCACCCAGGCTGGAGAGCAGTGGCATATTCTCAGCTCACTGCAGCCTCAGCCGCCCGGGTTCAAGCCATTCTCCTGCCTCAGCCTCCCAAGTAGCTGGGATTACAAGTACACGCCATCACACCTGGCTAATTTTTGTATTTTTAGTATAGATGAGGTTTCACTACTTTGGCCAGGCTGGTCTTGAAGTCCTAACCTCAAGTGATCCGCCTGCCTCAGCCTTTCAAAGTGCTGGGATTACAGGCATGAGCCACTGTGCCAGGCCTCTTTCTTTTTTTAAATATGGAAACTGGGTCTTACTATGTTGTCCAGGCTGGTCTGGAACTCCTGAGCTCAAATGATCCTGCCACCTTTCCTTTCCAAAGTGATTACAGGTGTGAGCCACCGCCCCTGACCTGATAAATATTTCCTGAACAAATGAGTGAATAAATGAGTGAATGGAGGACTCTATTATCTGGCAGTACACCCCTTCTGCATAATGGAATGTGTGAATTATTAATAGGACTTCAAGATAATGTAAAAATATACCAGGAAGGCACCAAGGATGAGACAGATCATTAGTGTAAGATTTCTGGAAGATTTATAAACTTTGGCATGGGTTTTAATATCTTGGTTGTACACAGCCTAGTTAGCGAGAAATTAAGAACCATGAAAACAAGGTGTTTCCTTAATGAATAAAATTTAATTTCAGAGGAAGCTAAGTGGTCAGGAAAATGACAAAATAACAAGAGGGGTTGCAGTAAGTAGAAAACAACACACAGAAAGGAGGGACACCACCTTAGCTAAGTAGTTATAGAGCATCCAGCACACGTTTTGGCTCCTTGACAACCAAACTGGAGAAATGCAATTTGTGATGTATGATACTGGTGTGAGGGTGAATTGAATGTTTAGTACAAATTTCTAATTGAGGATCCATCACGTCTGCCCTAAAATAGCCCAGCTGCTTAAGAAGGGTGGTATTTGCTTCCTTCCTCTTCTACACTCACTGATGGTAATTAACAGCTGAGCTGGGATAACTAAAAAAAGGGCTGAGAGAAAGAGGAAGGGTTTGAAAACGCTTGGTGTGAGTTCTCAGTACGTTTTCAGTAAGTGTGTGCACTCTCCGTTTCTCACCATAGTGTCTCCCACCAAGGCTCCCGACTCCTTGCAGAAACACATGCCATCCAGTCCCCAGAGCTTCTCTTCCTGGTGTGAAATGCACTGTCTAGGTGTTTCTCACGCCATTCCATGTGCTCCAGTGGAAGTTTGGTGGTGGATGTGAGTAGATAAATGTCAGTCATGTCCAGCTGGGGCCTGGTATTTCCATGCAATTCCTAAGAAGCCCAGCGAAATAGATCAGTTTGGGACTAGATTGGAGGCAAGAAACAGGAATTAGAATTGGAGCAAAGACAAGATATGGTTCATTACATAGAAGAGGCATTCAGGCTGGGCACAGTGGCTCATGCCTATAATCCCAGTATTTCGGGAGGCCAAGCCGGGAGGACTACTTGAACCCACGGGTTTCAGATCAGCCTGGGCAACACAGTGGGACCCCGTCTCTACAAAAAAAAAAAATTAGCTAGGTGTGGTGGCACATGCTTGTAGTCCCAGCTACTTGGGAGGCTGAGCGGGAGGATTGCTTGAGCCCAGGAGGTTGAGGCTGCACTGAACCATGATCATGCCACTGCACTCCAGCCCGGGCAACAGGTTGAGATCGTGCCTCCAGAAAACAAAAAAAAAATGCTACCCGATTAGCATCCCAAAATGATTTTAGTTTATACAGAGGAGAGCCACAGAGAACTATGATTAGTACATTATCTATAACTGTGAAATATTAGCAACATCAGGGAAATGATTAAGTAAATTCTGGGTACACCAACTTAAGGATTTTAGGAGACAAAAAAAAAGAGTTGATTCATGCTCTATTACTGTAGCTAGAGCTGTTGTCTGATTGGCAAATCACAATGCCTCAAAAGAAGTTTCCCTTGCTCTTATGATACGTACAAACTCAACAAACTAGCTTACATCACCTCTTTAGATTCGACCTTCAAAATTTCCCTTGCCCTCCTCCCATCTACAATGCACATGTGCCGTTCCCTCTGCCTAGAGCTGTCCCTCCCTGTTGCCTAGGAAACTCCTGCTAATTCTTCCGATCTTAGCTCCGACCTCGCTTGGCTAGGGGAACCCTTCCCTGATCACCTCCCCCAACCCCAAGACTAGATCTGGGGCTATAGCACTTTGTAATTTCCGTATAATATCATAACTGCCCAATTACTTCTGACACTAGATCATCAGCTCAATGAAGGCAGTGAGCATTGTATCCCCAGGACCTCATTCCATCCTTCCCTTATGAATGAGTCTTTATACTGAGTGAAAATGGAAGAATTGGCAGGGCACAGTGCTCCATGTTTGTAATTCCAGAACTTTGGGCAGCTGAGGTGGGAGGATCACTTGAGCCCAGGAGCTCGAGACCAGCCTGAGCAATACAGGGAGATCCCGTCTCTATAAAAAATAATAGTTAAAAAAAAGATAATGGAAGAATTGACAACTGTGTATGAGATATGATTACAATTTTTAAAAATCATACCTTCTAAACAATAGAAAAGAAATATTAGACAACAAACTGTTAGTATTTTAGTCACCAAATTTCTATTGTAACCATATATTATTTTTATAATTACAATAAATCATTTTGTCATTTTTTTCTTCTTTTTAGAGACAGGGTCTCGCTCTGTCTCCCAGGAGCGATCACAACCCACTGCGGCTTAGAACCGTCTCAAGCAATCCTCCTGCCTCCATCCCCTCAACCCAAGCCCCCAGGAGCTGGGACTACAGGCACATGCCACCATGCCTGGCTCATTTTTGTTATTTTCAAATGAACCCCCAAAAAGGGAAACTATCAGAATTCAGCACTGTGGTTGAGAATGATATTTCAAGCATAGTGCCGATAACAGTGCTTTCAGTAGAAAAATAAAAATAGAAGGCTGGGGTAACCTTTGGGTGGAGGAAAGTGACATTTCTATAAACAACCCATATGTGGGCTATAGCAGAGGAGGCAGGTTCAGAGTGAGAGGGGAAATATCACAGGGCTGGATACACCTGCCCAGGGGACAGGCAGGGACCAACCTGTGAAAAAGGCAAAGACCATAAGAGAGGAAGAAGTGTGGAGGGAGCAAAGATGAACTAGTGGATGCTGAAAGAGGAGAAGGAATGAAGAGGGAATGGGTGGGGAGAACCCTGAGGGCAGCAAAGGACAGCCAGGAGCAGACAGCTCCCACCCGGACGAGGATGGCTGGGCTCGGTTTAGATGTAACAAGTGAAAAAGGGGTAGAAGGCTCACACCTGTAATCCCAGCACTTCGGAGGCCGATGTGGGCAGATCGCCTGAGGTCAGGAGTTCCAGACCAGCCTGACTAACATGGTGAAACCTATCTCTACTAAAAATACAAAAATGAGCTGGGTATGGTAGCACGTGTCTGTAATCCCAGCTACTCTGGAGGCTGAGAAAGCAGAATCACTTGAACCCGGGAGGCGGAGGTTGCAGTGAGCCAAGATCAAGCCACTGCACTCCAGCCTGGGTGACAGGGAGACACTCCGTCTCGAAAAAAAAAAAGAAGAAATGAATGAAAGAGGAGTAGAAAGGGGGTTCCAAGGAAATTGAGTGGGGATGGCCGCAGGGTGTGCGTGGAGGATGGGTTGTATGGAGCAAAGGGCACATGAGCAGCAAGGCTCCAGAAAACACCCCAAGAGAAACTTAGAGAAGGATGCTTGCAGCCTGGTAGAAGAGAGAATCAGAATTTGTCTGAAAAAACATGTTGGAGGTGTCAGAAAGAATGGTGTCAAAGGTGAAGGAAACTTGGGGGTTGAATGGAGATGAAGAAATCTCCTCATGTGGCGAAACTCAACTGAAAGTTGACACGCATATGACTAACCCAGAAAGCAAGGGACACAGCCCAGCCCAGGGAAGAGCTGGAGAAACAGGCGAGGGAGTGGAAATGAGTTGTTTGCTGTGCAGGAAGAAACTGGGTGGAGATGAATGTCAGGGGCAGTTTCTGGCTTGTTTGATGCTAGGCTGGGGCACTTATGTAATGACAAGTTGTAAGGACTATCTTAAAATAACAACAATAATAACAATAACAAAAAGAGAGCTGGAGTGTTTACTGACAGCTGCCGCATGCCAGGCAGGAGAATGAGGATGGCTACGGGATGGAAAAGATGAGGGTCCTGGATGGGTTTCCCTAACTTACGTAGGTGGTTCAGGGGGCCCAGGAAACTCACTGTTAAAGGATTTGGGGAACTCGATCCAGCAACTCCACTCTTCTAGAAACTTCCCCTGTACTTCTGATTCAGGGTCTGACTGATGAGCTTAGGTCTGTATGGGGAGTCAGATCCCGGCTGGAGACCCAATGCTATGAAGTCAGGTATCTCTGTCCCAAATGCACAAAGTTGCACGAGACATTCACCAAGCACATTAATAAAGCAAAATAAGAAGTTCTTCCTTTCCCAGGCATCAACAGTAACTGACAGAAGAATCTGAGCTGAAAAACCAATAGCACCACCAGTGTGCATATGACACCCATAAACCTGCTTCCTGTGGAGAGCTTCCTAATTGGACAGTTTAGAGACCTCTCTCCTATATCCAAACACTGCATCTCATCCATGATCCAGACAGGATATACATCAGGAGCTGCTGTATCCTTCTAGCCAAGTGTGACCTAAAGACTCCTGGTTGTCATGCCCCCAATTCACACCTAGGAAATGATGGAAATATACCCTAGGCTGCACTCATGTGCGTGTGCGTGCAGACACACACTCTCACACACACACACACTCACACACACACAGAGGACACTAATGTGCAAAACTTCAGAGCTCAGGAACCACATTTCCTGCCATGCTGTTCATTCAGGAGTGAGACTTAGGCTGATGACCAGAAACAGGGCAAAAGATGCAGACGGAGTCTGGATGGGCCTCAGATCTCTGGTTCTGGTCTTTTCTCAGGCTAAGCAGCATCCCTGTCTCCCTCATCAACAATTTTCTTGCTCAATAAAAAAAAGCCTGGGCAACATAGTGAGACCCCATCTCTATGAACAATAAAAAAATTAGCTGGGCATGGAGTCACACATCCTTGTGGTCCCAGCTACTCAAGTAGCTGAAATGGGAGGATCGCTTGAGCCCAGGAGGTTGAGGCTGCAATGAGCCATGATCATGCGAATGCACTCCAGCCTGGGAGATGAGTTAAGACTCTGTCTCAAAACAAACAAACAAATGACAACAACAACAAAATCTCAGGCCGGGTGCAGTGGCTCATGCCTATAATCCCAGCACTTTGGGAGGCCAAGGCAGGAGGATCACGAGGTCAGGAGATCGAGACCAGCCTGGACAGCCTGGTGAAGCCCTGTCTCTACTGAAAATACAAAAAATAAGCTGGGCATGGTGGTGCATGCCTGTAGTCCCAGCTACGCAGGAGGCTGAGGCAGGAGAATTGCTTGAATCTGGGAGGTGGAGGTTGCAGTGAGCCAAGATCATGCCACTGCACTCCAGCCTGGGCGACAGAGCTAGACTCTGTCTCAAAAAAACCCCCAAAAAACAATAAAACCCAAAACAATTTTCTTGGACCCGTGAGTCAATGAATTCCCCTTCTGGGCTAATTTCACTTGTGCTGGGGCTCTGTCTCTTATCATCAAATCAATATACCCAGGCTGGTGAAATCACAGTGTGAGCTTTTGCCAAAAATAATCTAGCTGGCAGAGGAAGAGAGGCATGCTCCCTATAGCAGAAGGGGGCTAGTGAGGATCTGGGTATTTGTGGCCCATGAGTGCTTGCTCTTGGCTTTGGAAGTATCCTGGTGAGTATTGCCATAGGTCACAGCAGGAGCCCTAAAAGGAAGACACTCGATTAAGCTGGAAATTTGGGGCTTTGATCGGGGCTTTGATCAGTTCCTTTGATCAGTTCCTTTGATCTTTGGTAAACACTACCATGAACGCTGGGCACAGTAGTGATGCTGCCATTTCCTTGACCACAGCAGAGGTTTATATTTGGGTAAGGGAGGCATTGGAGACAGCTGGGCAGGGGGCTGGGGGGAAAGGTAGCTGCTGTCTAAACTGCAACTTCAGTAACTATGACCATGAATATGATTGCAGGTTTGACTGCTCATTTAGAGGGCTTGTCATTCGGAGGAGGGCTTTAGCTGATCTAGGGGACAGTCAGAGACATGCAATACATATGACTCAAGAGGCCGTCTGGTGTGACACGCAATCAGGAATAGCTCTGCAATTCTGCTGGATTAGGTCATAAAAGCATCTCCCAAAAGAAAAGTGTATGAGATGTCAGTGGTCTAGTAGGTCATACGTCTGCAAACAGTGGGATGGCCATCAGATCCCATTTGGGACAGTCGTGGTTTACACCTACTATGTTGGTGTAATTATTAATAGCACCCCCTTTCACGCTCAGAAGTATCTGGTTTGAATGGTAAATTCTGTGGTCCCCTAGTGGACAGAAAACTTGATGTGTCACATAGAAGGGAGAATTGGGTCTTGAGGTTCCTATGCGGAAGAGGAATGGTGACTTCTGCTCCGATGAGTGCAGGAAGCCCCAGGGAGCAGGGAGCGGAGGGGAGGAGGGAAGGGACACCTCTAGGAAGAAAGAGAACAAAATGAAACTACTGTCCAGTGTTGATGGGAAAAAAGAGGAAGTTATCAGGGACAGACAAAGGGTGTGGAAAAAAATGAGAAGCCACAAGAAAACTGCTGAGGACAGAATGGGTGGACTCACTGGTGAGCTCAGAACCACAAGGACATGTGTTCCCCAGCACAGCAAGGATGACCTTGGAGGAGGCTAGTGTCACAGAGGGCGACACAGAGTGGGTCATGGAGACAGAACCAGACTGGGCAGAATCCAGGGCTTGAGTCACTCGCTGCAGACAGTCATGTCAGGGTGTGTCACTGCCAGGGACCAGAGCTCTGCAGGGATGATGACAAATGGATTTGGGCCAGCAAGGTCTGGGTCAAGGGAGCAAGATAGTTTCTTCTTCTGTCACCCATAATGATGAGTCCCTTAAGGAAAGGCTGTGCCATCCATTTCTGGCTCCCCTGCACTTATTACTGTGCCAAGCACATGATATATAGTCAACGAATTGATATATCAATGAATATCTGAGAAAATAAAGGGAGGAAAGCAAGAGTAAAACATGGAAATACAGGAAGTGGCACCGAAGCAGAAACATGTAGAAAGGACAGAAAAAGTGAAGCCAAGAATTGAAAAAACAGAGACCCCAGGAAGTGGTGAGAGAAAGGAACTGAAAATGGGACTGTGTATGTACCATGAAGGCTAAAGGCCCAGGCTGCAGGGCTGGAAAACTCAAGACACAACATGGGAAAAGAATGAAAATTATAGTTTCTTGTGTCATGGGAATTTGAACGAAATCAGTTGGTGAGAACTTCTTTGTTTGATGGGATTAGTGAAGACAGCACGTTCACTCAACATGTGTCAAAGTAATTTAAAGCCAAAAAGTAGGCCGAGTATGGTGGCTCACATCTGTAGTCTTAGCTACTTGGGAAGCTGAGGTGGGAGGATTGCTTGAACCCAAGAGGTTGAGGCTGCAGTGAGCTATGGTTGTACCACTGCACTCCAGCCTGGGTGACAGAGTGAGCCCATCTCAAATAGATAAACAAATAAACACATAAATAAATAGGCCCGGCGCCGTGGCTCGTGCCTGTAATCCCAGCACTTTGGGAGGCCGAGGCCATCGGATCATGAGGTCAGGAGTTAGAGACCAGTCTGACCAATATGGTGAAATCCTGTCTCTACTAAAAATACAAAAATTAGCCTGGCATGATGGCGTGCACCTGTAGGCCCAGCTACTTGGCAGGCTGAGGCAGGAGAATTGCTGCTGGTCTCCAACTCCTGACCTCAAGAAATCTGCCTGCCTTGGCCTCCCAAAGTGCTGGGATCACAGGTGTGAGCCACTGTGCCCAGCCAATGTGAGTGTTTTTTTGACCTCACTGTTTTGCTGACTATCTTGATCTCCCGCCTGCCATAAAACTCTATGCTGGAACCAGCCAAGGCTATGTTGAACAGGTATAGGAACCTGCTAATATTCATGACAAAAGTCCCTTCTTGAAGATGGATTTCTAATGAATGTCTGGGAATTTCTGATCATTTCAGGCATGAAATCTACACTTTTAGAGAATGGAATTAAGTGAGGAGAAATTAATACAGTAGAGACATCGAAGCACTAGAAAGGAAGTAAGGGAATGTTTATTTATCAAATACCTGTGAAGTGACAGGCAAAGTACTATACACTGTTTTTCTCGTTTGCTCTCTTTCCTTTGACATAGTTTTTTTCACCCCCAAATCCAGGCCCTCTTCGGAAGATACTTCAATGACTCAAGAAAACAAACCTATGATCTCAGATTTTCCCTTTTGGAGGGAGTAAAGTGTGTGTCATAGGGATGGAGCTGGTCCCGGGCTAATTTATGATAGAGAACAAGGTTTTTCCCCGGTTAAGACATGAGACACCACCTACCCCAACCCCTATCTGATCTCCATTCTTACTTTTTTTTTTTTTTAGATGGAGTCTCGCCCTATCACCCAGGCTGGAGTGCAATGGCCTGATCTTGGCTCACTGCAACCTCCGCCTCCTGGGTTCAAGTGATTCTCCTGCCCCAGCCTCCAGAGTAGCTGGGATTACAGGCACCTGCCACCACACCCAGCTAATTTTTTGTATCTTTAGTAGAGACAGGGTTTCACCATGTTGGCCAGGCTGATCTCGAACTCCTGACCTCGTGGTCCACCTGCCTTGGCCACCCAAAGACATGAGCCACTGCGCCCAGCCTCCATTCTCACTTTCTTGTCCTGTTTCTTGGTACAACTTACTTGACTTATAGTAAAGTAGCCAGGGAGGGAGGGAGTGTGATATATTTCTCAAGAATATGTATAATTTGAATGAAAACTGGAGTGAAGGCAATGCCTGACTAGGGGGAATGAATGGTGGATGCCAAAATTTCAGGCATTGTAGGGAAAAGCATTCTCTAGGAAGAATGCAAGACTCCCAAGCCCCTCAAAGCACACTGTGTAGGTGACTGTATGCTCCACCTGTCTGTAAGTTTGGTCCAGGGCAAAGGGGATGTTGCTGTCAGCTTTTTGCATCTCAGACTTCTGCCAGCCTTCATATAGATCAGTTAGAAGCAGCTTCCAGATGCCTAGAGGGTGACTGGCTCCCACAGTGGTCCGGGACTTGGCTGGCTCTGTGCTCTGCAAACAGAACTGCACTCTGTGCTATCCAGAGTTCTGTGGATTCCCCTTTTCTCCATCATCCTCACTGGTCTACATTCTCTAATTCTCCCAGAGTATAAAATATTGAACGTGGGTTGCTAAAGATGGAATGTTTATGCCCTCCTCACCCACCCAATGAGCGGTTCACATGTTGAAACTGAATCCCCAATGTAGTGGTATTTGAAGATGGGGCCTTTGGGAGGTGATTAAGTTGTGAGTGTGGAACCCTAACAGAGAAGACTGGATGTCTATAAACAAGGAAATGGGCCCTCACCAGACACTGAATCTACTGGCACCTTGATCTTAGACCTCCCAGCCTCCAAAACTGTGAGAAATAAATGCTTGTTGTTTATAAGCTGCCAGATCTGTAGTATCTTGTTATTGCAACCCAAACAGACAAAGACATTGGCAAACCTTGGGAAGAGTTTTGCTCGATTAGCTAAAGTACATAAAAGGTCCCTGAAATAATGCAGCCCTGGACTCTGCGTAGAGGAAGATGCTCCAAGTTCTGCTATACTAAGAATGCAAGCACATCACACTCTTGCTTGGAGAGACTGATTTGTTTGCATATTTGAAAGTTGTAAGTTTATAAGATGAGCTTCTGGATTTGTTCCACAGTTTGTTCAAAGTTTCACTGCTTGAAAAGCTAAGATTCCATTTCAAATAGAGAAAAGGGGGTGTGGCCGGGCACAGAGGTTCACACCTGTAATCCCAGCACTTTGGCAGGCTGAGGTGGTGGGATCATTTGAGATCAGGAGTTCGAGACCAGCTTGACCTACATAGTGAAACCCCATCTCTACTAAAAGACAAAAATTAGCCGGGCATGGTGGCAGGTGCCTGTAATCCCAGCTACTCAGGAGGTTGAGGCAGGAGAATCGCTTGAACCCAGGAGGTGAAGGTTGCAGTGAGCCGAGATTGCGCCACTGCACTCCAGCCTGGGCAACAGAGCAAGACTCCCTCTCAAAAAAGAAAAAGGAAAAAACAGGGCGTGAGACCTCAGCTCTCTGGCCACCTGATATAAATCATTTGGTCAATCCAAGACCACAACTGGGTTCTAGCCAGTGGGCACAATAAGACACCATTGGAGTGAGTATGCAGGGGGAATCACTCTAGCGTGCAGTTCTGTTTGCAGGGCCAGAGAGAGAAATTTCCCCAACCTGCACTGGCCACTGTTGAGCTGTTTGAATGTACTCCAAGCGCCTTACCCTAACCACTTCCTTCCCTGCCTTCCCTTGCTTTCCCTGCCAATCTCAAAACACTACAGTATTAACACTTAAGACTTTGGAGAAATGAGAGGTCTTAATCTGAAAAAAACGATGCTAATTCTAAACTGCTGCACTTTTAATGAGCTATTTAGAACTAATAGCAATTTGAACTAATTATAATAGTTTAGCGCTGTTTGTCGAGTCTTGTGGCTGTAAAACCCTGAACACTGAACTGAGAATATGCTATGAGGTAAAAGAGTCACTGAATTTCAAAGCAGAAAGAGACTTCTCAGAGGATTTAGTAGAAGGCTGTTAATTCACAGCTGTAGAGACAGTCTTTCAAGAAGGTAAGCTGATGGCCTAAAAGACCCAGGGCCACTAAGAGTCAAAAACAGAGCAAGAGCATGGGTGCTTCTGATAGCTGGCTCAGCCCTATTACTTATTTTCTTTCTTTTTGTAGAGATGGGGTCTCACTCTGTTCCCCAGGCTAGTCTCAAACTCCTGGCCTCAAGCAGTTCACATGCCTTGGCCTCCCAAAGTATTGAGATGACAGGTGTGAGCCACTGTGCCTGGCCCCAGCCCTATTTCTACTACAATATGGCTCAAAAGAAACTGAAGAAAAGCTTATTACATTATAGTGCAGAATGGGAGGATGAGGATGGATGAATTCAAGTTATAGGTATTTTTGAAAATGAGATATAAGAAGTTTAAGATAGATTGATAAGCAATAGGGACACCATAAAGCTTTCAGCCTAGAGGATTTGTCCTAAAAATTTAACAAAATGCTCCCATGGAGGCCCATTTGGCCAGAGAATGTGAGACAAACACTGTCATCCAAGCAACTTTGGTGCGATGCTATCATTGCGTGCCCAGAGAGCAATAGGCCAAGCTACCCCCTTGTCTAGGACACTCTGATGCACAAGTACAGAATTCTTGAAAAACAGAACTCTGGATGGATTTGAAGGAAATGAGGCAATTGGAAGTCAGTTTGATATAGAACAAAGAGTCACAAACTTTGGAATTGGACAAAGTCAGATCCAAGGCTTACTACAGTGTGATTTTAACCCCTTGAATCTTAGATTCCTCACCTGTAAAATGGAATTAAGAGTATTCAGCCATGAAAATGTAAATTAGTACAACCACTATGGAACACAGTATGTAGATTCCTTAAAGAACTAAAAGTAGAACCACCATTCGATCCAGCAATCCCACAACTGGGTATCTACCCAAAGGAAAAGAAGGGATTATATGAAAAAGACACATACACATGCATGTTTTGAACAGCACCGTTCACAATTGCAAAGACGTGGAACCAACCTAAGTGCCCATCAACCAACAAGTGGATAAAGAAAATGTGATATATGTACACCATGGAATACTACTCAGCCACAAAAAGGAACAAGGTAATGTCTTTTGCAGCAACTTGGATGGAGCTGGGGGTCATTGTTTTTTGTTTGTTTGTTTGTTTGTTTTTTGAGATGGAGTCTTGCTCTGTCACCCAGGCTTTATATAGGGCCTAATGTATGTGGTCCAGATAGGTTAAGACCAAGGTTGGCTTCAAATTAAAAAAACAAAACAAAACAAAACAAAACAGCAAAACTGGGCCTTTTTATTCCGTTATTTATAAAAGCTATTATTTTGCTCCTCTTCATAAGAGAATAAGCATATGCACTGCAATGCATTTTTAAGTTAATAAAAATACTTTGAACAGATATTGTTGCTTGAGAAAGCTTCGAGATATTAAAGACTCAATTCATTTATTAAAGAAAGTAAACAAGAAAGGAAGAGAGAGCAAAAGAAGGAAGGAAGGAAGGGAGGGGAGAGCGGGAGGGAAGAGAGGAAGGAGAGAGGGAGGGTAGATAAGGAAGGAAAGGAAAGAAAGAAGGAGGGAAGGAAGGGAGGGAGGGAAGAGAGGGAGGAGGTAGGGAAAGAAGAGAGGGAGGGAAGGAAGGAAGCGAGGGAGAGAGGGAGGGAAGGAAGGAAAGTAAAGAAAGAAGGGAAGAAAGGGAGGGAGGGAGGGAAAGAAAGAAAAGAAAGAAGGAGGGAAAGGAGGAAGGGAGGAAGCAAGGGAAGCAGGGAAGGAAGGCAAGGAGGAAGAGAAGAGAGGGAGGAGATAGGGAAAGAATGGAGTGAGGGAAGGAGGGAAAGGAGGGAGGGAAGGAAGGGAGGGATGGGGAGGGAAGGAAGGAAGGGAGGGAGAGAGGGAAGGAAGGGAAGCAAAGAAAGAAGGAGGGAAGGGAAGGAAGGAGGGAGGGAGAAAGCAAGGGAAGGAGGGAAAGAAGGAAGGAAACATGCCCTGATTATCTTCCCCATATAGAGTTAATTCGGTGGCCAAATGGGAAGCAAATGGATTACAAAAACCCCAGATGAGAAATGGGAGGCCCCTGCGAGAGGTGAAAGTTCAGAATAGGCTTTCTTCTGGATCAGCTGTAGCCTGGAATTGTCAGAGAACCTTTTAAACTAGAAATGGACTTCTACAGGGGTTCAGTTACTTCTAACCCATTGCCCTGATCATAGTGTAATGCAGTGTCTTTCAAATTGAGGCTGAGATCTACTGGGGGTTACGAAGTCAAGTTAGTGGTTTGTAATGAGCATTTACAAAAAATTTAGAAGAAAATAGAATTAAATGCATGGCACACAAGGCTGCTAGGTATGGTTGTGCAGGTTGTACACACTGAACACTCTGGGGATGTTATTGGCATTGTAGTCTATGTGTCAAGCACCCCTAGTGTTTTTCATCCACCACCCACAGGACAGGGGGTGGTGGGTCTGACTAGTCATGATAAGTATCATCACGTGAAACTTATTTGTATGAGCGTGTGTGTGTGTGTTTGTGTGTGTTTGTGTGTGTGTGTGGGTGGGTGTTTGCTGTAAAATCTATTTCTTACTTGGATTTACAGTCAAAAACAAGTTTGAAAAACACTACTATGGTGATCTTATGTCTTTTTTTTTTTTTTTTTGGCTGGCTAGCATTGGAACTCCCTTTCTGGTCTTGGGGAATGCCCAATTGTGTGAGTCTTTATGGCAGCAGGGTCCTGTCTTCCTCTACAGATCCCAAAGAGGGAAGAGTATTTTGTTTTCTCTCTCTCTGCAGTCCATAGTATGAGCTATTGACCAAGGCTGGGCCAGTTGGATGTTCTCACCAAGAACCTTAAATCTTGAGGGCAGAGATTCAGGGTGGTTAGAGATTACTCACGGTGTCAGGATGGGGTTGAGAGGCAAAGACCACCAGTCAGAGGTGGAAAGCAGCCAGAACCTGCAGCTAAGGCCCATGGCCACATTCTCACCAGCCTGCCCCTGTAGTGTGCTCAGCTGCCCGGCCTCTTTTGCTTGCTACCTGTTTTCTGATGCCCTGAGTCATTCCATATGTTTCCAATAAATTGCTTATCTGCATAAGTTTGCCGGAGTCAGTTTTTATTGTTTGCAACCAAGACTCTGACCAAAATACATGTATTTTCTTGGGGAGCTGAACTTTAGATATGATTGACTCAGGCTCTTATCCTAAATTCTCAAGCAATCAAAATATAGTGATACAAACAAAGAAGCAAATAAATAGATGAAAAGAGAAAAATAAATTCCTATCAATTATTTTTTTCTAAAGCATTGTTTAACAAGTATTGTTTGGGGAAAGGAAAAGTAAAAGAAGTCAGTATTTCATTTTTTTGCAGCAGGTGACCATATAAACCATAGCCTATGTAGTGAAACCCTCTTCTGTGATTTTTATTTTTTTATTTTTTTGAGACAGGGTCTTTCTCCTGTCACCCAGCAAGAGTGCAGTGGCACGATCACGACTCATTGCAACTTCAGCCTCCTGGGCTCAAGCGATCCTCCAGCCTCAGTTTTTGATTTTTTGTAGAGTCAGGGTCTCACTATGTTGCCCAGGATGGTCTCAAACTCCTGGGCTCACATGATCCTTCTACTCAGCTTCCCAAATTGCTGGGATTATAGGCTTGAACCATTGTGCCCAGCTTCTTCTGTGATTTTTCTAATACTATATTTTGACTCCTAGGAGGTGGCATTCATTGGCATTAAGCATTTTTTGGAGGCTTTTCACATTTATTTAGCATCAATAGAAATAAAGCAACATGCAGAATATATGCAGAATATACCCAGATGCTTCTTCCAAAGACAGAAAACTTGTCCACACTTAGGTTCATTGACTTTTTTTCCCCTAAAGTAAAAAGTTTACTACCTTCCCATCATGTTTCTTAATGTTTTATTAAGACACTCTGTAGAGAAAAATAGCAATTGATAAGACTCTTTTAACAAAGATGTTATTATTTTTAGACTTTTTAAAGTAGGCATTCCAATTTGGCATAACTTTACCCAGCTACTCTTTCAAGAGGACTTGTGTTTATAATTTCGCATTTTGCCTAAGTAGAAAAACATCTCATTTCTTGTACTTAGGAAGTGGTTTCAGCAGCTGGAAAGACCTCAGGCTCAGAGTGTGATAAGCAGTCGTCGCAGAACCGGGCTTCTGACCACACAGCCTGAGGCTACCACGGATAGGAGGCACCACCCAGAAATGTCACATCTCAGTGGCTAAGGCTAAGCCATTTGAGAATTTGCATCAATCCACCCAAATGAATGATGAAAAGTGAAAGAAATCACACTACCTCATCTTTATGCATCAAACAATTTCTTATAAAGCCATTAGTTCTAACAGTTTTTCAGGTGGGGAAGGTAGGTCTCAAAACTCCCAGAAATTTAGTGAATTTCTTGTTTGTTGTAGTAGGTTCGTTTTTCTCAGTTTCTTTTTTATTTTTCTGATCCTGTAACACTTTCTTTGCATCCCTTTGCTTCTTCAGCCTTTGTGACGGGCATGCACTCTGGTGACGCACCCTGGGGACACTGTCTTTTCCCTTTAGTAGTCCCTACTGCTGCAGCCCTATGCGGTCAAACTCCTTCCAGAGGCATTTCCATTTGAATATCTGAATTAAGGTGAAGGTACAGCCACGTGGCTCTTCACCCAGCTGCCTCACACACTCCACTGGTTCTCTCCCACCTTGCTCAAGCTTCTTTCTCTTCTTTGCAGCTTTTTGCAAGGCTCAGCCAACATATTTTCACTCTTCATTCTATTCCTAAGCCATCTCACCTATTCCGGGGATCTCCATCTACATGCTAATCATGGCTATCAATCTACATGTTACATGCTACATGTGACAACCATGGCTATCAGTCTACATGCTTATGACTCTTACTTTTACATGTCTCAGCCAGATCTTCCTGCTAAGCCCATTCCCAGTAATTCTTTTTTTTTTTTCTTTTTTAGATTCAGAGGACACACATATGTGTTTTTGCAGGGTATATCATGTAACAGTGAAGATTGGGCTTCCAGGGTACTGATCAACCAAATTTTTTTTTTTTTGAGACAGAGTCTTGCTCTGTTGCCCAGGCTAGAGTACAGTGGTGTGATCTCGGCTCACTGCAACCTCCGCCTCCTAGGTTCAAGCGATTCTCCTGCCTCAGCCTCCCGAGTAGCTGGGATTACTGGCACACCCCACCACGCCTGGCTAATTTTTGTATTTTTAGTAGAGACAGGGTTTCACCATGTTGGCCAGGCTGGTCTCGAACTCCTGACCTTGTGATCCACCTGCCTTGGCCTCCCAAAGTGCTGGGATTACAGGTGTGAGCCACCGCACCCGGCCCCCTACCACCCAAATATTGAACATTGTACCCAACAGGTAAGTTTTCAACCCTCAACCCCCTCCTACCCACTCTTATTTTGGAGTCCCAGTGTCTACTACTTTTATCTTTATGTTTGTGTGTCCATAAGCTGCCCACCTGACATCACCTAAATGACTTTCAGACAACTCAAACTCCTTGCCGCAAAACTGAACAGCTTCATGTCTTTTGTTCTCAGGGATCTGTGCTCCTCACTGTATGTTTCATAAGCCTTGTCAGTAACTCATAACCATCCCCCAGGGCTGTAAGGAAGACAAGCGACCACCATCCCAGACAGCTGCTTTTTCTTCATCCTGTCCTCTAGTCTCGCTCAACACATGTTCTCAGCATCCTAGACAGTGCTCTTCTTAAACATTAATCTGAGACACCCTCCCGCAAAAAAGGTTTTGGAGGCTTCCCAGGGTTCCAAAGATAAGGTCCCAGGATGATGTAACTGACGAGGCCCTCCATGTACCCGCCTGTCTGTCCAGGCTCACGCTTTGGACTTTCCCTCATTGCTCACCCCGCTCCAGCCACAGTGACCTTGCATCAGTTGCTCACGTATTCCATAGTTTAAGAATTAAATTGTCTAGCCCTACTGGAAGCAAGAAAAAAAAAATTAAATCGTTCTTTATGGGTTCTAACAAAAAATAACAGTTCCCTAAACCACCCCCTTTTTCATTTTCTGCACACCAGGGGAAACTACTTTCAACAATTTTAACTGATTCTTTGGGTAACCTTTGCCTTATCACTAAATAACATAGTTATATTGCCACCTCTTTATTTTTCTGTTTGAGGCTTTATCTATGAATTTCTGTATATGAAAGATGAAAGTTTAGTTATCTTTTACAATATCAGCTCCCACCACATGTGTAGACACTTCTCATCTCCTTCCAACATAAATTACGTAGACACTTCTCATCTTCTTCCAACATAAACTTCAGGCCAGATGCAGTGGCTCATGCCTGTAAATCCCAGCATTTCTGGGAGGCCGAGGCAGGAGGATCACTTGAGTCCAGGAGTTTGAGACCAGCCTGGGCAACATAGCTAGACCCCAACTCTACAGAAAATACAAAAACAAATTAGCCGGGCATGGTGGCATGTACCTGCAGTCCCAGCTACTTGGGAGGCTGAGATTAGAGGATCGCTTGAGCCCAGGAGTTCAAGGCTGCAGTAAGCAGTGATCATGCCACTACCCTCCAGCCTGGGCAACAGAGTGAGATCCCCATCTCAGAAAAACAAAACATAACAAAAAGAAAAAGAATAAAAAAGTAATTAAAATATAACTTCAGTTAGATTAATGTTCAGTGTTTACATGATTGTTATGCTATTTAGAGCTAGGTCATGTAGTTCACTAGGCTTTTTCCTCCTTCTAGAGTTAACCATTGCGTCATTACCAGCTACTTGGGAGGTTGAAGTGAGAGGACTGCTTGAGCCCAGGAGTTCCAGACCAGCGTAGGCAACATAGCAAAACCCTGTCTCTAAAAACAAAACAGGCCAGGCATGGTGGCTCACGCCTGTAATCCCAGCACTTTGGGAGACCGAGGCAGGCAGATCACTTGAGGTCAGGAGTTTAAGATCAGCCTGGCCAACATGATGAAAGCCCATCTCTACTAAAAGTACAAAAATTAGCCGGGCGTGGTGGTGTGCATCTGTAATCCCAGCTACTCAGGAGGCTGAGGCAGCAGAATCGCTTGAACTCGGGAGGTGGAGGTTGTAGTGAGCCACGATCATGCCATTGCACCCCAGCCTGGGTGACAGAGTGAGACTCCATCTCAAAAAAAAAATTGATATGTGTTTAAATTTTATTTTCTATCAGTTTCATTTTAGGATAGTCAGGGAAGTATTTAGTATAAGGCTGAGAACCACTGCACTATACTATGTAGAATATGCTGTTTATCAGCACTTTGCCAGTAAATGATTACCCCTTATGCTAAGCTTTGATGAACACACACTTAATTCAGCAAATAATTATTCCTAATAATTTAATCTGTAGCCCAGGATCCTTGTTAATAGCTATGAAAAAGTAAGAGTTTCATATCCCTACAGTTCCTCATGTACTTTCTGTTCTTGTTCTTGTTTTTAAGCACAGACCGGAAAAAAATGTCACTTGTCATCTCTGCATATGGTGTTGGGTTGCCTGAATCCGAGAAGTACACAAAGGCCAGTGTGTATTGCTTGTACTTTGGTTAAGAGCTGGGTTTTGAGTGGGATAAACATGGTTTCAAAGGTTGATTCAGCTGATTAAACAAATGTAGTCCATCAAAATCTCACATGTAAAATGGGGATGATGGTGCCAATTCATAGGACGGCCAAGGGAAATCCATGAGATAACGCATTTTACATGCTCAGCAGGGGACTTTGCAGAGAAAGTACTCAATTGGACTGGGTGTTGCAGAAAAGCAATTCGCAACACGGACTCTGAAACGGACAGCCTGGGTTTGAATCCCCACTGCAGCACTTGTGGCTCTGTGGCTTGGGGAGTTCCTTACCCTCTCTGTGCTTTGATTTTACTCATGTGTCAGATGAAGATGATAATACAGCTGCCTCAAGGACTTGTCATGAGGATTAAATGAGGTGATATGTGTGAAACACTGGGAATATGCCTGACCTCACTAAAAAGTAGTTATTGCTGGGCGTGGTGGCTCACACCTACAATCCTAGAACTTTGAGAGGCCAAGGCAGGAGGATTGCTTGAGCCTAGGCATTGAAGACAAGCCTGGGAAAAATGGTGAAACTTCGACTCTACAAAAAATACAAAAATTAGCCAGGTATGGTGGTGAGTGCCTGTAGTCCCAGCCATTCTGGAGGCTGAAGTGGGAGAATCGCTTCAGCCCAGGAGGTTTGAGGCTGCAGTGAGTCACTCCAGCCTGGGTGACCAAGACAGACCCTGTCTGAAAAAAATAAATGAATAAAAAATAAAAATTAGTTATCAATGCTATAGAGGGGACACTCTCTCCAGATCATGCGTTCATTTCCTTGTTTGGGGGTTTAGGAAATGTGGTTGGAAATTTTATTCTGGTTCCTTTGAAGCAGAAGTGTTTCTAGTATATATGTTTTTGTTTAGTCATTACAGCTTTGCTCTTCAAAACAAACAAGACTTAGGCGATCACTTAAGAGCATACTTTTAAAATAAATTCGTGGTCAGCATCATCTAAACTTTAAGATAGAATCTAAGCTCCAAATCCTCATTAAATACTCATTGGCCTTTAAGATCCACCGGACATGAGGTCTGTCCTCAGCTGGTTCTATAGCTCAGGTGAACCACAGTCCGGCAGCAAATAATTGTTTACTAAGCTCAGGTGAGAAAAAAAAACTGTCTGGTTAGATTTTTTTTTTAGAACAACAACAACAACAACAACAAAACTGACTTTAGGCTGTTAATTTTCTGGGAAGGGGATTGCTTTCACATTCTGTTTTAAGGACACAGCAGAGTGACCCTCTAAGGGTTGGAAGCAAGAATCAATGATGGGAACAGGTCATGCCACACATAAACAAGGTTCATTATCCTTTGTAGACTTTCCCATGATGCCTCACTGCTTTAATTTTTCTCTACCTACCCCACAGTGTTCCTAGGCCTCTAGAATAAAAGACAAACATCTTAATTTCATTAGTTCCTTCCAGAAGGAAAAATGCATTGTATCTGCCTTTCTGAAATTGATAATTTTATTGTAGTTTTAAAAAGTATTTCTGAGTAAGCAGATTTTTCTGGCTTGTCTCTAAGAAAAAGCTAAAACTATTAAAAAATTACAATTTGGCAAAGATCCATGATTTGGAAAGCTGTGCATTTAGCACTTATTAAAAAATAGTTATGACTTTTTATGCTTATTTATTTATTTTTGAGACGGAGTCTCGCTCTGTCACCCAAGCTGTAATGTAGTGGCATGATCTTGGCTCTCTGCAACCTCCGCCTCCCAGGTTCAAGCAATTCTCCTGCCTCAGCCTCCCGAGTAGCTGGGACTACAGCCACGCACCACCACGCCTTGCTAATTTTTGTATTTTTAGTAGAGATGGAGTTTCACCATGTTGGCCAGTCTGGTCTCAAACTCCTGACCTCAGGTCTCCCAAAGTGCTGGGATTACAGGTATGAGCCACCGCTCCCGGCCTTATTTATTGGCCTTATTTATTTTATTTTATTTTATTTATTTATTTATTTTTGAGACAGGGTCTGGCTCTGTCACCTAGGTTGGAGTGCAGTGGCACAATCACCGCTCACTGCAGCCTTGACCTCTGTGGTCAAGCAATCCTCCTGCCTCAGCCTCCCAAGGAGCTGGGATTACAGGTATGAGCCACCACGCCTGGCTAAATTGTTTTATATTTTGTAGAGATGGAGTCTTGTTATGTTGCCCAGGCTGGTGTTGAACTCCTGGGCTGAAGCAATCCCCTTGCCTCAGCCTCCCAACATGTTGGGATTATAGACATGAGCCACTGTGCCGGCCTAATTATGACTTTTTAAAGAACTCACTTAGGTTAAATCTACAATATAGGAAATCATTCACTAGACTATCCTAAATCGTAAATTACTTTAAAATGTGTTTGCAATAGATATTTAATTGTTTAGAAATATATTTGAAGAACATGCAAAAGAATGCCGGGCGTGGTGGTGGGTGCCTATAATCCCAGGGGCTACTCTGGAGGCTGAGGAAGGAGAATCGCTTGAATCCAGGAGGTGGAGGTTGTAGTGAGCTGAGATCGTGCCACTGTACTCCAGCCTGAGTGACAGAGTGAGTGAGACTCCATCTCAAAAAACAAACAAACAAAAAAACATGCAAAAGGAATTCAAGGAAGCACCTTTTCATTGGCATAAATAAACACTTTTTTTCCATCGATTAAAAAAAATTAACACAGACATTGTTTTTCAGCATGCAGAAAGAATGCTTAATTTATAGAGTGACTTCAATATTTTGATCAAGAGGCCTCAAAATATAAGATTCAAGTAATATGATGGGTGATTTTTCAGAGTTTACAGGAGTGAAGATGCCAGGAACGGACAGCCCATTCCACTCTCATTTTCCTGGCACCAGTGGATTTGTGGAAGACAGAGTGAGGAAACAAGCTCTGGTGAATGTTTTCCTTGAAACTGTAGGAAATGTGATTTGATGGCTTGTATGTTTCTGCAAGGCTGCTCTTCACACAGACTTTCTCTATCTGACTTTGTATTAGATTTCAAACATCCAAACAGACCCTTTCCTCTGGCCTGGGGTGGACAGGGCCAGTCTAAGATAAGTGGCTTTAGTAATTCAGAGTTCTCTGTAGGATCTCTTATTTTCTCTCTCTCATTTTTTTTTTCAGACAAAGTCTCACTCTGTCGCCCAGGCTGGAGTGCAGTGGCTCGATCTCGGCTCACTGCAACCTCTGCCTCCCGGGTTCAAGCAATTCTCCTGCCTCAGCCTCCCGAGTAGCTGGGATTAGAGGCCCATGCCACCATGCTGAGCTAATATTTGTATTTTTAGTAGAGATGGGGTTTCACCGTATTGGCCAAGCTGGTCTCGAACTCCTGAGCCCAAGTGATCCACCTGCCTTGGCCTCCCAAAGTGCTGGAATTACAGGTATGAGCCACTGCGCCCGGCCGGATCTCTTATTTTCTCTAGAGCACGGTTCATCTTCTCAGACCTTAAGTTTATTACCAGAGTATGAAACGCTGGAACAGTCATCCATACAAGAACCCTTTAGATACCCACAAGTCATTTGCAGGGAGTTCAGTTGATATACTATTTACTCTTCTTAATGAAAAACTGCTCACTTTTTTTTTGATAGAGAGACACACAATAACTTACACTTCTACAGTGCTTTTTACTTTAATCTTCTTTGTGTATTGCAATTTGTATAGCCTGTATTAAAAGGAACATTGATCTTGAAGTAAGAGTTTGAAACTTTCCCCTTATTGTCAAATGTCTGAGAAATGTAGTTGGCTGTTCAGAACATTCGTTTCTTTCTATATAAGGTACGCACAATAATAACTCTTAGAGGACTATCAGGAAGTTTAAAGGGGTTTTGTACATTGCAAAACACCATTCATGTGTAAGTGGTTATTGTGAACATGGCTGGTGCTTGATAAAATATTTGTTGAGCCTCTTATGCAAGCTACCAGTAAGCTCCTACATTCAGTATTTCATGCTGCAATTTGACAGGGGTATCATGTGTAGACACTTTATCTGCTGGTGTGAGCTACAACGCCTAGGCTCAGGTCCTGGCTCTGTCACTAACTACTTGGGTGAGCCAGGACAAGTTAAGTTCTGTAAATGTGAAATAATAGCAGATGGGTTATTAATGTTTGCAAAGCCAACTTGCTTGGCCTTCGCTTGTTTAATTTGTGAAACACGGATTTAAAAATTGAGCCCAGGCACGGTGGCTCATGCCTGTAATCCCAGCACTTTGGGAGACTGAGGCGGGCAGATCACCTGAGGTCAGGAGTTCCAGACCAGCCTGGGCAACCAACATAGTGAATCCTCATCTCTACCAAAAATACAAAAATTAGCTGGGCATGGTAGCATGCGCCTATATTCCCAGCTAGTCGGGAGGGTGAGGCAGGAGAATCGCTTGAACCTGGGAAGCAGAGGTTGTGGTGAGCTGAGAGCTGAGGTTGTGCCACTGCACTCCAGCCTGGGTGATAGAGCAAGTCTCCTCGAAATAAAAAAACAACAACAAAAAAAACCATTGAATTTACTGATGAAGTGATATGATGTGTGGTATTTACGTCAAAATCACCCAGGAGATGGAATATGGGAAGTAGAGGGGGTGTAGGTAAAATGAGACCGTCCATGAATTCACAGCTGCTGAAGCCAGCGATCAGCACCTGTCAGTGAGTTCCATTCTCTCTGCTTCTGTATATTTCTGAAATCCCCATGATAAAAAGTTAAAACAGACAAACAACTAAGAGATGCCTTCAAAAGAATTCAAGATGTAACAATCTGAAAATTAGCTTCCGAAATCCCACTTGGTGTATTGGTGGATTCTTTTATTTTGTTTTTTATTTTTTGTTTGTTTGTTTTTTTAAAAAAACAAAGGAAAAAGCCCCTGGGTTACTTGAGACAGTGGGGGAAATATCAGCTCAAAGATTCTCAAGTGTAGCCGTTATCTGATTCACCCCTACTCCCTCAGCAAAGTTGGCCGCCTCTAGTGGACAGGGTATTCCCCGGTCCCATCCTGGGCTCCAGTGACTCATACACTAAATCAGAGTTTCACATCTAACTATTATGGGCATTGGTTACTAAGGCTGGAAGCCAAAAGCCTGCTTGAAATGAAGATTCCTTTCTAAAGGTCAAAACTTTCCTCCAGAAAATGTTCCTCTCCATCAGGAGGCCTTGGCATGATGTCACCTTAGATATGAACTTACGAGGGGACGTTTCCTAAAAGTACACTTATCTCTTTTGTGATATTCATGTTAGGGATGAAATCAGCCTATGTCATACACTGACTTGTTCACTTAAAGAAAATGCCAGATAAGCAGGGAATTCATCACAGTCTTGATCATTTAGACTGTCTGGATGGTCGACCGCTGTTTCACTTTACCTCTGCTTCATAGGAATTTGGAATAGGACTAAGGCTGCAGCCCTTGCTCTCAACACACTGACCAGATGCTAACTGGTCAGGACCTTTTCTCCCACAGACACTAAAAGAAGATTCAGAAATCTTCCATGCTCAGGGTGCCAGGCAACCATTGCCCATCAATAGAAGTTGGCAAGTGAAATGAAACCTAATCACCTGCCCCTGAAGCAGTCTTGCTTTCAAAGTTAAGAAAACTGAGGCTTAGAGAGGTTAAGAGGTTAAACAACTTTTCTCTAAAGTCATACCTGTCATGGCTGGGTTGAGTTTGAGGCCACTTTCTCTCTGAGCTCAAGCAAGCTAGAAATTCTATGTCCCAAATATGGAAATCAAGCCTTTGACAGAAATGTAATAAGGATAAGGTATATTTGCCCACACTTTTCATATCTTGAAATAACTCTGTGGGGGTAACTGTGGTATCTCTGACACAGGAGGAGAATGAAGTGCAGCCTAAGAGCATAGAATTGGTGAATGGTGGAGTTGCAAACCAAAGCCATTTTTCTTTTCTTTTTTTAACTTAAAAAAATTTTAAATTATTTTTAATAGAGATGGATTCTTACTATGTTGCCCAGGCTGGTCTGGAGCTCCTGGGCTCAGGCAGTCTCCCCACTTTGGCTTCCCAAAGTGCTGAGATTACCAGTATGAACAACTGCACCCAGCCAAAGCCCTCTTTCTCTATGCTCAAAAGCTATCTCTTCTTTTCTTTCCTTTTCTTTTCTTTTTTTTAGACAGAGTCTTACTCTGTTGCCCAGGCTGGAGTGCAGTGGCACAATCTCGGCTCACCATGACCTCCACCTCCTGGGTTCAAGCAATTCTCCTGACTTAGCCTCCTGAGTAGCTGGGATTATAGGCACGCACCACCACGCTCAGCTAATTTCTTGTATTTTTAGTGGAGATGAGGTTTTGCTGTGTTGGCCAGGCTGGTCTTGAACCCCTGACCTCAAGTGATCCACCTGCCTCAGCCTCCCAAAGTGCTGGGATTGTAGGCGTGAGCCACCATGCCCGGCCAAGCTACATTCTTTCTGTTTCACTGGAGAAAATGAGTAGACCCTTGATCCAGCAGAGATCATTCTTTCTCTCTCTCTCTCTTTTTTTTTTTTTTTTAATTTTTGTGAATCATGGCCCTGCACCATGGCTCACATCTGTAATCCCAGCACTTTGGGAGGCCAAGGCGGGCAGATCACTTGAGCTCAGGAGTTCAGGACCAGCCATGGTGAAACCCCATCTCTATAAAAAATACAAAAATTAGCCAAGTGTGATGGTGCATGTCTGTAATCCCAGCTACTTGGGAGGCTGAGGCAGGAGGATGGTTTGAGCCTCAGATGCAGAGGTTGCAGTGAGCTGAGATCGTGCCACTGCATTCCAGCCTGGGTGACAGAGACCCTGTCTCAAAAAAAAAAATTGTGAATCATTGTTTGCTCAAGGCAGACACTGTTCTACGGGAGTGGCAGACACTGTTCTACGGGAGTGGGAGGTAAGCTAGATGCAGGAGGTGGAATCTCGTATCCTCTCTCTCATTTTCCCAGCATCCTTTGTAGATCTTCCCTTCTCTCCTCTCTGCTTTTGATCCTGGTTCCCTCCTCCTGGTCAGTAACGCTCTTCCCTTCCTTCTCAACACCTTAAAAGTCTCCTCAGGGCTCGTCTCAAATGCCACAGGCCTTCCCTGATCTTCTCAGTTATAATTAGTCCCTTTTCCCCTGGCATAATTTGCTTATACATTTTGCATTATAGGTTATGTTTTACATGTCTGACTTCCCTCACTAAATTGTGAGCAGCTTCAGCTGGGTGTAATCCCTGTAATCCCAGCACTTTAGGAGGCCGAGGAAGGTGGATCACCTGAGGTCAGGAGTTCGAGACCAGCCTGGCCAACATGGCAAAACCCCATCTCTACCAAAAATACAATAATTAGCTGGGTGTGGTGGTGGGCACCTGTAATCCCAGCTACTCGGGAGGCTGAGGCAGGAGAATCACTTGAACCTGGGAGGCGGAGGTTGCAGTGAGCTGAGATCACACCACTGTACTCCAGCCTGGGTGACAGAGTGAGACTCTGTCTCAAAAAAGAAAAAAAAAATTGTGAGCAGATTGAGGCAAAGGACTATATTTAATAATGTACATATTTCTTATTTATTTATATATATTCTTAGAGAAAGGGTCTCATTCATCCAGGCTGAAGTGCAGTGGTGTTATCATAGCTCACTGCAGCTTTGAACTCTTGGGCTCAAGCGATCCCCCCACTTCAACCTCCTGAGTAGCTGAGATCACAGGCATGCACCACTATGCCCAGCTCTTGGGTTCAAGTGATTCTTGTGCCTCAGCCTCCTGAGTAGCTGAGATTACAGGTGCCCACCACAACTCTTGGCTAATTTTTTTTTTTTTTGTATTTTTAGTAGAGATAGGGTTTCACCATGTTGGCCAGTCTGGTCTTGAACTCCTGACCTCAAGTGATTCCCCCACCTTGGCCTCCCAAAGTGCTGGGATTACAGGTGTGAGCCACCACACCTGGCCAAACCCTTTAAAAATTTTTTGTAGAGACGGGGTCTTGCTGTATTACCCAGGCTGGTCTCAAACTCCTGGGTTCAAATGATCCTCTAGCCTCAGCTTCTCAAAGCGTTAGGATTACGGGTGTGAGCCACTGCTCCCGGCCTTCAATTGTCTTTTGATATCAAGTATCCCGATGATGTCAATAAGTTTTATGACTTTATGCACAAACGGTTTCTAAGTATTTTTAAAATTTGTTCTTGTTACTTTATAGTCTTTTTATTTTATAAAAGTTGTCTCTGAAAATACATTTTCTAATCCTTTGTTGTTGGTGTAGAGGCATGGACTTGATATTTGAATGTTCATGTTACATAAAAAAAATCTAGCTGGGCCAGGTGCAGTGGCTCACACCTGTAATCCCAGCACTTTGGGAGGCAGGAGGATCACTTGGGACCAGGAGTTTGAGACCAGCCTGGGCAACGGGGCTAAACGCTGTCTCTACAAAAGATACAAAAATTAGCTGGGCATGGTGGCGCATCCCTGTAATCCCGGCTACTTAAGAGGCTGAGGCAGGAGAATCATTTGAACCCGGGAGGCGGAGGTTGTAGTGAGCCAAGATTGCGCCACTGCACTCCAGCCTGGGCGACAGAGCAAGCCCCTGTCTCAGAAAAAAAAAAAGAAAAAATCTAGCTGGTTTATATCATAATTCTGTTACTTTTTTGATTGTCTTGGATTTTCTGCATATGGAAAAGCATATTATCTGTGAGAAATGACAATTTTGTTTCTCATATTCTAATTCTTTTAATTTTAAAATCTAAAATATTAAATAATTTACATTTAAAAAAATGAGTTATTCACCCAGGCTGGAGTGCAGTGGCATAATCATGACTCACTGCAGCCTCTATATCCCTGGTTTCAGGTGATCCTCCTACATCAGCCTCCCTAGTAGCTGGGATACAGGCACACACCACCACTTCTGGCTAATTTTCTGTAAGTTTTGTAGAGATGGTGTTTTACTATGTTGCCCAGGCTGGTCTCGAACTCCTAGGCTCAAGTGATCTGCCTGCCTTGGCCTCCCAAAGCACTGGGATTGCAGCTGTGAGACATTGCACCCACCCCTATTCTAGTTCTTATTCCCTTCATTTTGGCAACCTGTCTTACTGCTCAAGATAGTACACCTATTATACAATGGACAGAAGTGATGATAACGGACATCATCTTGTTTTCGGTTTTAAAGAGATGCTTCAAATACTTCACCACCAAGTACCTTAAATGAGCCAGTTGCCCTTGTAAGATAACATTTGTCTTCCTGAGTCTCTGCCTTCACTTTCCCTCCTGGCCTCCAGACCAAACACCAGGGTGAAATCCCAGTGTGACCTAACTGGGAGTGTGCTACCCTTGCTAAGGGAGAAGGATTATACTTACAAATAGCTGCAAGACCAGCTTACTGAGTACTGGCAGGAACAAGAGTCGTTCTGGGAGAGGACCTGGAGCGTGCAGGATCAGGGTGGGTCCATGCAAAGCCGGATAAGGGAAGTGTTTGTCAATATGGAGAGATTCTCCCATTATAATCGCATTGGCCCAAGGGACCAAGTCTTGGTGGGATGGCTTTGCAGGCTTGGAATAAGTGATGGGCCTCAACCAGCTGAAGCAGAGATGCTAAAAATGCCATGGGCTTACTGTGGAGGAGGGAATCTGAAGACTCAGAGAGATGGGCCTGCTGCAATGGACTTGCTATATAAGACCAGGACGACCACCAGCCGACATTGGGAGGCCCCGGAGGACACCCTGCTTACAAGGGGATAAGGAATGTGGGTTAGGGGAGCACCAGTACTGCTGGACTCTGCAGGCCAGGACGGTTGGTGAGACATGCTGCTCCAGAACCAGGATTTCTAGTAGCAAAAGCAATGCCGGATAGAAGCATTTAACCTGCAGAAGCGAGGTGGGTGTCAAGGCCATAGCAGGAAGCAGAGCCGGAAGAGCAGCTAGCTGGAGGGTCCTCGTTCCCCGTGGCCTATAAAGATGGTCAATAGCACATGCTGGTCCCAGGGCAAGAGAGATGGAAACTTTCAAAGGTATTACCCAATACATACAAAAGAGATATAAAAACATGTCAGCAGAAGGTTGAGATTAGACACCACAGTGGAAAGCCCCTTTGCTATTTCCAGATTTGAAATGGGTCTTATTTATTTATATTTATAAATGAGACTGGGTCTTACTATGTTGCCCAGGCTGGACTTGAACTCCTGAGCTCATGCATTCCTCCTGCCTCAGCCTCCCAGGTAGGTAGGATAATAGGCATGTGCCACCATGCCCGGCGTAACTCTTAAACCAAAAACTCACTGGCTGAAGGAAGGTCTAGGTCACCATAAAGAAGGGCTCTGCAGCACCATGACAATTGCATAGGGTAGCTATTTCCCTAATCTTTTCCCCGAAGGATTTACTTGGGTAACCATAACTAAGGAAAGTGGTATGCCCATGTTTTCAAGGACTGTTGGATACAGGGCAGAGTCAGGCTGAGACTTGCTGTCCTGGACATGTGTCAGAGTAGGGCACATGGAGATAGTGGAGTCCTGGCCATTGGAAATATTGGAAATAAGAGGTCTGGAGGGGAGACATGTGGCTGGATGTATGGGAAGCAGCAAAAAGTGTGAGAATCTTTGGTTTTGTTTGTTTGTTTTTTGAGACGGAGTCTCGCTCTATCGCCCAGGTTGGAGAGCAGTAGTGCAATCTCAGCTTACTGCAACCTCTGCCTCCTGGGTTCAGCAATTTTCCTGCCTCATCCTCCAGAGTAGCTGGGATTACAGGTGTGAGCCACCATACCCGGCTAATTTTTTTGTATTTTTAGTAGAGATGGGGTTTCACCATGTTAGCCAGGCTGGTCTCAAACTCCTGATCTCAGGAGATCCACCTGCCTCAGCCTCCCAAGGTGTTGGGATTACAGGCGTGAGCCACTGCGTCCAGCTGAGAACCTTTGTATCACTCGCTAATACCCACCAAAGAGCACACACCACAGAAGAGAACAACCAAGTTGACAGGATGACTGGGCCAGTAGATGCCAGCTATTCCTGTCCTCATCCCCCCTAATGCTTGCACCATGGGATCACAGAGATGGCAGAGAGTTGCAGGCTACATGTTGGGTTCCCTCTTGCTAAGTCTGGTCCATCTCACAATGGGTGCACTGAGTGCCTGGGCTCACCCAGTGGAAATTTCCTGGATTCCCAAATGTGTGATAGAAATGAACATACCTAACACATAGAACCCTTATACTTTTTTCTTGATTTTTACAGTAAGGGCGATTATAGTAGGAAAAGCCAAATAGAAGCCCTTGAAATCATGAGATGAATGGTGACCCATGCCACCCTCAAAGACTTAGAGGATGTCAGAATAGCAGTCCTCATCATAGTCACCCACATTACCTGTCTAGCTTCTATATAACATAAATGGATTATGACAGATGACAGTGACCTACTGCAAACGTACCCAAGTGTAAACCCAAACTGCAGTTGCTAGGCCAGGGGTAGTATCTTCATTAGAGCAGATTAACATAGACGCTGGTCTGTAGGATGCAGCTATTGATCTGGCAAATGCTTCAGCCTTGGTAAGAGAGAGCCCATTCTTTTTTTTTTTTTTTTTAAAGACACATTTATTTAGGGTCATGATCAGACTATTACATTTAGCAATCAACAGCATGGGTGCAAAAACCAAAATCTACATTAAAGCCCTTTGTTGGACTGCTTTATGCTTTCCAACGAACAGAAATTGAAAATAATCTGTTATGCAATTAGTCATCAATACAGTCTTGGAGTTTTTTGCCCATACATATATTTGTCAAAACCATGTCTTCTTTGTAGCAGCTGGACCCTGCCACCATGGTGCTTGGCTGAGTTCACAATGTGTTGTAACCTGTAGCTTCCCTGTCCCTTCTCTGGCTCGCCTCTCCTGCTAGGCTTTCTTTCCTGGCAATAATTAAAATCTTTTGCCACTGCCATAGGTACTGCTGCTACTGGAACTGCCACAGCCACCTTGGTTTCATGGTTCGGCAAAGTATTGGCCTCCAACATCACAGGGGCCAGAGCTTCTGCCTCCAAAGTTTCCACCCTTCATGGGTCCAAAATTTGAAGACTGATTCTTGTAATTGCCAAAATCATTGTAGCTTTCACCACCTCCAAAATTGCTTCCCTCATTACCAAATCCATTATAGCCATCCCCACTGCCCCCATATTCACCATCACCACGGCTGCCACCAAAGCCACCATGACGACTGAAGTTTCCTCCACAACCCACCAAAACCACCCCCTCCACCACCACCGAAGTTTCCAGAACCACTTTGACCTCTTTGGCTGGGTGAAGCACTAGCCATCTCTTGCTTTGGCAGAGCTTCCCTACCTAACTTCAAAGTTGTGACCATTCATAGGGTGGTATTTCTTTTTTTTCTTGAGACAGAGTCTTACTCTGTTGCCCCAGTTAGAGTGCAGTGGCATGATCTCAGCCCGCTACAACCTCCACCTCCCAGGTTCAAGCAATTCTTGGGCCTCAGTGTCCTGAGTAGCTGGGATTACAGGTGTGTGCCACAATGCCCAGCTAATTTTTTGTATTTTTAGTAGAGATGGGGTTTTGCCATATTGGCCAGGCTGGTCTTGAACTCCTGGGCTCAAGTGATCCACCTGCCTCGGCCTCCCAAAGTGCTGGGATTTTAGGCATGAGCCACTGCACCCAGCCAGGATGGCATTTCTGGATGACAATCTTATCCACAGAGTCATGGTCATCAAAGGTTACAAAGACAAAGCCCCTTTTCTTGCTGCTGCCTCGTTTCAGTCATGATTTCAATCACTTCAATTTTTCCACACTGTTCAAAATAATCTCTTAGGTGATATTCTTCAGTGTCTTCTTTAATGCCACCAACAAATATCTTTTTCACAGCTAAGTGGGCACCTGGTCTTTGAGAATCTTCTGTTGAGACAGTTCTCTTTGGCTCCACAACTCTTCCATACACCTTGTGTGGCCTTGCATACATGGCGGCATCCACCTCCTCCACAGTGGCATATGTGATAAACCCAAAGCCCCTGGAATGCTTGGTGTTTGCATCTCACAGTTCGTTGAGCATTCCCCATGCTTAAAATGGCTCCTCAGGCTTTTGTCAGTTGTTTCAAAGCCCAACCCTCCAATGAAGAGCTTCTGCAGCTGTCTGGTCTCTTTAGGAGACTCTGACTTAGACATGATGGCAGTGGGAAGAGAGACTTTACCAATGCTTCTTCAGTGGAATCTACAAGCAGAAAGGCAAGGGAGCCCATTCTGTCAAACCAACATGTTGCCTGCAACTCTCTACCATCTCTAAAGTTGATTTAGCAAGCAGTAGGTGGTTAGGGACTAACCCTGCCAGTAGCTGGCATCTACAGGACAAAGTTGGAGATCTCACACTTCTTGACTTCAAACTTACTACAAAGCTACCATAATCAAAACAGTGTGGTATTGACATAAAGACAGACATATAGATCAATGGGACAAAATAGAGAACTCAGAACTAAACCCTTGCATATATGGTTCAAATAATTTTAGACAAGGATGGCGATATCAGTCAATGAAGGAAAGGACTTTTTTTTCAACAAATGGTGTTGGGACAACTGAATATCCACATGCAAAAGAACAAAATTGGACCCTTTGGTTTTGGGAATAACTCTCAAATCCATATTTTTCCTCTGCTCTCACATCACAACAATCAACACAGAAGACTTCTGTGACCAAATATGTGGATTTTTTCTCCCCCATCAACAATCAGTGGACACCAGCTGGTGTCCTCCAATTCAATTCCACCACTATCTACCTGGAGATTGCATCAGATCCCACAAGTTGAGGGCTCAGTCCCACAAGACTGACCCCTCCTTTCCCTCAGTTACAAGTCTGGGCCTCAGGAACTTTTGACCAAACTGGCTTCAAGTTGGGGTTCCTATAACCCCTTCTTTGGGTTCAATTAACTTGTTAGAGTAGCTCACAGAACTCAGGGAAACACTTACTTATGTTTACCAGTTTATTACGAACTTCCATGTGTTCAGCTATCTGGAAACTCCCTGAACCCAGTTCTCTTGGATTTTTATGGAAGCTTCATGACATCAGCATTCCTTTCCCCAGGATATAGGGTAGGACTTTCTCTGGGGCGGGCCTTAAGACCCACAATAAGAAAGGTGGGGGAAAATTAGAGTCCTGCCTTCGGGCAGATGAAAGGAAGGCAAGAGTAGGACAGAGAGATTCTGTTTCCTGAGGCCTGCCCCAGGGGCTCATTTTAACACACCCGACATTAAAAGGAAAGACTCTAACAAGGGCTATGGGGTTTCTGAGCCAGGAACCATGGACAAAAACATATGCATGTGTATATAACACTACACCTTTCCTTATACCACATATAAATAATAACTAAAAATGGATCAAAAGCCGGGCTCAGTGGCTCATGCCTGTAATCCCAGCACTTTGGGAGGCCGAGGTGGGTGGATCACCTGAGGTCAAGAGTCCAAGACCAGCCTGACCAACATGGTGAGACCCTGTCGCTACTAAAATTACAAAAAATTAGCCAGGCGTGATGGTGTGCACCTGTAATCCCAGCTACTTGGGAGGCTGAAATAAGAGACATGCTCAAACCCAGGAGGTGAAGGTTTGCAGTGAGCCGAGATTGTGCCACTGCACTCCAGCCTGGGCAACAAGAGGGAAACTCCATCTCAAAAAATAAAAATAAAAAAAGATCAAAGACCTAAATGTGGAGCTAAAACTGTAAAACTCTCAGAAAATAGGGGAAAAACTTCCCATTTAAGATAGGGGAAAACAACTGGGTTAAAAAGTGGGCAAAGGACTTAAACAGACGTTTCTCCAAAGAAGATATACAAATGGCCTCTAAGCACATGAAAAGATGCTCAAAGATGCCCAACGTCACTAATCCTTAGGGAAATGCAAATTAAAATGGCAATGAAGTACCATGTCCCACCCGTTAGGATGGCCATTATCAAAAAACAACAAGAAAGCAATGAGCGTGGGTGAAGATGGGGAGAAACTGGAACCTTCTGCACTGTGGGTGGGAATGTAAAGCAGTGCAGCTACTGTAGAGAACAGTATGGCAGTTTCTCCAAAAATTAAAAAGAGTTACTATATGATCCAGCCATTTCATTTTGGGGTATATAACCCAAAGAATTGAAAGCAGGGACTTGAACAGATAGATATACACTCATATTCATAGCAACATTATTTATAATAGCTGAAAGGTGTAAGCAACCCAAGTGTCCATCTACAGATTTTTTTGTTTTGTTTTGTTTTTTTGAGACAGAATCTTGCTCTGTCGCCCAGGCTGGAGTTCAGTGGTGCAATCTTGGCTCACTGCAGCCTCTGCTTCCCAGGTTCAAGAGACTCTCCTGCCTCAGCCTCCTGAGTAGCTGGGATTACAGGCATGCACCACCACATCCAGCTAATTTTTTTTTTTTGAGATGGAGTCTTGCTCTGTCGCCCAGGCTGGAGTGCAGTGGCACGATCTCTGCTCACTGCAAGCTCCGCCTCCCAGGTTCACACCATTCTCCCGCCTCAGCCTCCCGAGTAGCTGGGACTACAGGCGCCCGCCACCAGCCCAGCTAAATTTTGTATTTTTTTAGTAGAGTTGGGGTTTCACCGTGTTAGCTGGGATGGTCTCGATCTCCTGACGTCATGATCCACCCGCCTTGGCCTCCCAAAGTGCTGGGATTACGGGCTTGAGCCACTGTGCCTGGCCATTTGTTGTATTTTTAGTAGAGATGGGGGGTTTCCTCATGTTGGCCAGGCTGGTCTTGAACTCCTGACCTAATGATCCACCCACCTTGGCCTCCCAAAGTGCTGGAATTACAGGCATGAGCCACCATGCCTTGCCTACAGATGAATTGTTAAACAAAATGTGGTATATACATAAATGGAACATTATTCAGCCTTAAAAAGAATGGAAATCCTGACATATGCTACAACATGGATAAACCTTGACATTATGCTAGGTGAAATAAGCTACTCACAAAAAGATAAATGCCATATAATTCTATTTATGTAAGGCACTACAGGTGTCAGATTAATAGAGGGAGGCAGAAAGTACAATGGTGGTCACCAAGGGCTGGGGAGGAGGGGACATGGGTCAGGGAGCTTATTGTTTAATGGGTACAGAGTTTCTGTTCTGCAAGATGCAAAGAGTTCTGGAGATGGATGGTGGCGATGGCTGCACAACATGAATGTTCTTAATAGCATTGAACTGTACACTTAACAATGGTTAAGAAAGGGTCTTGCCCTGTTACCCAGGCTGGAGTGCAGTAGCCCTATCATAGCTCACTACAGCCCCAAACTCCTGGGCTCAAGTGATCCTTAGCCTTCCAGTGGTCTTTGTTGTAGACAACCTGATGGATTCTCATGGCACAGAAGATTAATTAAACAATGTCTTTCAATTTTAATACGTTTCTGCAATCCAAAAAAAAAAAAATAGTTAGCATGGCAAGTTTGATGTTTGTTGCGGGAAGTCCGGGACCCCGAATGGAGGGACCGGCTGAAGCCATGGCAGAAGAACATAAATTGTGAAGATTTCATGGACGTTTATTAGTTCCCCAAATTAATACTTTTATAATTTCTTATGCCTGTCTTTACTTCAATCTCTGAACATAAATTGTGAAGATTTCATGGACATTTATCACTTCCCCAATCAATACTTGTGATTTCCTATGCCTGTCTTTACTTTAATCTCTTAATCCCGTCATCTTCATAAGCTGAGGATGAATGTCGCTTCAGGACCCTGTGATGATTGCGTTAACTACAGAAATTGTTTGTAGAGCATGTGTGTTTGAACAATATGAAATCTGGGCACCTTAAGAACAGGATAACAGCGATTTTCAGGGAACAAGGGAGATAACCTTAAAGTCTGGCTGCCTGTGGGCCAGGCAGGACAGAGCCATATTTCTCTTATTACCAAAAACGGGTAAGAGAAGTATCACTGAATTCTTTCCCCAGTAAGGAATATTAATAATTAACAGCCCTGGGAAAAGAATGCATTCCCGGGGGGGCCTCTCAAATGGCTGCCCTGAGAGTGTCTGCCTTATGCAGACGTAGGTAGGGATGAAACACGCCCTAGTCTCCTGCAGCGCCCCCAGGCTGGCTAGGATTAGGAAATTCCAGCCTGACAAATTCTAGTCAGACCGGTTCTCTGCTCTTGAACCCTGTTAAGATGTTTATCAATGACAATGCGTACACAGTGGGGCATGGAAGTTCATTAGTGATTCTAGTTTCACCCTGACCTTGTGATCTCGCCCTGACCTCCTGCCTTGTGATCTTTTGTTGCTCTGAAAGCATGTGATCTCTGTGACCCACATCCTATTCGTACACTCCCTCCCCTTTTGAAAATCACTAATAAAAACTTGCTGGTTTTGCAGCTTGTGGGGCATCACAGAACCTGCCAACATGTGATGTCTCCCCTGGACACCCAGCTTTAAAATTTCTCTCTTTTGTACTCTTTCCCTTTATTTCTCAGACTGGCCGACACTTAGGGAAAATAGAAAAGAACCTATGTGAAATATCGAGGGTGAATTTTTTTTTTTTTTGAGACAAAGTCTCACTCTGTCGCCCAGGCTGGGGTTCAGTGGCATGATCTCAGCTCACCACAACCTCCGCCTCCCAGGTTCAAGTGATTCTCCTGCCTCAGCCTCCTGAGTAGCTGGAATTACAGGCGCGCACCACCACCCCCAGATAATTTTTGTATTTTTAGTAGACACGGGGTTTCACCATGTCGTTCAGGCTGGTCTTGAACTCCTGATCTCAGATGATACACCCACCTCAGCCTCCCAAAGTGGTGGGAGTACAGGCATGAGCCACCGTGCCCGGCCACATGTGACTTTATAGTTCCTCCCAAGAAGCAGTGTATCCTTCTCTGCCCCCTAGTCCAACCCAGCCTAGATTAGCAGAGCCCCAAACCATCTGTGTAAATATGAGTGGTTGTAAATGATTCTTGTCTATAATCGCTGAGTTTTGGTGTCTGTAGTGTATTTCTCAGCAATAGCAAACAAATTTTTCTTTTTTTTCTTTGAGACAGAGTCTTGCTCTGTCGCCCAGGCTGGATTGCGGTAGTACAATCTCAGCTCACTGCTGACCACAGTGAGCTGAGTGCCACCACACCTGGCTAATTTTTGTACTTTTAGTAGAGACTGGGTTTCACCATGTTGGCCAGGCGGGTCTCAAACTCCTGACCTCAGGTGATCCACCTGCCTCGGCCTCCCAAAATGCTGGGATTATAGGTGTGAGCCACTGCGCCCGGCCTGCAATAGCAAAGAAATGTAAGTACAAACATACTTCAAATTTTAAAAGAGTTTCTAAGCTGGGCACAGTGGCTCACACCTGTAATCCCAGAACTTTGGGAGGCCGAGGTGGGTAGATCATGAGGTCAAGAGATTGAGACCATCCTGGCCAAACTGGTGAAACCCCATCTCTAGTAAAAATACAAAAATTAGCTGGGCATGGTGGTACATGCTTGTAGTCCCAGCTGCTCAGGAGTCTGAGGCAGGAGAATTGCTTGAACCTGGAAGGCGGAGGTTGCAGTGAGCCAAGATGGCACCACTGCACTCCAGCCTGGGCGACAGAGCGAGACTCCGTCTCAAAAAAAAAAAAATAAATAAATAAATAAATAAATAAATAAAAAATAAAAACCCCATAAAGAAGCAGTTTCTATAATGCCTATGTACATTTCAAATAATACTAACACTAATATTAATACAAATGCTAATAAAAGAATATAAATATTTTAACCCAACTTAAGTAATAAACATTACCAAATACCTTTTCCCATTCTTTTCCCAGAGCTAATTATGATCCTGATTTTGTTAATTACCTCTTTGCCTTTCATTAATTACTTCTTTGCCTTTCTTTATAATTTTGCCAATTTTTACTTATCTCTAAGTAATAAATACATTACTGAATATTGCTTATTTTTAAGCTTTATTGTACTATGTAAACTTGGTTTGGCACAAAATTATGTTTTTGAGATTTAACCACATTGATTGAGATACTCCCTTCCCCCCGCCATTTTTTCCTTACCTTATTGGTTGCAATTGATTATTAATATTTCACATGAATATTTTACCTAATCCAAAGTTAACTAATAAACTTTATTCTGCTCCCAAATCAAAGAACCTCAGAATGCTTTAACATCAATCTCTCCACTCACAGTTAACATACCATTGTTGTCCAGTAATGTTCAACTTCACACATATAATGTTCAACACAATATATGTTAACCATTATATTGGTTAACATAATCAGTGAATTTATATTTTCCCACATTTAGGCCAGGCATGGTGGCTCATGCCTGTAATCCCAGCACTTTGGGAGGCCGAGGTGGGTGGATCACCTGAGTTCAGGAGTTCAAGACCAGCCTGGCCAACATGGTGAAACCCCGTCTTTACTAAAAATACAAAAATAAGCTGGGCATGGTGGAGGGCACCTGTAATCCCAGCTACTCAGGAGGCTGAGGCAGGAGAATCACTTGAACCTGGGAGATGGAGATTGCAGTGAACCGAGATCACATCACTGCACTCCAGCCTGGGTAACAGATTAAGACTCAGTTTAAAAAAAAAAAAATAGCAGGGCACGGTGGCTCACACCTGTAATCCCAACACTTTGGGAGGCCAAGGTGGGTGGATCACCCGAGGTCAGGAGTTCGAGACCAGCCTGGCCAACATGGTGAAACCCCATCTCTACTAAAAAAAAAAAAAAAAAAAAATTAGCCGGGCGCGTTGGCAGGCGCCTGTAATCCCAGCTACTCAGGAGGCTGAGACAGGAGAATCACTTGTACCCTGGAGGCGGAGGTTGCAGTGAGCCGAGACTGCGCCATTGCACTCCAACCTGGGCAAGAAGAGCAAAACTCCATCTCAAAAGAAAAAATGTTCCCACATTTTATTTATTCACCAATCTTTCTTGTATCTCAGACTTCTCTGTGATCATTTCCTTTTATTGGGAATTGTATATTTTAGAGTTTTTGAGAGTCTGTTAATGGTAATTATTCTCAGTATTGCTTTTTCAAAAACAATCTTTCAAAAACATCTTCAAGATGTCACAATTTTACTTTTTTCTTTTAAGAATTGCCTTGTTTGGGCAGGCAGTTTCCTGTCAATACTCACTTTCTCACGGCACTAATATTGAAGATAATAATCTACAGTTTCCTGACTTTCACTTTTGCTGCTGAGTAATTAGCTGTTCATTTTATTTTCACTCCTTTGTAGATCATATGTCTTTTCTCTCTGGCTGTTTCTTTCCAGATGCTTCTTTTTTTTTTTGAGACAGAGTTTCATTCTTCTCACCCAGGCTGGAGTGCAGTGGTGCAATCTCAGCTCAAGGCAACCTCTGCCTTCTGGGTTCAAGAGATTCTCCTGCCTCAGCCTCCTGAGTAGCTGGGATTACAGGCGCCCGCCACCATGCCCGGCTAATTTTTGTATTTTTAGTAGAGACAGGGTTTCACCATGTTGGCCAGGCTGGTCTCAAACTCCCGACCTCAGATGATTCATCACCCTCAGCTTCCCAAAGTGCTGGGCTTACAGGCATGAGCCACAGTGCCTGGCCCCCGGATGCATTTAACAATTATTCTGCTTGGGATCTGTGGGAGTTGCTGAATGTATTACATCAATGATCTCTGTCCACCTCCCTGGTTCAAGGTTTTCTCCTGCCTCAGCCTCCCAAGTAGCTGGGACTACAGGTGCATGTCACCCCATCTGGCTAATTTTTGTATTTTTAGTAGAGACGGGGTTTCACCATGTTGGTCAGACTGGTCTCAAACTCCCATCCTTAAGTGATCAACCCCCCTCAGCCTCCCAAAGTGTTGGGATTATAGGTATAGGCCACCGCACCCTGCTTTCTTTGTTTTGATACAGGGTCTTGCTCTGTCACTCAGGCTGGAGGGCAGTGGCACAATCTCAGCTTCCTGCAGCCTCAACCTCTTGGCTCAAGCGATTCTCCTATCTCAGCCTCTTGAGTAGCTGGGACCACAGGCATGTGCCACCACACCTGGCTCGTTTTTGTATTTTTTGTTGAGATAGGGTTTCACTATGTTGCCCAGGCTAGACTTGAACTCCTGACTCAAAAAATCCTCCCACGTCCCAATGTGCTGGGATTATAAGCATGAGCCATCACACCTGGCCGTATCAATTCTCAAAATTCTGAGTCCTACCCTTGCTAATATTGCCTCTCACACACATTCTCTGCTACTGCTTTCCTGACTCAATGCATGCTGGGCCTTCTCTGCTATGTGTCTTAACCTCTTTATTACTTTCATTTTTTATTTTTATTTTTGGCACTGTAGGGTACATTTTGAGTAATTTATTCAAAAGTATCCTCCATCCCACTAATTTGGTCTTTAATTGTATCTAATCTGGTGTTTGCGTTTCGATTTTTAATTGTAGTCATTATCTTTTTATATGTTAGTTGTGTTAGTTGAAGTTTGGATTTAGTTCTATTGTTTTTTCTTTCTGTGCATTCTTCCTCATGATTTTTTTTTTTTTTTTTGAGACAAAAGTCTCGCTCTGTCAGCAGGCTGGAGTGCTGTGGTGTGATCTTACCTCACTGCAACCTCTGTCTCCCGGGTTCAAGTGATTCTCCTGCCTCAGCCTCCTGAGTACCTGGGACAACAGGAGCGTGCCACCAGACCCAGCTAATTTTTGTATTTTTAGTAGAGATGGGGTTTCACCATGTTGGCCAGGATGGTCTCGATCTCTTGATCTCATGATCTACCCGCCTTGGCCTCCCAAAGTGCTGGGATTACAGGTGTGAGCCACTGTGCCCAGCTGAGCTCATAGTATTTAGAACTCTACTCTGGGGATTATTTAATACTTAAGGCTTAGTTGGTTTGAGTGTACATTTTTCCAGAAAGTATTTGTGTTTGTGTCTGCTTGGCACTGCAGACATTATCAGCCAGATCCCTGTTGTCTCCTCTTGTGGCTTTCCAGGCTACGCAGACCCCATCAACATGAAGATTGTCCATGAATGCCCAGGGAGAACTGAAAGACATGACCCCAGAGCCAAAGCAGAAATAGAACCTGTCTCTTTGCCCTCTGCTTCAGTGAGGTCAATTTTTTTTTTTTTTTTTTTTATTGAGACAAAGTTTTACTCTGTTGCCTAGGCTGAAGTGCTGTGGGGCGATCTCAGCTCACTGCAACTTCCGCCTCCTGGGTTCAAACAATTCTCCTGCCTCAGCCTCCCCAGTAGCCGGGACTAGAGGCGCCCACCACCACTTCTGGCTAATTTTTACATTTTTAGCAGAGACAGGGTTTCAAGGGTGAGCCACCACACCCAGCCAGTGAGGTAGAATTTTTCTCACTTCACCGTTTCCTGGGTCTGGGCGCTGTGTGTGTGTGTGTGTGTGTGTTTGGGATGAGGAGTGTTCATTGATTTGACTTCTGTTCAAATGGAGCTCAAAGCTTATCTCCCGTGTCCATAAACAAGGCTGTTCAAACAGGTTAGGCCACCTGGGGTCGGAAGGTATTTTAAAGTATTTTAGGCATGTTCAAGACATTATACGGGGCCCCTGACAGCCATCAGATATGCAGAAACTTATGTACAAACACATCAAGTGAGACTTCACTGGATAAAAAGATTTCCAAAGCCATCTGGAGTTGGAAGGTATTTTAAAGTCGGCCACAGCATCATTGCAGGCTGGCCCCCTGAGCTTGTATTTCTGCTTTGTTCCACGCGAGCTTCCTACAACCTTATCCATTCATTTCAAAATATTGAACTTTGTATTTTTTCTAAAATTTTAAGGCTTTATAACAGAGTTTCAGGACGTCTAGTCTGCCATATTCCTAGAAGCAGAACTCTCACTTTATTTTATAATACACTGGAGTCTTGCAACGTGTCTTTCGCAGTGGAGGCCCTCACATGTGTGCTGGATGAATGTGTGACGGCTGCTTTTCACATGTTAATTCCATCTCTCCTGTCAGATACTCTTGCATTTCTTTCATGTCTGCCCTAGCGTCTAGCTTAGTGCTGTGCGCTTGTTAGGGGTTCATTATAGCACTTGTTGAATGAATACACAGGTCCTTGTCTTGTCTCTCTAGGGAGGGAGTTTTTATAATTGTTCTTGGAAGCCTGTTTTATATATTAGTCATCTTTACATTAAAAAGTGCCTGTGGGGCCAAGTGTGGTGGCTCACACCTGTAATCTCAGCCCTTTGTGGGGCTGAGGTAGGAAGGACACTTGAATCCAGGCGTTTGAGACCAGCCTGTATAACAAAGCAAAACCAAAATAAAATAATGATAATTATTACATATTATTTATCATTCTATAATAATAATTATTATTAGCCAGACTTGGTGGTGCGCACCTGTAGTCCCAGCTACTCAGGAGGCTGAGGCAGGAGGATCACTTGAGCCCAGGAATTCAAGGCTAATCATGCCACTGCACTTCAGCCTGGGCAATAGAGTGAGACCCTGTCTTTAAAAAAAAGTAAAGTTTTAAACCATTAAAAAATAATAATAAATAAAAAACACTCATGCAGTCTAATCAATGCCTCTTCCCCAGATGTTAACCTGTTTCCCTCCCTTTTGCCCTTTGTGAATATGGAGAACAGTTGCTTGACAATTTTCTCATTTAACAACAATTACGTTTTTAGATACCTAAATGATGTTAAGGCAGCTCTTTAAAACATTGCTTTGCTGAAGCAACCTCATTCTTCCAGTGGTAGAGAACATAATTCCGTATATTTGTGGGGGTGGTTGGGTGTGGAATGACCAAAGCTTTATTTCGGAAGTTCTCTGTCACTGAAAGTGCCCTGATAGAAATAAAGCACTTAATGAGGTCTTGGACAGGTGCTGCCCGCCCAGCATTCTTGCTGAAACTCTCCCTGTGCGTCACTGGCTCCTGGGCGCGATGTTTCAGGTAACTCGGGCAAAGCACGCATGCTGCTGTGGCTCTGTGGTCAGCCCATGACGAGAGCCTCGTCCACGTTCCGTGAAATCTGTGAGTGCTGCCCGAGTCGAGCTACCGTTGCTCACCACCGCCACTTCCTGTCTTCCTACCCAGCGCCGCGGCTCTCGGAGGCTGCCAGTGGCTGGGTGCGCCTGGCCTGAGTCCTCCACCCGAAGAAAATAAGGAACCTGGCCAGAGAGAGGCAAAAGGAAGAGTCTGCTCCTCATGTTCCTTCTTGCTGTGGTTTTACCCTCGCCACTTATTTCGTGGTCATTCATTGGTGAGTATTTGAGCAACGTTCATAACATGACTGGGGGCCCTTGACAGTGATCGGATGTGCGGAAACGTAGGTAAAAGCTCACTCAACAGTGAGCGAGACTTCACTGGATTAAAAAAATAGTCCATTTCCTTTTTTTTTTTAACTTTTACTTTCAGTTCAGGGGTACATGTGCAGGTTTGTTACATAGGTAAACTTGTGTCATGGGGTTTGCTGTACAGATGATTTCATCACCCAGGTATTAAGCCTAGTACCCATTAGTTATTTCTCCTGATCCTCTCCCTCCTTCCACCTTCCATCCTCTGATAGGAACCAGTGTATGTTGTTCCCCTCTATGTGCCCATATGTTCCCATCATTTAGCTCCCACTTATAAGCGAGAACATGCAGTATTTAATTTTCTCTTCCTGTGCTAGTTTGCTAAGGATGATGGCCTCCAGCTCCATCCATGTCTCTGCAAAAGACATGATCTCATTCTTTTTTATGGCTGCATGGTTGTCCGTGGTGTGTATGTACCACATTTTCTTTATCCAGTCTACCATTGATGGGCATTTAGTAGATTCCATGTCTTTGCTATTGTGAACAGTGCTGCAATCATATGAAAAAAGCTTAATATTACTGATCATTAGAGAAATGCAAATCAAAACCACAATGAGATACCATCTCACACCAGTCAGAGTGGCTATTATTAAAAAGTCAAAAAATAACAGATGCTGGCGAGGTTGCAGAGAAAAAGGAATGTTTTTACACTGTTGGCAGGAGAGCAAATTAATTCACTAGTTGTTGAAGACAGTGTGGCAATTCCTCAAAGGCCTAAAAACAGAAATATCATTTGACTCAGCAATCCCATTACTGGATATATACCTAACGGAATGTAAATTTTTCTATTATAAAGACACATGCACACATATTGGCCGGGCGTGATGGCTTACACCTCTAATCCCAGCACTTTGGGAGGCTGAGGCAGGCAGATCATTTGAGGTCAGGAGTTCGAGACCAGCCTGGCCAACATGGCTAAACCTCATCTCTACTAAAAATACAAAAATTAGTCAGGCATGGTGGTGCATGCCTGTTGTCTCAGCTACTCAGGAGGCTGAGGTGGGAGGATTGCTTGAACCCAGGAAACAGAGGTTGCAGTGAGCCGAGATCATGCCACTGCACTCCAGCCTGGGTGACAGAGTAAGACTCTGTCTCAAAAAAAAAAAAAAAAAAAAAGACACATGCATCTATGGTCCATTTACTTTTGCCTGTTCAATGAGATAACCAATTGTGCCACTAGCAAGAATGAAGCTAGTTCTTCTCAAATGCTCAGCTTTGTGCTTCGAAAATGAGAAGAGACACAGGCCCTGCCTCCCTGAGAACACCTCTTGACAAATGGATTTCTGAAAAGGAATTCATTCAGTTATTCAACACAGATGTTTACGTGCCAGATACTATTGTAGGCATTTGAGATACAGCAGTGACCAAAACAGACATCAATCCCTGCCCTGGTGAACATTCGTCCAAGTTGTGCACAAATACATTTTTATTAATGAAAGGAGGTTTTTCAACTCCCAGGGGGTGACTGTTACTTAAGGAAAGCTGACTGTGGATTCTTCTCTTCTTCTTTTTATTTATTTATTTATTTATTTGAGACAGAGTCTCACTCTGTTGCCCAGGCTAGAGTACAGTGGCACGATCTCAGCTCACTGCAGCCTCTGCCTCCTGGGTTCAAGTGATTCTCCTGCCTTAGCCTCCCAAGTGGCTGGGATTACAGGCATACGCCATCATACCAGGCTAATTTTTGTATTTTTAGTAGAAACAGGGTTTCACTATGTTGGCCAGCCTGGTCTCGAACTCCTGGCCTCAAGTGATCCACCCACCTCGGCCTCCCAAAGTGCTCGGATTACAGGCATGAGCCACTGCACCTGGCCGGATTCTTATCTTCTCTTAAGAAAAGACCCTTTCTGTGCCCATGCCAGGGGTCCCCTGGTGATGGGAGGCAGTAGAGGTTGCTGATCAGTGGCCATGGAGGACCAGGTGACCAAAAGCTGGGAGGCAAGAAGGCAGTAGGGTGCAGGACTGAGGCTCCAATCCTGGTGCACGTTCCATTGTCCCGCTGGACTTCGCTTACAAAACACAAATTCAAGGTTGGGCATGGTGGCTTGCGCCTATAGTCCCATCCACTTGGGAGGCTGAGGCTGGAGGATCACTTGTGCCCAGGAGGTGCAGGCTGCAGTGAGCCATGGGTGCAACACTGTTCTCCAGCCTGAGTAACAGACCATGACCTTGGCTTCAAAACAAACCAACAAACAAAACATAAAGTCAAAGATCAAATTAGTAAGATTTTAAATGAATAATTAATTAAACCCCAAGTGCTAGGGGAATGTGAAAACTTCCAAATGCTGGGACTTTCTGAACATGTGGGGCCCTGAGTGACTATCCCGGTTACTCAAGCTGGCCCTGCCCAGAGCTGTTAACTGGTATGTTCTACAGGGATGGTATCTCTCTTCCTACCTTGCAGCTATGCTGTGAAGAGTAAGAGGAAGTATTCTGAAAAGTGCAAGGTCTTATACTGAGGTAAGACACTCTATTGTTTTGTTTTGAGACAGAGTCTAGCTCTGTCACCCAGGCTGTTGTGCAGTGGCTGGATCTTGGCTCACTGCAACCTCCGCCTCCCGGGGTTCTAGCGATTCTCCTGCCTCAGCCTCCTGAGTAGCTGGGACTACAGGCATGCGCCACCAAACTTAGCTAATTTTTGTATTTTTAGTAGAGATGGGGTTTCACTATGTTGGCCAGGCTGGTCTTGAACTCCTGACCTCAGGTAATCTGCCTGCCTCAGCCTCCCAAAGTGCTGGGATTACAGGCATGAGTCACTGTGCCCGGCCCACTCTATTGCTTAAGTCTGATTTTTTTACATCTGGATCAAGTTGGTTTACCAGAAATCACATGCATGTGTTTGGTGTTCTGTGCCCCATAGTGTAGAGTCAATTTCCCAATTCTATGGGAACAGATTATCTTAGAGGCCATAACATGTTCTTTTATAAAGGAGCCACATAGCGGACTGCAGAAGAGCTCCAGGATCAGCTTGGCCCACTAGTCTCCATGATCCTCTTAGTATTACAGGAAAACTCCCTGAAGAGTTTTAGAACATTTTCTTGGAAGTTTGTTGGTCTTGGTGGGTGGGGGCGAGGTGGCAGTGGTTTAACGTAGTGTTACTTAAATCTGGATTGAATCCAGAGCTACTGCTTCCTAGCTGGGAGGCCTTGTGCAAGTTGTGTGAATAAGCCTTTCTTCATTTACAATAAAATAAGTGTGATGTTAATGATACCTTCTTTAAAGTTTTCTTGTACAAAGCAACAGAGGATTCTTTACATTGTCAGGTATGCAGTAGGTGCTCAGTAAGCATTAGCTGTTACTATTTTTAGCTTGGAGAGGCGCAAGCAAAGACTTTCAGAGTAAAAGATAGTTTGTGCTGGTCGCTTATTTGGTGAGTATTATTCCCACCGCCCAAAGTCAAGGAGAGGCCAAGTCTAGCTGGCTGCTAGAGACTCAAGTCTTTGGATTTATCCCATGCACTTGAAATTGTCCATTCCAAGGTCTATGTGGAGGGAGAGGAGAAAAAAAAACAAAAAACAAACAAAGAAAAAAAACCCAGAAACAATAACCCAAGCATCATAACTCAATTGAAATCTTCACTTTTTCTATTGTCACAGAAAGGCACAGAAGCAACACTGCAAATATCACAAATCTCCAGCACCGTATGCTGTTACTCTGAGCTGGATTTTTTGTTCTTTTGTTTGCATAGATTATTCTGCTTTTAATCTTCAAAATCTGCGCATGAAAGGGGACTGCACAGAATTTTTTTTTTCTTTTTGAGATGGAATCTCATTCTGTCTGTCACTCAGGCTGGTGTGTGCAGTGGCAAGATATAGGCTCACGGCAACCTCTGCCTCCCTGGTTCCAGCGATTCTCCTGCCTCAGCCTCCTAAGTAGCTGGGATTACAGGCATGGGTCACCACACCTGGCTAATTTTTTTTTTTTTTTTTTTTTTTTTTTTTTTTTTTTTTTTTTTTGAGACGGAGTCTTGCTCTGTCGCCCAGGCTGGAGTGCAGTGGCGTGATCTCGGCTCACTGCAAGCTCCGCCTCCCAGGTTCACGCCATTCTCCTGACGCCTGGCTAATTTTTGTATTTATAGTAGAGGCGGGATTACACCATATTGGCCAGGCTGGTCTCGAACTCCTGACCTCAGTGATCCACCTGCCTCAGCCTCCCAAAGCCCTGGAATTACAGGCGTGAGCCACCTCACCTGACCTGCATAGAAATTTGATAATCATGGTTTAGGAGGAGCTGCTTCTTGGTTAGATCATAGGCCAGGATCATATTTTTGCATGCTGGACTCTCACAGAATTCTCCTGCACCTGCTTCGGGATTAAATGTTGCTGATTCTAGAACTACTTTTGAGAAAATAGTCACAACAGTTCACCAACCACCAAAGAAAATACTGCACCAAGTGGCCGGGCGCCATGGCTCACGCCTGTAATTCCAGAACTTTGGGAAGCCGAGGCAGGTGGATCTTCTGAGATCAGGAGTTTGAGACCAGCCTGGCCAACATGGTGAAACCCTATCTCTAATAAAAATACAAAAATTAACCAAGTGTGGTGGTGCGCACCTGTAATCCCAGCTACTCAGGAGGCTGAGACAGGAGAATCGCTTGAACCCAGGAGGCGGAAGTTGCAATGAACCGAGATCGCGCCACTACACATTCCAACCCGGGTGACAGAGCGAGACTTCATCTCAAAAAAGAAAAAAAAAGAAAAAAATCCAATGGTGTTTCATTAATTAGAAATGAGTGACAGAAACCAGAGCCGAGTCTCCGTCTTGACAAATGTGTGCTGCCATCTAGTGACAAACTGTAAAAATGCAGGCACGCTGTTGCACCATTCATGTCTCCATGGCCAACACAACCCTGGGAAGGAAAAGGTCTAAGGTGCCCCCTCAGCCACAGCCACGCAGAACGTGTGCTGAAGTTCATAGAATCGGAAGCCCCTGGAGAAGTCGTGTGGAACGCTCCTCTGTATCATGGCCTGACCACGTTAGCCCACCCCTGCGGATGAGCATCTGTGACAGCATTACCTGGACGTGTTCGTCTGTTTTGTGTTCATACTGTACCCCTAAAAGGTGGACTCTTGACTGATGGGCTTCTGTTCTGAGTTGGGTTAAAGATGTGATTATTAACCTTGAATATCCCAGTTCTCCACCAAAAACTTGTTTTGGGAAGAGAGAATACATATGGGAAGATATCAGAGTGGGAAACCAAAATCAACTTTTATCCACCCCATCCTTTTTTTTTATTTCTTTATTTTTTTGAGACAGGGTCTCACTCTATCTCACAGGCTCGAGTGCAGTGGCGCCATCATGGCTCACTGCAGCCTTGACCTTCTGGGCTCAAGCAATACTCCTGCCTTGGCTTCCCAAAGTGCTGGCATTACAGGCGTGAGCCAGTGTTCCCAGCCTATTTCCTTATTTTTAATGCACGATATAAAGAAAACGAATTAACCCCCAAAGCCCAACTCTGCTCCACATGGTGGGGAAATTTGCCTACTCCTTGGATTTTGAGTTTAAGATGTCCTTATGTGGTTTTTACTCATTTCATTATTCATTAACTTAGTCAACAGATGCATTCCCCAAACACTGGGTATAGGACGGAGAACGGGATCCACATAGTTCTTGCTCACATGGAGTTTTTAAAACAGATCTGTTTTCTGGATGGGCACAGTGGCTCTCACTTTGGGAGGCTGAGGCGGGCGGATCACCTGAGGTCAGGAGTTCGGGACCAGCCTGGCCAACATGGTGAAACCCCGTCTCTACTAAAAATACAAAAATTAGCTGGGGCGTGGTGGTGGACTCCTGTAATCCCAGCTACTCAGGAGGCTGAGGCAGGAGAATTGCTTGAACCCGGGGGGCAGAGGCTGCAGTGAGCGGAGATGGCACCATTGCATTCCAGCCTGGGTAACAAGAGAGAAACTCTGTCTCAAAATAAATAAATAAATAAATAAATATATAAATAAATAAATAAATCTGTTTTTCAAAGGGTGGGTTGTGAAATCAAGGCATTAAAAATATGAAATAATACAGAAGCATGGGCTTACACAGGGAGATGGGGAAATAGCAAAAGCATAATGGTTAATCCCAGGAAGGTGAAGCCAGTAAAAAGTAACAATGAAATACACTTACTTTTGGCAAGATGAATGGATTTAGGAGAAAACTCCACCGTTCGGAGTCACACGCGAAGGCTGGAGCTCAGATGGGTGAGTAGAGGCAAAGCTCATTGGTAGGGGTGATGGGATTGTTTGCAGAGAGACCTAGGGGTCGAAGCAGAGTGAATTCTTTATTCTTGGTCCTGTTGGCTGAGCCACTGATTTGAGACAGTTATGGGAAATGTGGATGTTGCAGACATGCCCTGAATTTAGTTATTTGTATTATTTAATAAGCTTTTGGAAAGTTAATCCTCCAAAACTTTTGGATTTCCTATTTTCTCTATGAAATATGCTTATATTTGTTCTGTTTATTTGTAGCTGTTTCTTTTTTCTTTTTTTAGGACCTTGTGGTGCAACGGTATATAGCAGTTTCTTTAAGCACAGTCTCATGCCTTTCTTCTTTTGCTGTCCTTTGGCATATTTAATTTTCCTTTTCCCCAATAAACCCTATTCCTTATCCACAACTATGTGGTGCTGTGGAATTCATTCTGGAAGGTGGTAATGTATTTTGCACGACAACAGCTAATGAGGCAAACAATTCTTCGAGTATATAAATCAGGAGAATGAGAAACTGTGGCCTGCGTCATTGATGACTTCTGAGGAAGAAAAAGTAAATAATGAGCTTGGAAGGCTCATCTCTGCCAAGTCAGGGACAGTATGTGGTGCATCTTTGGGGCATGAATGCCTAACCTGGGGCAAGCTGCAAAGCAGGTGTTCAGATCCAGTTGTTAAGTGAAGATTATTAAAAGACCATGTGACCTAACAAACAAAAGGATGTGGGTAGTTAGAGTGGAACAGCCTGTTTCAGCCGTTCCTGGCTGGGTAACCTTTGGCAAGTAATTAATCTTTCTAAACTTCAATTGTCTTATCTATGGAATGAAGCTAATGGTCTTACAGCATTGTTGGAGGGATCAGAAATAATACTGGAAGCACCTGGAGTATGTTAGATACTCCATCAAATGGTATCAGTTACTGTGTGACATTTACAGATTTGCAATATCTTTTTATTGCTATTGGTTGGGAGTAACTATAAAGATTCATTCATATGATCAGCTAAGCTTTCACTAAAGTGCAGATTTTATTATTATTATTATTTTAGAGACAGGGTCTTGCTCTGTCACTCAGGCTGCAGTGCAGTGATGCCATCATAGCTCACTGCAGCCTTGAACTCCTGGGCTCAAGTGATCCTCCTGCCTCAGTCTTCTGAGTAGCTGGGACTAAGGCATAAGCCACCATGCTCGACTATTTTGTTAATATTTTGTTTTTAGAAATGAGGTCTTGCTATGTTGTCCAGGCTGATCTTGAACTCCTGGCCTTGAACAATCCTCCCACCTCAGCCTCTCAAAGTGCTGGGATTACAGGTGTGAGCCACTGTGCCTAGCCTGAAATTGTTTCTAATGTCATTTGTTTGGCATCTGTGGGTCTCACAATTATATAATTATGTCATTGTCTAGTATGTGATTATTCATGGAAGACTGTATTTGAGTTTAGTGCTGTTTCCAAAGAGACTTCCTCTCATCACCAGGCAAGGGGTTAAGCTCTTCTACTGCTGTATTTTGAAAAGCACATGAAAAAATTTGATTGATAAGTACCTACTGTATAAATATGAGTCTCATGGACTGAGATATTGAAAGTTTGCTGTAATGACCATCAGTTTATTTCTCCACAAAATAAGAACACAGGAAACTTCAGAGTTTAGCCCTTCCGTTCTGGCAGCTGCCACTTATCAGAAAGTTCCTCTAAATATTTGTATTGCTGGGAATCCTCTGTTTCTAAAAATGGCATCTGTATTTCCTGACTAGTTTTATATTTCAGGTTTTGTGGGTGGGGGGCGATTCTGCTTGACCCCCAGACTTGCCCTTCTAATAATACAAATTAGTAATGTTATTTGTATTATGATTTAGTGTTTTCTAATTGGAAGATAATCTAACATCGTACTGAACAAGGCAGGTTATCCACTCAATTTTACAGACAAGGAAAACACATCAGAGAGGTTTTGAAATTGCCTGGCATCATCAACTAGAAAACGGTCAGCCTGGGATTCAAACACAGGGAGTGTGACTCCAGAATCCACACTCCCAACAGCAAGCTCTGTAGCCCATTCTAAGTAGGCATTGAGTTCCGATTTGGGGCACAGGTTACCATCAGTAAACATGAACTTATTTGTGGAGAACAAATAAGTCATGATAGATCCCTGCCTGTTAACATGGTGACACCTTAATGAACACCCACTACGTGCCAGACTCTTTACAACAATCACACAGAGATAGGTATTCTCATCCTCATTTTTTTAAGATGAGTCATTGAGACTCAAAGAGTTCAAGCAATTTTCCTAAGGCCACACAGCTGGGTAACGGTAACTTTGGTTTGCAAACCCAGCTGTTACTGACTCCCAGCTCTATCTGCTGTGAACGCAATTGATTTATAGGAGACAAAAAATGTGGATGAGTCTAGACTTTCCTCTCCAACCTCCAAGGACCATCAGCATACCAGTTTCTTCCCTCCAAGAGGTACTTTGAAATTCACAGAATTTCTGTCTCAAATACATATTTTGGTCTAGTATTTACACCTTCCATGCCCTGATATTGGTAGGGTTCTCTTCTTTTTCAAGACTGTTAAAGCAGAGTATCCAGGCCAACCTACTCAGCCTACTTCAGATGGCAGGCTTGCTCCAATGCATCTGTTGTGTTAGGACATTCTGCTTTTGGACATTCTTGGTATCTCTTGCTGGGCACTGGAGATGGCATGCAGCCGAAGACCCTACTGAGCTTCCAATTGAGCCTCTAGGTCAAGATGGAGAAGAAGGACAGTTTTAGTTTGGTGAATGCTTGACCAAGTAGCTTGCAAAAAGTGGACAATAAAGCAAACACAAAATGAAAATTTTAAACTATCTTCATCACAAAAATCAAACAGAATAGAATGCAATAGATCAAAGTGGTCTTCCCTCCTTTCCCCCTGGAAAAAACCAAAGTTGTTTTTCCCAGAAGAAATTGCTATTGACAGTCCTTTAGGATACTCCCTGAAATTTTATTTATATATTTACTTTCATTTATTTATTTATTTAGAGACAGAGTCTCACTCTGTTGCCTAGGCTAGAGCGCAGTGGCATGATCTCGGCTCGCTGCAGCTTCCGCCTCCTGGGTTCAACTGATTCTTGTGCCTCAGCTTCCCAAATAGCTGGGATTACAGGCATGTACCACCACGTCCAGCTTATTTTGTATTTTTAGTAGAGACAGGTTTTCACCATGTTGGCCAGGCTGGTCTCAAACTCCTGACCTGAAGTGATCCTCCCACCTCGACCTCCCAAAGTGCTGGAATTACAGGCATGAGCCACAGTGCCTGGCCCTGCTTCCGGAAATTTAAATGGACTTTAAAGGTGAATATTGGGTTCAACATCCTATTTCTTTGGTTTAGGAGAAAATGTCTGTACACAATAGTAAGAAAATACCACCATGCAAGGACAGAGAACCATTTATACGTATCCCTCCAATGGACTCCGTAGAATGAATCTTTCATTCTAGGGAGGTGTTTGCTTTGTAGTGCCCACCCTTTGCCCCCACCTTCATTTCTTACTTTGATATCTCTGATATTGAATTTTTTTCTGTATTTTTTTGTGTGGGTACAACAAGACTGTCCCAATACCTGTCTTGGATGATATTTAGGTGGAAGAGAAAAACAAACAAGAGAACTCTGCAAAAGGGTAATCATTCATGAATAGATGGAGGAGAAGGAGTTATGTATGGTCTGGATTTGTAAGACCGGAAAATGTTGACCAGGAATCAAGACCAAATATTTCTTAAATTATCAAGTGTCAAAGAAATTAGAATGGTGCAAATTTGGGTCCAAAATCAGGTACTGTGCATAAATGAAAGCAGTGGTTTCTGGTAGACAGTTCTCCATCGTCTCTTGCATTTCTATTGTCTGCCCAGGTGCTAATTGCCTTTATTTTGATCTATGTATTCACAGATGCTTATATAGCAGACAGCCTTGGAAAATTGAGATAGTGTTCCCTTCTGGAGCAAAGGACAGGTTTGTTTATTGTCCAGTATGATAAAAACAATGTTTTCTTCTGGGGCAAAGGCCAGGCAGGTTTACTGCCCACTATAAGAGATTTGAGTTTCCCAAATTCAATGTTCCTCTACTGCAAGGCAATCCTGTATGTGTGCATCATTTGGCCCTGTTCACATCATCGTTTGGGAAATGGAGTTCAGGGAAGTGGCTCAAATGTTGACACTGGCTACTGCTACTGCTGTGAGCAATGAAGTCCTTTGTTTCTGACCCAGGAGTCTCATGTCTTCTGTCAGTATCCATGAAATTGGGTCACGCTGAATGATTAGCTTGCAAATAGGGTATAGTCTCAGACCTGTCATAGTTCTTGACTATGGTATATAGAATAACAAGAAATATCAGTGACTCAATGATTTCACAATTAAAATGATACATTCTTCAGATGACTAAGAAGCCCAAGTCACAGAGAGGTACCCATGAGATAAGGGAAATAAATGTTCAAGTAATAGCTTACAACCTTAAACAATTAGTGTCATCTACAAAACTGAGAAACAAAAGTACAATTTCTAGGCCACGCCCAGAAGGCCAGGCCTCTGGGTTGCCATTCTCTCAGGACACCTCAGCTGAGCCCAGTGGGATGGGAGGTTTCAGATTTCTGGATGCTATTAGAGGGATGTCTTCAGGGTGGATATAAAGAGTTTGAAATAGAAGGCAGGTAAACATCTCTATGGTGCATGAAATTCAAAGCAAACTCAGGCAAATTGCTGTGAGTTAAACTGATATTTAATTCATAAACACATGTCACATATACAATTATGCTTTTTGTTTTGTTTTGTTTTGTTTTGAGACAGAGTCTCACTCTGTTGCCCAGGCTGGAGTGCAATGGCGTGATCTCAGCTCACTGCAATCTCCACCTCCCGGATTCAAGCAATTCTACTGTCTCAGCCTCCCGAGTAGCTGGGACTACAGGTGCACACCATCATGCCTGAATAATTTTTGTATTTTTATTAGAGACGGGGTTTCACCATGCTGACCAGGCTGGTCTCAAATTCCTGACTTCGTGATCCACCCGTCTTGGCCTCCCAAAGTGCTGGGATTACAGGTGTCAGCCACCATGCCCAGCCCATAAATAATTTTAAAATGAGTATATTCTTTGCCTTGTTCACTCACATTCTCATCTCTTTGTGGTAGCTTTTTGCAGAGGTTCCATGACTTATGATTCCACAAGAGATTGAATGAAAAAGCAGATATAAGAATTCAGCTATCTGAATTGATTTTATGGTATGAATACCGCAAGTTTCATTTCTGAGATTCCTAGTAGAAGTTTCAGAAAGAGAGCCTCAATGCTATTTCCTTTTGTTAATCAGGAAATCGTGGAATTTCTAGCAAAGAGGCCCTTTGGCATGCCTGCAGACGCTTAGGGAATAATTAGGTTTTATATTGGGGAGAATTTTATTTAAGCCTCTAGGAATGTGGGATTTTGATAACATTGCAAAATAATACATTTTATTAATTAGGGCTTAAGGATTAAGAACTTATTTAGCATGATGGAGGGTATACGATACAGGCAAAAAACCATTGGCTTTGAAGCCAAATCCACCAGGGTTTGAATACTCGTTAGGCAACTTTAGGTGGATTATTTAGCCTCTGTGAGCCTCAGTTTCTTCATCTGCAACATGGGAGTGATGATGAATCCCAGGCTTGTTGGGAGGATTCTACTCCTACATCCAAAGGCTGGCATCACCCAGTGCCCAATACACGGGAAGGCACAGGCTGAATTCCCATTTGTGTCTCCGGTGGGATTGAATGGAGCCTCAGCAGTCCCCAAGATGTGCATCAGCCTCTGAGAAAACTCCCAGCAACAGAAATGCTCTGCTTCCCCAGGCAGCCCCTTCCACTTCAGGAAAGGTCTAATTGCTAGAAAACGTGGAGAGCTAAAATGTCACTTTGTCATTTCACACTGGCCCCTGCTCCCCCCTCGGAGTGCGCTCTAATTCCTGTTCACATGATAGCTCTTCCGTCATTTGAGCAGCTCTTCAATCCCATCGAACTGGAAAAAAGGAGCTTTTTTCCAGACTAAACATTGTCACAGCCTTCAACCATCACATGCATGACATTTTGAGCCCTGTTTTCCTTCAGACACAAAGAGGATCGATCAGGTTTTGGACATCAGAGAACCAGGTCAGGCTCAAATCACAAAACATATGTACTTTTCCTTTCCACTGCCCCTTTTGGTGTGTTTGTGGGAATTTGTTTACTATGCCTAACTGGACAGGTCATCCTTGTATGGTACCAGGGTCATTTGAATGCTCTTGTTTGCTTGTTGCTTAATCTACTCATGATATCAATCATTGCGTAGATCAATTGCCAGCTAGGCAAACAGCTACACGGCTCTGTCAATTCTTGGCAGGTCTACATTTCACCATTTCTTCAACATCACGTGGGGTACCATGACATTGACTTCCAGGTCTAGCTTGACGAGTGAAATAGAACGTTGTTGGCTTAAGAAGAGCCGGAGCTCATCTGAAAACCTGATGAGTCACTGTCCCCTCTCTGGCAACCTAACACGAATGTTCACTTAGTGCAGATTTTGGGGAGCCTTGGCCTTTGCCCTAGATTGCAGTAAAAATGCTAACATTTTCCCAATTGCTATCTTTACATAACTGTCAGAGTTTTTACTGTCTCAGAGGTCAAAGCACGGAGAGTTATTAGTCAGCCCTAGTAAATTTCCATTTCTGACCCAAAAAGCTACAGGAACTTCCCCTTTGAAAGTTCTCCCCTTCCATATTTTGAAATCACAAAATAGAGAAAACACATAGTTTCAGGTGTAACATCTTTTTTCTCCAACTCCCAGAAAAAATCCCAGGAGTTTTACTAGTGATTCTGCTGCCTGTTCACTCTTTCAACTGGAAGTCAGAATGAAACTCTCTGTAGCCCCTGCTGGAGATTGCATTTCCTGTCTACCTATGTGAGTCCTTCATGGTGGGCTTGGGAAAGTACATTCCATAACTGAGGTCCTGTTTGGGGGTTTTGAAGAAGGCCAATTGGCTTCTTACAAAGCTCCACAAGCCTGCGCTCTTTTCTGAGTTCATAGCCTACTCTGCATGGGCAAGAAGCAGGATGCGATGTCTCCTAGAACGAGCTGCAGAATTGAATGACCTCAGCAGAACAAGCCCACTGTGGCCAGCCTGGGTGTTTGGAAATTCATGGCTCTCTTTTCTATTCCTTCTGTGTGAAGGAATCCTAACTGCCTCTTTTTTTTTTTTTTTGAGACAGAGTCTCACTCTGTCACCCAGGATGGAGTGCAGTGGTCCTATCTTGGCTCACAGCAACCTCCGCCTCCCGGGTTCAAGTGATTCTTGTGCCTCAGCCTCCCCAGCAGCTGGGATTACAGGCGCATGCCACCACGCCCAGCTAATTTTTGTATTTTTAGTAGAGACAGGGTTTCTCCACATGGGCCAGGCTGTTCTGGAACTCCTGACCTCAGGTGACCTGCTCACCTCGGCCTCCCAAAGTGCTGGGATTACAGGCATGAGCCACCGCACCTGCCCCTAACTGCCTCTTTCTGATTGTGGCAGTGAGGCCACTTTCCTGGAGTTTTCTTGCACTATCCAGAGCTGTCCTGGGAGAAGCACTAAGCCTTGGGGTCACCAGACTTCTGGGACAGGCAGAAGCACTTGTTCCTCTTAAAGAGACCACGGACCTACTCAAGAGCTTCAAGACCTTTAAGAGTTGAGACCTAGGGAGGAACAGCCAGAGGGTCACCAGCAGGGTGTCATGGCTTAAGCGTCCCTGCTTAGATGGCCCTGGACCCAGGAGGGGACCAAGATCCACTGTGAGCAAGGAGGCATCTTGTTGTGTGTATCAGTCTGGGGACCCAACCTAGTGATGCATGGGAGTTTCTGCCACACTGAGCATCCAGTTTGAAGGCTGGAATGCCCAGTCTGGAGCCAGAAACTAACTCTCCAAAAGTATTGAAGCATTTCTAGAGCTTTCATGGTTTAGAAATATATGCACTTGTTTCTCTCTCTCTCTCTCTCTCTCTCTCTCTCTCTCCCTGTCTCTCTCTGTTTTTGTTTTGTTTTGTTTTGTTTTTTTTGAGATGGAGACTTGCTTTTTCGCCAGGCTGGAGTGCAGTGGCATGATCTTGGCTCAGTGCAACCTACCCCCTCCTGGGTTCAAGCGATTCTCCTGCCTTAGTCTCCCGAGTAGCTGGGACTACAGGCACGCACCACCATGCCTGACTAATTTTTGTATTTTTAGTAGAGACGGGGTTTCACCATGTTGACCAGGCTGGTCTCAAACTCCTGACCTCAAGTGTGGAGGCCTTCCAAAGTGCTGGGATTACAGGAATGAGCCACCATGCCTGGCCATACTTGTTTCTCTTACTACAGAAGTAATGCACATTTATACTCAACATTTTGGAAAAGTGCTGTAAATGAAAAGAAGACATATGAACATATGACACCCCAGTTCAGATATAACCACCACTGCTAATTTAATAGCCCTTTCTAATAATTTACATATGCATGTAAAAATATATATTTACAAATAATATAAAAGATGTTTGTATTTTAATATGTTATATATTTATTATCTATATTTTGATAAGTGGTACACTATTTCACTTATCAAAAAATACTTGCTAAGTAGATAATGGCAAGAAAGCATAGCCCTTGCCTCAAGAACCTAATGGATTAAGCTGGGTGTGCTGGCGCATGCCTACAGATGTAAGCTACTCAAGAGGCTGAGGCAGGGGGATCTCTTGAGTCCAGAAGCTTGAAACTGCAATGAGCTATGTTTGTAATACTGCACTCCAGCCTCAGAGACAGAGCGAAACCATGACTTTAAAAAAAACCCAAAAAACAAAAAACAAACAAAAAAAAGGCCGGGCATGGTGGCTCACACCTGTAATCCAAGCACTTTGGGAGGCCGAGGCAGGTGGATCATAAGGTCAGGAGATCGAGACCATCCTGGCTAACACGGTGAAACCCTGTCTCTACTAAAAATACAAAAAGTTAGCCGGGTGTGGTGGCGGGCTCCTGTAGTCCCAGCTACTTGGGAGGCTGAGGCAGGAGAATGGCATGAACCTGGGAGGCGGAGCTTGCAGTGAACCGAGATCACGCCACTGCACTCCAGCCTGGGCGACAGAGTGAGACTCTGTCTCAGAAAAAAAAAAAAAGAAGAAGAAGAAAAAGAAAGAAAGAAAAAAGCAAAAGAAAAGAAAAAGAAGCTATTGGATTGATGGGGGAATCAGGTAGCAAATAAGTAGACAAATAGGATGGGCAAGGTGGCTCATGCCTGTAATCCCAGCACTTTGGGAGGCTGCGGTGGTGGGAGGATCACTTGAGGCCAGGCGTTCAAGACCAGCCTAGCCAACATGGTGAAACCTTGTTTCTACTAAAAATACAAAAAAAAAAAAAAATAGCTAGTGTGGTGGCTAACTCCTGTTATCCCAGCTACTCAGGAGGCTGAGTCAGGAGAATCACTTGAACCTGGGAGGCAGAGGCTACGGTGAGCCAAGATTGCACCACTGCACTCCAGCCTGGGCAACAGAGTGAGACTGTCTCAAAAATAATAATAATAATAGTAAGTAGACAAATAGATAATTACAAGACGCTGAGCTCTATGAAGTGATCCCGTGCTATCCCAGAAAATAATAGAGGGGGAACTGCCTATGTGGCTGATGAGGAATGAGGGCTCCTTGGAGAAATGACCAAATCTGGCTCTAGGAAAGGAAATGAACAAGATGAGTCTGGGCATCTTGTCCTAAATGAAGGAAGGAAGCCATCAAAACCACTCACGTCAGTCCAAAAGACTCAGGAGCCAAAAGGAAGAGGTTTCCTCTGGCCACGTGGGGGAAAATTGGAGCATCCTTAAGAACGATGATGGTGGCCGGGCGTGGTGGCTCATGCCTGTAATCCCAGCACTTTGGGAGGCCAAGGCAGGCAGATCACCTGAGGTCAGGAGATCAAGACCATCCTGGCTAACACAGTGAAACCCCGTCTCTACTAAAAATACACAAAAATTAGCCAGGCATGGTGGTGCATGCCTGTAATCCCAGCTACTCAGGAGGCTGAGGCAGGAGAATCGCTTCAACTCTGGAGGCAGATGTTGCAGTAAGCTGAGATCAAGCCACTGAACCCCAGCCTGGGTGACAGAGTGAGATTCCATCTCAAAAAGGAAAAAAAAAGATCATGGGGATGGATGCAATAAGCAAAGTCCGAACTGACGGATAAAATGAGACTTTCCTTAGGATTGCTGGGAGGATTAAATGAGTTAATGTATGCAAAGCACTTAAAATAGTGCCTGACATTCAGTGAATGTGAGCTATTATGATTACCATTATTATCAGTATTATTGGAACCAAGCACAACACTGTGAGGAGAGTCCCCTTCCCCCTGACCTATTATGTGAGCAATGGGGGAAGCCTAGGAATCAGCAGTATTCAAGGACCTTAGGGCTGCTAAAGGTGGTGCCTGGGACCATTGCTTCTGCCAATGGTCAAGAGCGATGCTGGGCTATGGGGCCAGCTACTGCCAGCAATGCTCCCACATGGCTGCAAGAGAATCACACAGCCAAACGGTGCTCTGCGGGGTGGTCAGATTTCCCCAGGTTTTGTTTCTAAGGAAGAGAAAATGAGGAAGGAAAAGATAATTTCGTGATTACCCATGGACACTAGCAGCCACTAAATTTGATACTAAAAAAGATGTGGCCTTGAGGCCGGGCGCGGTGGCTCACACCTGTAATCCCAGCACTTAGGGAGGCCGAGACAGGCGGATCACCTGAGGTCAGGAGTTCAAGACCAGCCTGGCCAACATGGTGAAACCCCCATCTCTACTAAAAATACAAAAATTAGCCGAGCATGGTGGCTTGTACCTGTAATCCCAGCTTCTCCAGAGGCTGAGGCAGGAGAATCGCTTGAACTTGGGAGGCAGAGGTTGCAGTGAGCCAAGATCGTGCCACTGCACTCCAGCCTGGGCAACAGGAGTGAAACTCCTTCTCAAAAAAAAAAAAAAAAAAAAAAGATGTGGCCTTAATTTGTAATCCACATATTAGACTGCATATTTATTCTATTCCATTCTGTATATTTTTATACATTTTTAGATATATATTTTATTTTTGAGAACAGTCTTAAATTTATAGAAAAGTCAAAATATGTCCTGCACCTATTTCCCTTTTATAAATATCGCCCATTAGTATGGCACATTTGTTACAATTAATGAACCAATGTTGGTATGTTACCATCAGCTAAAGTCCATACTTTATTCAGACTTCCTTAGATTTTACCCGATATCCTTTTTCTGTTCTGGTATCCCATTTGGGACACACATTACATTTACTTGTTATGTCTTTTTTTTTTTTTTTTTGAGATAGTGTCTCACTGTCGCCCAGGCTGGAGTCCAGTGGCACAATCATGGCTCACTGCAGCCTTGAACTCCCAGGTTCAAGTGGTCTTCCCACCTCCGCCTTCCAAGTAGTTGGGACTACAGGCATGCACCACCACGCCCAGCTAACTTATTTTTTTTTTCCATAGAGAAAAAACTCCATGGCTCAAGCAATCCATCCACCTCAGCCTCCTGAAGTGCTGGTATGACAGGCATGAGCCACTGTGTCTGGCCTACCATAAATTTTAAACTTTAGTTGTGTTAATATTTTTCTGATTGATATGTTAATTTCTGAAAAGCCTGTTGCCCAGGCTGGTCTTGAACTCCTGGCCTCAATTCTCCGACCTTGGACCCCCCAAAGGGCTGGGATTACAGGCATGAGCCACCACACCTGGCCTCTTATGTCTCATTAGGCTTTACTTGGCTGTGACAGTCTCAGACTTTTCTGGTTTTTGATGGCCTTGACAATTGTGAGGAGTACTGGTCAAGTATTTTAAAGAATGTTTCTCTGTTGGGGTTTGTCTGATGTTTTTCTTTCATGGTTAGACTGGAGTTATGGATTTTGAGGAGGCAGATCATACAAGTAAAGTACCATTCTCCTCACATCATATTAAGAGCACACATTATCAATGTAATTCATCACTGTTGAGGCTGACGTGGACGACCTGGCCAAAGCAGTACTTGTCGTTTTCGCCACTATAAATTTAGACTTCCCCCCTTCCCCTTCCCATCTTCTACACTGTCTCTTATTTATTTATTTATTTAACAACAACCTCTCATCCAACAGACATCCTTTCCACTTTGAAAGGAAGCCACTACGTGCAGCCCACACTTTTTTTTTTTTTTTTTTTTTGACAGAGTCTCTCTCTGTCACCGAGGCTGGAGTGCGGTGGTGTGATCTTGGCTCACTGTAAACTCTGCCTCCCAGGTTCAAGTGATTCTCATGCCTCAGCCTCCTGAGTAGCTGGGACTACAGGTACACACCACAATGCCTGGCTAATTTTTATTTTTTATTTATTTATTTATTTTTTGAGACAGAGTTTTGCTGTTGTTGCCCACGCTGGAGTGCAATGGCACAATCTCAGCTCACTGCAACCTCCGCCTCCTGGGTTCAAGTGATTCTCCTGCCTCAGCCTCCCAAGTAGCTGGGATTACAGGCATGCACCACCACACCTGGCTAATTTTTGTATTTTTAGTAGAGACAAGGTTTCACCACATTGGTCAGTCTGGTCTTGAACTCTGACCTCAGGTGATCTGAGCACCTTGGCCTCCCAAAGTGCTGGGACTACAGGTGTGAGCCACTGCTCCCGGCAAAAATTTTTTTTTTTTGTAGAGACGAGGTCTCACTATAGTTTCCATGCTGGTCTTGAACTCCTGCACTTGAGGCCATTTTGGACCAATCATCCCAGGCAATCCATCAGATTAGAGTGAGCTCATGAATGACCCCAGCTGAGACCAGCCAAAACTCTGCTTAGCTGAGCCCCGCCCAAGTTGTCTGCCCATAGTATCACGAACAGTACCCTACTAGGTTTTGAGGTATTTTTTTTACACAGCCACAGATAACCAATATAACTAAAGGAACTGCTTACTGTTGAGAAGAACACAGATTATGCCAATGTAGAATAAAATCAGCAAGAGAATCAGACCAGAGCATCCATCCACTCAGAGTTCCTAAAGACTCAATAGAGCAGTGCTGGTGTTCTGTTCTAACATATCATCAACTTATTTTTCCTGAAAACCGAATGAAAAGAATTTCCTCAGTCATTCCAGTTTTGTCTCTGATCTCTCTTCTCCTTCTATTTTGTCTCTTCTGTTTCCAGTTTCTCTTACAGCAACTTGTACTTTTTAGATATGTTAACGCTGCACAAATTCCTTTCTACTTGGGGTAATACCAGTATGTTGAAATTTCCTATGCTCTATAGATGCTCTTGTAGTTCTTCCATATGTAGACCTATTATTTCCTCTTTTTCATTTCTTTTTTATTTTTATTTATTTATTTATTTATTTATTTATTTATTTATTTATTTATTTATTTATTTTTGAGACAGAGTCTCACTCTGTTGCCCAGGCTGGAGTGCAATGGCATGATCTTGGCTCACTGCAGCCTCCGCCTCCCAGGTTCACGCGATTCTCCTGCTTCAGCCTCCTGAGTAGCTGGGATTACAGGCATGCACCACCATACTCGGCTAGTTTGGTATTTTTAGAAGAGACAGGGTTTCATTGTGTTGGACAGGCTGGTCTTGAACTCCTGACCTCAGGTGATCCGCCCACCTCCGCCATCCAAAGTGCTTACAGGCGTGAGCCACCACGCCCGGCCCCTCTTTTTGCTTTCTTGAAGATATCCCTTAATTAGGAAAGAAAAATATTTAGATTTCTTAATATTTTCCTTAATTTTCTCCCAAGAGTTAAATATACAATTTTTATATTATAATAATTGTCTGAAATTATAGATATCATTTACACAAATCTCTGTATCAAATTCTGTCTTCAGTATTATAGGGGTGGTAATGTGATAAAAAAAAGCAGAATTGCATGGTAGGAAAATTAACTGCAGACTTCTTGCATATCAGTTATCCCGGAAAGTTCATTACCAAAATGCATCCTCCGTTTAAGACTCATTTTTTTTTTTTCGGCTAGGCACAGTGGCTCACGTCTGTAATCCCAGCACTTTGTGAGGCCGAGGCGGGTGGATCACCTGAGGTCAGAGTTTGAGACCAGCCTGGCCAACATGGTGAAACCCCATCTCTACTAAAAAAAAAAAAAAAAAAAAAATGAGCCAGGCATTGTGGTGTGTACCTGTAGTGCCGGTTACTCGGGAGGCTGAAGCAGAAGAATTGCTTGAACCTGGAAGGCAGAGGTTGCAGTGAGCTGCGATCACACCACTGCACTCTAGCCTGGGCAACAGAGTGAAACTTTGTCTCAAAAAAAAAAAAAAAAAAAAAAAAAAAGAAAGGAAAAAAGACTCATTTTATTCTACCTAAAAAATCTTGCCTCATTTAAACAAACTTTAACATCATGTGGCTCTTTTACATTCACGCATTCCATCACTAAATATTCATTGAGAATTTTCTATATATTTGGCTCTATGCTAGGCCATGAGAATCCAAATAGATTCTGCCTTCAAGAAAGAAAGATGATGATAGCAAAATGATATTAATTCAGGCCGGGTGTGGTGGCTCACGCTTGTAATCCCAGCACTTTGGGAGGCAGAGGCAGGTGGATCTCTTGAGGTCAGGAGTTTGAGACCAGCCTGGCCAACATGGCAAAACCCCGTCTCTACTGAAAATACAAAAATTAGCTCAGCTTGGTGGTGGGCACCTGTAATCCCAGCTACTTGGGAGGCTAAGTCATGAGAATTGCTTGAACCGGGGAGGCGGAGGTTGCAGTGAGCCGAGATTGTGCCACTGTACTCCAGCCTGGGTGACAGAGTGAGACTCCATCTCGAAATAATAATAATAATGTTAATTCAATATGCTAAGTATAATAGTAGGCATGTGCACATGGCCTTATGGGAGTCAGAGGCCTATGAGTGTGTTTGGGGTGTGTGCAAATAAGAAGGGCTTCCTGGAGGAGGAGATGTTTGAGTTAAGTGGTAAATTACAAGTAGGAGTTAGTTGTGAACAGCATGTGGGATGTGCATGGGGTGATAGGAGCAGGAGCACGTGAGCCAAAACGCAGTGCCCAGAAGCAGATGTATGCAGGAAGTGTGCAGTGTGGGGCGGGATGTGGTGGGAAGACCACGGACAGGGTGCACCTGGCCAGTGGCTGGAAGCCCCAGAGAACGATGTTGAGGAGCAATATTTTTTTTGTTTGTTTGAGACAGAGTCTCACTCTGTCACCCAGACTGGAGTGCAGTGGCACGATCATGGCTCACTGCAGCCTCGACCTCCCAGGGTCCAGCAACCCTTCCACCTCAGCTTCCTGAGTAGCTGAGACTACAGGTGCGCACCACCACACCCAGTAAATTTTGTAATTTTGTAGAGATGAGGTCTTACTGTGCTGCCCAGGCTGGTCTTGAACTCCTGGGCTTAAGGGATCCTCCTGCCTTGGCCTCCCAAAGTGCTGGGACTACAGGCATGAGTCACTACTCCTGGCTAAGGAATGAAATTTCATCTCCTAATGCATAAAGAGCCGTTGGAAGGTTTTAAGTGAAGCAATAATGATGTAGGATGTGATGGTGGATTTGAGGGGCAAGAACACTGACTGGGAGGCTGTTACCTTTGTATATCTGCTCAATTGGTGGTCACAATCTTTTTGGCATAGGGGACTGGTTTTGTGGAAGACGATTTTTCCACAGACTGGGGTGGGGGTGGTTTCAGGATGATTCAAATGCATTACATTTATTGTGCTCTTTATTTCTATTATTATTACATTGTATTAATAATGTACAATGTATTACATTGTATAATAATGTACAATGTATTACATTGTATAATAATGTACAATGTATAACATTAAGAATGTATAACATTATACATGTATATATGTATAACAATGTACAATGTATAACATTATACATGTATATATGTATAACAATGTACAATGTATAACATTAAGAATGTACAATGTATAACATTCTGTTATTATTACAATGAAATACTTATACAATTCACTGCAATGTTCAATCAGTGGGAGCCCTGAGCTTGTTTTCCTGCAACTGATTTAGGAGTTAAGAAGAAATTACTTAGGCAGATAGTAAGAGTATGGGAGTCCTCGGTAAAACTTTTATTTTTAGTGAAAAGCAGCCCCAAATCATTTTCCTTTCTAATGAAGAGCAGCCTGTAAAATCGAGCTGCAGACCTGATACTGGCAGTTGCGCCGATTATATTCAAGATGGCGGCTCCATCTTCCCTTCTTTTGTCAGCCACGTGTCCAGTAAGAAGCAGACAAAATGGCACTGATCAACTGGAATGGCCATTTGTGTGATAAGATTAGGGTGGGGCAACCAGCCTTCCCCAAACACTATGTAGACATCATAACTGATCAAACTAATCTATGAGCCCTATGTAAATCAGAGACTGCCTCCTCAAACATGACTATAAAACTCCACGCATTTGCACCAGCTGGTTCTTTTTCCCACTTGGAGACTCTCTTTTGGGCTTTCTTAGCATGAGGAAGCTTTTTCTCTCTCTTTTCTTCCTTTTTTTTTTTTTTTGAAATGGAGTCTCGCTCTGTCACCCAGGCTGGAGTGCAGTGGCCTTATCTCGGCTCACTGCAAGCTCCGCCTCCTGGGTTCAAGCAATGCTCCTGCTTCAACCTCCCAAGTAGCAGGAATTACAGACACTTGCCACCATGCCTGGCTAATGTTTGTATTTTTAGTAGAGATGGGGTTTCACCATGTTGGCCAGGCTGGTCTTGAACTCCTGACCTCAAGTGATTCGCCCACCTCGGCCTCCCAAAGTGCTCGGATTACAGGCATGAGCCACCGTGCCCGGCCTCTTTTCTTCTTTTTTCTATTAAACTTTCTGCTCCAAAACCCACTCCTCATGTGTGTCTGTGTCCTGAATTCCTTCTCAACCGAGACCAAGAGTCAAGGTATATACCCCAGAAAATGGAGCCATTTCACAACTAGAAGGTCCCATCTGGGGGTGATGGGAGACAGTGACAGATCATCAGGAATTACATTCTCATAAGGAGCATGCAACTTAGCTCCCTCAGATGTTCAGTTCACAATAGGTTTTGCACTCCCATGAGAATCTAATGCTGCCGCTGATCCGACAGGAGGTGGAGCTCAGGCAGTAATGCAAGTGATGCGGAGCGGCTGTTAATTCAGATAAAGCTTTGCTTGCTTGCTGCTGCTCACCTCCTGCTGTGTGGCCCAGTTCCTGATAGGCCAGTACTGGTCTATGGCCTGGGGGTTGGGGACCCCTGTCCTAGAGAATAAGGAAGTGAATTAGCGCAGTGTTAGCAGAAATTGAAAAAGAGGTAAGTTAGAAATGTTTAGTCTGCTAAACTGGCTGACTTACCATTAATTGGTGGGGGAAGTGTGAAAGGAAAAGAAAATCTCAAGACCCCAAACTCACAATGCCAAAGGGAAAAGTTAAGCTTGGGAACTGAGACAAGAGAAAAACAAAGCAAAACTGTGTTCCTTTCGTTCCCAAGGGATAGCTGTAATTTCATGTGCTGACTTTATCTTACGTAAAATGTAGATTTACTCAGCAAGATAATTATATGACTTTCCCCTCCCTCCTATCTTTTCACATGTAAAGTGTGGATTCAGTGAGTGCTATTCAAGGCCTCATGAGAATGTGACCACCTGGCTCATTGCCTATCCTACCCCCTTCTTTTTCTTCTCTCCTTCTCCTCCTGCCCACTCTTCCCCCTTTACATATTGAAGTCCTCAAAACTCTCCTTGGAAAAAAGCAGAGAACACAAATCCTATTGTAACTCGTGTTTCTTTTTTCCTGAGTGTTTCCTCAACCTCAGCAAAATAAACCTCTAAGTTGACTGAGATCTGTCTCAGACACTTTTTGGTTTACAGAAGTAAGGAAGAAGGAATTGCATGACTTCCAGGATCCAGCTTGGTGAGGGCGTGGACGGCAGAGCCCTGAGATGGGATCACGTGAAGACGAGCAGGGAACGTCAACAAGGGAGGAGACCTTGGCAATGCCTGCACAGCCCGCTCAGCCGCGTAGCAGAGCCCTCACAGTCGCTGGCTTCATGCGGTGTAGAGAAAGCTGGTTAAATTCATCTAACTGCAATTTGCCTTCCATGTCTAGTCTCCTTTTGGCCATGAGGAAGATAATCCAGCCGGCTAGGTATAGCTGAAATGTGACATAATCAATTACAAATTTGTTGATTTAGAGCAAGTGATAGATACACAGCCCAGAGTAAATTTCCCAGAGGCTCTTACCACTGTGGGGAGGACAAAGTCTCACTTCCTGATCAGCAGTGGCCAAGGGAGGCTTTTCTCTGCATTTGTGAGGCTGTGATATCTTTCATGCACTCCTTTGAAAGTGCTCACCAGCACGATGGAACACATTAGCTTAAATATTTCTCTTCACAGGTTGCTGTGTCTTTTAACGTAGGCAACTCTTCATGTAAATGCTAGTTAGAAAAGAGGTTTTGTTTTGTTTTTCAAGAAAAGTTGCTTTAATTAAATAAAGGACAGGAAGTTCCTTCCTGAATGGTTACAACCCCGTGGATTATACAAGCAATGTGCTGATTACAAACCGCCCCTTTGCCAGTTCCGCTACAGTTACCAGAATCCTTGTTAAATAACATTCTCCCAAAAAAGATGTGAGGAAATTAAACAATGAAGCTATAAGAATTGAACAGACAGAGAGAAACAAAATGAATATGAAACTTTTTATGCTTCTTCACTTTTAGATAACATGTGTACACCTTTCTCCATAAAATATATATTTTTATTTTTTCAGTTTTATTTATTATTGTTATTATTATTATTATTTTTGTAGAGACGGGAGGGGGTTCTCACTTTGTTGCCTAGGCTGGTCTTGAACTCTTGAGCTCAAGTGATCCTCCTGCCTCTGCCTCCTGAAGTGCTGGGATTACAGGTATGAGTCACCACACCCAGCTGTAATTTTTCTTTTGAGACAGGGTCTCACTGTTGTTACCCGGGCTGGAGTGCAATGGCGCAATCTTGGCTCACTGCAACCTCCGCCTCCCGGGTTCACGTGATTCTCCTGCCTCAGCCTCCCAAGTAGCTGGGATTACAGGCACCTGCCACCGTACCCAGCTAATTTTTGAATTTTTAGTAGAGATGGGTTTTGCCATGTTGGCCAGGCTAGTCTCCAACTCCTGACCTCAGGTGATCCACCCACTAAAGCCTCCCAAAGTGCTGGGATTACAGGCATGACCCATCTTGCCTGGCCCGGCTGTAACTTTTAAGTAAAAATTCAGCTTTGCTGGCATTGTTACACATGTTAACTTTTTAGTCATCAACACAATCTTTTAAGAAAGATAAAATGTATTAAACAGATATTCATCTTATAGAACATTTAGACGATACAGATGAACAAAAGGAAGAAAGTAAAAAACTCTCACAATTTCACCACTTTGAGATAATCCATGTTAAAATAGTTTTTCCATTCTCTTTCCTTACATTTACATGTAACAGAGTGAAGAGAACAGTTTACACCAGTTTCTTGTATTTACTTATTTTTTTAGAGACAGGGTCTTGCTATGTTGGCCAGGCCAGAGTGCAGTGGCTATTCGCAGGCACCATCCCACTACTAATCAGCATGGAAATTTTGACCTGCTCCATTTCCAACCTGGGCCAATTCATCCCTCCCTAGCCAACCTGTTGGTCCTCGGCTCCAGGGAGTTCACCATATTGGTGATGAACTTAGTGTGGACACCCAATCAGCACAGCGCACTGCAGCCCAAAACTCCTGGCTGGGCTCAAGCGATCCTCTGGCCTCAGTCTCCGGAGTAGCTGGGACTACACATGTGTACCACCACACCTCAGCCTTCCAAGTAGCTGGGACTACAGGTGTGCACCACCATGCCTAGCCACACCTGAGTTTCTTGGGAGGAGAGGATTGTCTGTGTCTGGAAGGAACATTGGAAACTGTGGTGTCAGGAAATCTCAAAGAGTAAACTCATAGACTCAAAACATCCAGTTGGCTGAACTCCCCTCTGAGGAGAGATGGTGCTGGTGGCTTCGGTGGGGGGTCTCTCTGTACTGAGAGTTGTGATGAATGGCGTGTGCAATTGGAGAACTGTAGCTGGGGCCAAGCTGAATTCCTCTATGTAATAGAGGGGAGGGGATTTTTAGCTTCATTTTGGGGAGGGGCCAGATGCCAAGTTAAAGGGAGGAAAATAGGATCAAAAGAGCTGGGTACACCATGAGGGGGAGAAGAAAAGCCTCCTGTTTTTGTAGAGACTGGGAACTTAGCAAGGTAGGAGACAGCTATACACTGCATGCTCAGATTCCTCAAAAACTCAGGAAATTATTCATCATTTGCTAATCCTGTTGGGCAAGTGGATTCTTCTGCTTTTGACATAGGAGTGCTTGTTCAATAAGTATTTATGATTTTTTTTTTTGAAATGGATTCTTGCTCTGTTACCCAGGCTGGAGTGCAATGGCATGATCTTGGCTCACTGCAACCTCCACCTCCCAGTTTCAAGCGATTTTCCTGCCTCAGCCTCCCTAGTAGCTGGGATTACAGGCATGCGCCACCATGTCCAGCTAACTGTATTTTTAGTAGAGACGGGGTTTCACCATGTTAGCCAAGCTGGTCTCAAACCCCCGACCTCAGGTGATCTGCCTGCCTCAGCCTCTCAAAGTGCTGGGATTACAGGAGTGAGCCACCGCACTCAGCCTAAGTTTTTTTATATTATCTGAGTTCCTGCAGCTACCAGTGTATTGAGGGAAGCCCAATCTAACCAGCATGAAAATATTCAGGAATGCACTGACCACACATAAAATCAGTCAGAGCTAGCTCATCTCTCCCCACTTTTATTCTAAAGTCATAGTTTAGGCCAGGCATGGAGGCTTGAGCCTGTAATCCTAGCTACTCAGGAGGCTGAGGCAGGAGGATGTCTTGAGGCCATGAGTTTGCAACCAGCCTAGGCAACATAGTGAGACCCTATCTCTAAAAAAATAAAAAATTAGGCCAGGCACAGGGAGTCACGTCTGTAATCCCAGCACTTTGGGAGGCCAAGGTGAGCAGATGACCTGAGGTCAAGAGCTCGAGACCATCCTGGCCAACATGGTGAAACCCTGTCTGTACTAAAAATACAAAAATTAGCCAGGCGTGGTGGTACGCACCTGTAGTCCCAGCTACTCTGGAGGCTGAGGCAGAATAATTGCTTGAACCCAGGAAGCAGAGGTTGCAGTGAGTTGAGATTGTGCCACTGCACTCCAGCCTAGGCAACAGAGCGAGACTCTGTCTCAACAAAAATAACAATGAATAAAAAATTAGCCAAGCCTGGTGGTGTGCACTTGTAATTCCAGCTACTTGAGAGACTGAAGCAGGACGATCACTCATGCCCAGGAGTTTGAGGCTGCAATGAGTTATGATTGTGCCACTATAGTTTAGCCTGGGCAACAGAGCAAGATCCTGTCTCAAAAAAAAGAAAAAAAAAAAGAAAAAAACACATATTTTTATTACGTTTTATGTAGGCATTTTCTCCTTATCTAAAATTAAAGAAGCAGAACTGGTCCCCACCCACTGTTTTGTGGGTCTCCATTTTCCTGTTGCTTGATGCTGCAAAATTCCACAAGCAGGGCCCAAACAAAATGAACATTACTACAAAGATAATTTCTTTCTTTTTTTCTTTTCTTTGAGACAGAGTCTCGCTCAGCCGCCCAGGCTGAAGTGCAGTGGCATGATCTCAGCTCACTGCAACCACTGTCTCCCCAGTTCAAGCGATTCTCCTGTCTCAGCCTCCCGAGTAGCTGGGATTACAGGCACCTGCCATCATGCCTGGCTAATTTTTGTATTTTCGTAGAGACAGGGTTTCACCATGTTGGCCAGACTGGTCTTGAACTCCTGACCTCAGGTGATCTGCCCGCCTCGGCCTCCCAAAGTGCTAGGATTAAAGACGTGAGCCACCGCACCCGGCCTACAAAGAGAATTTCAAATCTTGCAAAAGAAGTGAGATTTCACGAAAGTGTTGAAATTGATGTTTGGAGAATGGCTCAAAGAATCTGCAATGTCATTGACAAATGAGGATCTGGCAGAGTTAGACCAAGTCAGCAATAGAAGGAGAGAAAATTCCACAAGGATGATGTCATAGGTTGTTTCGAAGCATGTGATTTTACCATAGGTATCAAAGAATTACAGAAGGCCCACAGAGAAAAGGATGAAACTCTCTGAGCAAAACATGACCCACTTTATGGATTCATTGTGAAAATTCAGCAAACAATCAAAGTGCAGCAAATGATGCTATAGATCTATTCAGGATTCATTTCATTCATTCTAAGAATTAGTGCATGGATATGATTTTAACTTACATTGTGTTAAATAAAATTATTTTTGCACTTGTTCTTAGCCAAATGGCCGAGAAGCGATACATTATTTTTGTCCTTGTTAGTTTGATTTTTTAAGATCAAATTTGTGCCAAATCTTATTTACATACTACTTAATATTGTTAGAGTAGGTAGCTAAGCAGACATGAGCAGGCCAGGATATAGCCCGACTCCCCCAGGAGTGTCAAGCGATTATCAGGTGATGATCAGGCAGTTGTTTTGTTTTGTTTTGTTTGAGACGGAGCCTCCATATGTCGCCCAGGCTGGAGTGCAGTGGTGCGATCTCAGCTCACGGCAACCTCCGCCTCCTGAGTTCAAGCGATTCTCCCGCCTCAGACTCCCGAGTAACTGGGATTACAGGCGCCCCCACACTAAACTCGGCTTTTTTTTTTTTTTTTTTTTTTTTTTGAGACGGAGTTTTGCTTTTGTTGCCCAGGCTGGAGTGCAATTGTGCGATCTTGGCTCACAGCAACCTCTGTCTCCAGGGTTCAAGCAATTCTCCTGCCTCAGCCTCCCGAGTAGCTGGGATTATAGGCGTGTGCCGCCACACCCGGCTAATTTTGTATTTTTTTTTTTTTATTAGAGACAGGGTTTCTGCACGTTGGTCAGGCTGGTCTCGAACTCCTGACCTCTCAGGTGATCCACCTGCCTCTGCCTCCCAATGTGTTGGGATTACGGGCGTGAGCCACCGAGCCCGGCCCATCAGGCAGTTGTTAAACTATCGCTCTAAAATAATAATTGGTTGCAGCTGGCACCAGGGAAAGGCAGGCTCCGAACAGATAGAAAACACCTGAAGCTGGTGATCAGCTTCCTGGTAAGATCCCAGGAGTTGGGCGAGTGGGCTCAAGCATGAGCACTAACAGGCAAAGTGGTGGCGTTTACCTGGTTTATGACCTTCCTCTAGGAACACTCAATTGGTAAGGGAAGAACGCACCAATTAGGCATGCACAACTTCACTAAACACACTGCGCATGCGGTCCCGCCCAAGTGCTGGCAGGCCACTGAGCATGCAGACAGCCCATCCCAACGGGAGAATCAGGGGAGAAGGGATGCAACCCCCTGGAAGCATGCCAATGTATAAAACCCCAAGTCAAAGGTCAAACAGCGCACTTGGCCCTCTTCCAAGTGTACTTTCCTTCCTTTTGTTCCTACTCTAAAACTTCTTAATAAATTTACACTCCTGCTGTAAAACTTGCCTTGGTTTCTCACTGTGCCTTATGCCCCTTGGATGAAGTCTGTCCTCTGAGGAGGAAAGAATTGACTTGCTGCAGACCTGTGCAGATTGGCTGCTGCTAACAATATAAAAATTTTAGTTTCTAATAGGAAATTTAAAACACAAGTCAACATAGATAATTGTCTTTATAACTCCTATGTATCCATCACCCAGCTCAAACTATTATTGACTTATGGCCAATTTTTGTAAGTGAAGTTTTTATTAAGAACATAAAATTATAAAGGTATACAAGAATGCATAAATCATAGTTGTATAGCTTGTAAATTTTCACAAATTAAAAAGTTTATTTAATCAGCACATAGATCAAAAGATACAATGTCACAGCACCCTGGAGGATTCTCTCTGCCCACTTCTAGTCAATATCCCTCCCAAAGTAAGGACCTTCCTTTTAACACCATGGACCAGGGGCACAAGGCCAATCTTATCACCTCCTCCATGCTTGCCAATCTCGCCCCTCTCCCCGCTGCTTCTGACTCTGCATCCTGTCATTTTGCCTGAAAATATTTCAGTTTAAAATTAAACTTAAATATTTAAAAATAAATATTAAATATTTAATCTTAAATATTTAAGTTTAAAAAATACTTACGGCCAGGAGTTCAAGATCAGCCTGGGCAATATAGTGAGACCCCCGTCTCTACAAAAACAAAAAAAAATTAGCTTGGAGTGGTGGCTGTCAGCTGTAGTCCTAGCTACTTAGGAAGCTAAGGCAGAAGGATCACCTAAGCCCAGGAGTTCGAGGCTGCAGTGAGCTATGATTTTGCCACTGTGCTCTGGCCTGGGCGACAGAGTGAGACCCAGTCTCAAAAAAAGACCCTTTAAAAATAATAGTAATACCACAGTCACATTTTAAAAATTAACTGTAATATTAATAATTGCATGTGTCAGCAAATATCTTGAATGTTTATGTATTTCCCTGGGTTTCTTATAATTTAAAGTTTTACAGTTTGAATCATTACCTAAGTAAAATCCATAAGTAGTTGTTTTTTTTTTTTTTTTTTTTTTTTTTTGCCTGTTGCCCAGGCTGGAGTGCAGTGGTGTGATCCCAGCTCACTGCAACCTCCACCTCCTGGGCTCAAATGATTCTCCTGCCTCAGCCTCCCAGTACTTGTGATTACAGGCACATGCCACCACACTCGGCTAATTTTTGTATTTTTAGTAGAGAGGGAGTTTCGCCATGTTGGCCAGGCTGGTCTCGAACTCCTGACCTCAGGTAATCCACCCACCTTGGTCTCCCAAAGTGCTGGGATTACAGGCATGAGCCACTGCGCTGGGCCCCATAAGTTTTTAACATTTTTAAAAAAATCTGTAGGTTCCTCTCCCATCTCTCTCTTTCTCTTTCTTCCTTCTTTCCTTCTCCTCCTCTTCTCTCTCCTCTTCCCCATCTCCTTCACTGCAATTTTTTTTTCGTTGAAGGAACTGGGCATTTGCGTTGCAGAATTTCTGTGGTCTGACTTTCTTCATTGCGTGCTGTAGGGTTATTTATCACAGCTTTTCTCTCCTACGTGTATTCTGTAAATCAGTAGGTAGATCCAGGATTTTGATTAGATTCAGGTTCAGTTTTTTTAGCAAAAACTTCCCCTGGTGGCGTGGGGTCTTTCCATGCACACTGCTTGGTTGTCTCTCTTTTGTGACTTCAGCAGCCATTGATAGTCATTGCTTCAATCCATTAAGTCATAGGGATTTGCAAAATGATGTTATTCTATCATTTCTTCTTCATTTATTAGTCAAAATACTTCTAAAAAGAAACTTTCCCTCATCAACTATTTGGCTACCCTGAGGGACAGTTTACATAGAAAATGCAGAATAAATGCATGATTCGTTTTCTTTATTTACAGTTAAAGAAAAATGAGTCCTCAAGAGGTGAGTATCATTGTGAACTTTTGCAGCTAGAGATCTCTGAACTGATATTTCTAAAGTCCCTGTGAGTCTGAAGGTTTGAATCCCAAAGCTGGGCTTCATTGGCCTCACCTGGAAAAGGGAGACAGTGCCTGGGAGAGAACCTAATCGGGAAATGTTGGTTGAATACAGATTTCGTTTGAAAGAATGCAATGATTTACTGGGCATGGACGATGTGCTTTCCTCTTTTGTGTATTTCTCTCAAAAACATCGTGATGATATGAGCTCTGATCCGCCCCCCCACCCCCCCCCCTTTTTTTTTTTTTTGAGATGGAGTCTCGCTCTGTGGCCCAGGCTGGATTGCAGTGGGTGATCTTGGCTCACTGCAACCTCTGCCTCCCGGGTTCAAGTGATTCTCCTGCCTCAGCCTCCTGAGTAGCTGGGACTACAGGCACGTGCCACCACGCTCAGCTAATTTTTGTTTTTTAGGAGAGACAGGGTTTCATCATGTTGACCAGGATGGTCTAGATCTCCTGACCTCGTGAACCACCCATCTCAGCCTCCCAAAACCCTGCGATTACAGGCATGAACCACTGCACCCGGCCGATCCCTTTTTATAGACGAAAACGATGATTAGAGAGGCCTGGTAGCTTGTCTAGATCACACGGCTGCACAGAATCCGAGCCAGGCTTCACATCCCAGCTGTGTGACTTACAGACCAAGGTGGGTGCGGATGTCCCATGCTCATAGCTACCTTGTTGGGTGGGCTCTCTGGAGCACCTGAGCCCTGCTAGCTCCATAGAATATCGAGAACTGCCTTGGAGGACTTACTCCCCTACCATACAGGGTTCCTCTTCACCGTGATTATTTCTCACCTGTGCTACCACAGTATCCCCTTGACAGGTCTCCCTGCCTTCCCTCCCAGTCCTCTCCGTAGTCTGTTTTCAGCATGGCGGGCGGAGCGAAGCTTGCAGAGTGCACGTCCCGGGACCACACCCTCCCAACTGCCACTGAGGGAATGTGGTCAAAATAATCTTAGAATAAATTATACCCAGATTTTGCCTAGTAGAAAATATTGATTCAGATGATGGGAGCCCCTTTATCTCAAGGGTGCTAAGGAGAATTATGGAAGGTTTACACATCAGATGGGATTACCACACTCCTTGGCATCCCCCTTCCTCTGGAAAAGTAGAAAGAATGAATCAGACTCTCAAAAAGCATATTACTAAACTAATCTTAGAAACTAAAATGCCTTGGACCAAATGGATCCCAATAGCACTCCTTAGGATTAGGACGGCCCCAAGGAAAGACTTGGGATTTTTTCCTTACGAGCTATTATATGGACTCCCGTATTTAGGTAGGACTACTGGCCTTTCTACTATGGAAACCAAAGACCAATTTTTAAGAAATTATATACTGAGCATATCCTCCTCCCTGTCATCCCTGAGGTTCAAAGGACTCCTGACTCAAACCCTGCCTCTTGAGTTCATGGTTAACCACTTCCAGCCTGGCAACTCAGTGCTGATTAAGACTTGGAAAGAAGACAAGCTCCACCCAAGCTGGGGAGGTCCTATCGGGTGCTCCTAATCACTGACACAGCCTACGAACAGCTGAAAGGTGTGAACACATTACACTCAGGTCAAGAGACTGGTAAAAGAACTCCCGTAAGGAAGGGAAAAGGGTGAATGGGAAGTGTATAGATCACCTAAGGAACCCTTAAAATTAACTCTAAGGAAAACCTGGAAGGAAGCTATGAGCAGGCTCCATCACTGGGGGTGGATGTGGTTAGGATTAATCCTACTACCAGGGGTGAGAGGGTACACAATTATTGGATGGAGCCCGGTAGAAGAATATCCAATCAAACTAGTAGTCAACATAACTAGAACCTCCACCCCCTAGACCATAAAGTTTGATGCCTCCTAAGTCGTACATTGTGGGAATTTAGGGAACCAAAGGCAGCTGTCACAAGCAAACAAACATCTATGTCCTGAAACAGGTCGCTATTGGGGAAAGCCCTGCGCTAGCTGGAATGAGGTCTGGTGGACCACCCAATTTCGAGGCTGAGCCATTCTTCCAAAAACAAACCCTTAAGAAGAAAATACATTTGTATAGGGGCCCCCTGTCACCTGACTGTAGAAATGTAGAATGCAATCCTATATTAATTACCATAAACAACCCAGCTACTCTAGACCAGGAACCTTAGAGGTATGGGTCAGGAATAGATACCTCAGGAAGGGATCCAATAGGATGGTTAGCTCTTAGGCTAGTCACCAACTCTACTCTGAGCCCACCCAGGATTACTATAACTCCCAGTCCCACTACTTCCTTTAACCAGACAATGACCCTAAGAGAGTAAAAATAATTAAGGTAACTGACTTGAGGCAGACTTTAGAAATTGAGACTGGATATGGGAATGTAAATGCCTGGGTTGAATGGGTCAGATTTTTGGTACTAGCTCTTCATAAGAGTGACTGTTCCGCATGCTCTGCTGGGCAGCCTCAGGCACAGGTGGTTCCATTTGCCCCAGGATGGGATACCAATCCCGATGGAATGTGTTGCATGTTGGCTCTATACCAGGAAAGGGATGCATAGGGAAATGAGACTTGCAAAATCTATCATTGCTCTTTACTGCCTTGTGGAGGTCAGACCCTAGAGCAATCCCCTCATTCTCCATAGGGTATATGAACCACTCCTCTTGCCTCTCTAGGCAGGGGGCAGAGTTCAATAAGCCTGTGGGAGAACCCTCGACTTGTACCCACATCCTAAACATTACTGGTGAGTCAAACAAAGGCAACTGCTCAGCTCTTCATATACCCCGGGCTGATGTCTGGTGGTATTGTGGAAAGAGGGACCTCCATGACCTATTACCATCCAACTGGATCTGCACTTGTGCCTTAGTTCAACTGGCCATTCCATTCATCCTGGCATTCTGTAAGATTCCCAAGAATCCACATGGCCACTGAAGTCGGAGAGACCTAACAAATTATTTTGATCCCAACGTTTATATTGACTCAACAGGAGTTCCTAGAGGAGTACCTGATGAATTTAAGACCCGAAACCAAATAGCTGTTGGGTTTGAATCAGCACTCTTCTGGTGGTCAACTACTAATAAAAACGTGGATTGGATTAATTACATCTATTATAATCAACAAAGATTCATCAGCTATACTCGATACACTCTCAAGGGAGTGGCTAACCAGTTAGATGCCACCAGCCAAATGGCCTGGGAGAACAGACTTGCACTGCATAAGATCTTAGCAGAGAAAGGGGGCGTATGCATCATGCTGGATGGAAAGTGTTGCACTTTAATTCCTAACAATACTGCCCCAGATGGAACCATCACAAATGCATTACAAGGGTTAATTGTTCTAGTCAATGAATTGGTGGAAAATGTTGGAATTGATGACCCATTTACTGATTGGCTAGAAAGTTAGTTCAGGAAATGGAAAGGAATGGCAGCCTCCATTCTAACATCCCCTGCAATAGTGGCTGGAGTCCTAACAGCTGTAGGCCATCGCACTATCCCCTGTGTTAGAGGGTTAACCCCCAAATTAATGGAAACAGCCATCAACAAACAAATGCCCATAACATGTCAACTATTATTAGAAACTAAATCAGTTCTACTCTCTTATGATGAAGAGAGTCAATAGCTCTTGAAATGATTTGAGGAGCAAAGGACACAAAAATAAATCTGGAATTGGGACCAATAGGAGTAAAAAGAAAAAGAGGAGGGAGTTGAGGAAATAATGCACATCCTTTTCCAAGGCAAAGTGCCTTGAATTGGCATCGAGGCATTCCAGATAGGCCAAGGAAATGCTGTGGGAAGAAAGTTAGATTTACACCTAATATAATAGTGAAAATGATAGTGAAATATATAATAGTGAAGTGAATTATGAAGCAACAAACTACGGAAGAAACGGGGCATACTAGGACCCCTGCTTGGATAGCCGACACCTGCTTGTCCTCCCCACCCTTAGCTGCCCTCACCCAAACCAAGAAGTTTAGTCTAAGATGAAAGTTTACTAGCCTGCAAAATAGCTTGCTTCATCTGTTCTTATCAGCCTGCCCAGCTACTTAGGTCGTAAGTCAAATACTTGGAGAGCCCCAGAGCTAATTAAGACTGCAACATATTATGGGCTGCAACAAAATGCAGCAGGACAACCCTGAAGAAAACACCTACAACCCCTACCCAACAACCAATAGGCGACATCTGGGAAGACTGTGACCCCATGATACTCAGCCTATAAGGAACTGGGGGAGGGACCTGTGCACTAGGGGATAAATTGCTTGTTGCAATTGTGCTAAGTGTACCTGCCCATCAGATACCCAGTCTTGCAAGACTGTCCTTAAAAATCTCACTTTTGCTGTTCTCCAGGTCTCTGAGTTCGTTCTTTGGGTTTGGAGGGGTGAATTTGTTTCTCACTATTAGGTGTTCCATTCTTTATCTGTGCTACATGCCTTGTTGAATTTCTATATAGTTGTTATATAGTTGGTGTAATTTTATGTTGCTTTTAAAAAATTTATGCTGTTACCATTCCATTTGTTTAATAATAGCTATACGGAGCTATAATTCACATACCATTTAATTCACCTATTTTGAGTACAATTCAATGATTTTAGTATGTTCACAGAGTTGTGCAACCATCACCACAATCAATTTTAGAACATTTTCATCATTCCAAAAGAAACCCTGTATGTACTTATAGTCTTTTCCCCACTTTCCCCCAATTCCCTCAACCTTAGGCAACCACAAATCTACTTTCTGTCTCTACAGATTTGTTTATTCTGGACATTTACAAATGGAATCATATGATATATGGCCTTTTGTGTCTGGCTTCTTTCACTTAGCATAATTTTTTAGGGTTCATTGATATCGCAGCATCTATTAGTACTTCATTTCTTTTTATTGTTGAACAGTCCATTGTACAAGTACACTGCATTTCATTTATCAGTTGATGGACATTTGGGTTGTTTGCACTTTGTGCTGTTGTGAATAATGCTGTTCTGAACATTTGTTTATATATTTTTATATGAACATGTGCTTTCATTGCTCTTGGGTACATATCTTGCAGTGGAATTGCTGGTGATAGGGTGTCTCTATGTTTAAACTTTTGAGGAATTAGCAGACTGGTTTCCAGTAACATTTTGTTTCTGCCAGCAATTATGAGGGTTCCATCTTCGGCACATTCTTGTCAATAATTGTTGAAATCTGTCATTTTGATAATAGCCATCCTAACGGGTATGAAGTGGCAAGGTTTTGATTAACATTTTCCTGATGGATAACAATATTGAGTACTTTTTCATGTGCTCATGGGCCATTTGTTTATCTTTGAAAAACGTCTGTTTAGATCTTTCGTCCATTGAGTTGTCATTTTATTTGATTTTTTTTGAGACAGGGTCTTGCTCTATTGCTCAGGCTGGAGTGAAGTGGCATGACCACAATTCACTAGAGCCTCAACCGCCCAGGCTCAAGTGATCCTCCCACCTCAGCCTCTCAAGTATCTGGGACTACAGGTATGCGTCACCACACCTGACTAATTAAAAATTTTTTTTTTTGTAGAGACGAGGTCTCACCATGTTGCCCAGGCAGATCTCAAATTCCTGGGCACAAGCGATCCTCTTGCTTCAGCCTCCCACAGTGCTGGGGGTTGTGGTTTTACAATTGAGTTGTGTGAGTTCTTTATGTACTCTAGATTCCAGTCCCTTAACAGATATAAGATTTGCAAATATTCTCTCCCATTCTCTGGGTTGTCCTATCACTTTCTTGGTGGTCTTGAAAGCACAAAAGTTTTTAATTTTGATGTCTAATTTGTCTATTGTTTTGTTTGTTTGCTTGTAGTTTTGGTGTCGTGTCCTAGAAATTATTGCTTAACACAAAGTCATGAAGACTACTGTGTTTTCTTCTAAGAGTTTTATCATTTTAGCTCCTACATCTAGGTCGGATTCATTTTGAGTTCATTTTTGTGTATGGTATAAGGAAGCAGTTCAATTTCATCCTTTTTTTCTCTTTTGAGATAGGGTCTCACTCTGTTTCCCAGGTTAAAGTGCAGGGGCCAGATCATGGTTCACAGCAGCCTCGACCTCACAGGCTTAAGAGATCCTCCCACTTTAGCCTCCCTATTAGCTGGAGCTACAGGTACTCACCATCATGCCCCACTAATTTTTGCTTTTTTGTTTTTCTGTTTTTTGTTTTTTTTGAGATGAAGTCTCACTTTGTCACCCAGGCTGGAGTGCAGTGGTGCGATCTCGGCTCACTGCAATCTCTACCTCCCAAGTTCAAGCGATTCTTCTGTCTCACCCTCCCAAGTAGCTGGGATTACAGGCGCACACCACCATGCCCGGCTAATTTTTGTATTTTCAGTAGAAACTGGGTCTCACCATGTTGGCCAGACTGCTTTCAAACTCCTGACCTCAAGTGATCCGCCTACATCGGCCTACCAAAGTGCTGGGATTACAGGCGTGAGCCACCATGCCTGGCCTAATTTTTGTATTTTTTATAGAGACAGGGTTTTGCATATTGCCCATGGCTGGTCTTGAACTCCTGAGCTCAAGAGATCTGCCCACCTTGGCCTCCCAAAGTGCTGGGATTACAGGTGTGAGCCACCGTACCCAGTGCCATTTCATTCTTTTGCATGTGGATTATCAATTGTCTCAGCACCATTTGGTAAAAAGAGTATTTTCCCCCATGGAATAGTTTTGACATCTTTGTTGAAAATCAGGTGACCATAAACGTATGGGTTATTTCTGGACTCTTATTTCCATTCCATTCATCTATATGTCTCTCTTTATTCCAGTATCACACTGTCTTGATTACTGTAACTTTGTAGTAAATTTTAAAATTGGGAAGTGTAAATTTTCTAAGTTTGTTCTTCCTTCTCAAGATTGTTCTGGCTATTTTGAGCTCCTTGCATTTCTTTCTATGTGAATTTTCAGATCATCGTCTCCATTTCTGCAAAAACACAGCTGAGGACCGCATTGAATCTCTATATGAATATGGGCAGTATTGCCCTCCTAGCAACAGGAAATCTTCTGAAGCACAAACATGGGGTGTTAGTCCATTTATTTAGGTTTTCTTTAATTTCTTTCAATGATATTTTATAGTTTTCAGAGAACTTTTTAACTTCTTTTGTTAAATTTATTCTTTTTTTTTTTTTCTTTGAGATGGGCTCTTGCTCGGTCACCCAGGCTGGAGTGCAGTGGCACAACCACAGCTCACTGCATCCTCAACCTCCTAGGCTCAAGTGATCCTCCCACTTCAGCCTCCCAAGGATCTGGGATGTGTCACCAATATTTCCAGTATTTAAGAATATTTTGGCTGGGCAGGTGGCCCACAACTGTAATCCCAGCACTTTGGGAGGCTGAGGTAGGAGGATCACTTGATCTCAGGAATTTGAGACCAGCCTGGGCAACATGGGAAAACTCCATCTCTACCAAAAAATACAAAAATTAGCTGGGTGTGGTTGTGCATGCCTGTCGTTCTAGCTACTTGGGAGGCTGAGGTGGAAGGATGGCTTAAGCCCAGGACATCAAGGCTGCAGTAGGTCACGATGACACCACTGCATCCCAGCTTGGGAGACAGAAGGAGATCCTGTCTCAGAAACAAAATAATTTTATTTAATAAAATATTCTTAAATAGTTTACTCTTTGTGATGTTATTGTAATTGGGAGCTGCTGTTTAACAAACTTAATTTTTATTTATTTATTTATATATTTTTAAGATGGAGTCTTGCTCTGTCGCCCAGGCTGGAGTGCAGTGGTGCGATCTCAGCTCACTGCAACTTCTGACTCCCAGGTTCAAGCCATTCTCATGCCTCAGCCTCCTGAGTAGCTGGGACTACAGGTTCGCACCACCACCCCCAGCTAACTTTTGTATTTTTAGTAGAGATGGGGTTTCACCTTGTTGGCCAGGCTGGTCTCAAACTCCTGGCCTCAGGTGATCTGCCTGCCTTGGCCTCCCAAAGTGCTGGGATTACAGGTATGAGCCACCACACCTAGCCCAGACTTTGTTTTTAGAGCAGTGTTAGATTTACAGAAAAATTGAACAGAAGGTACAGGGGTTTCCAGATGCCCTTGTCCCCATACACGCACAGTTTCCTCCACTGTCAACATCCTGGACCAGAGTGGCATATTTGTTACAAATGATGAATCCACATTGACATAGCGTTTTTACCCAAAGCCCACAGTATACATTAGGGTTTATTGTTTGTGGTGTATATTGTATTGGTTTAAAAAATTTATAATGATACATATCCATCATTATAATTTTACAAAAAATATTTTCATTGACCTAAAAAATCTTCCATGCTTCACTGATTCATGCCTTTCCCCACCAGCCACTGATCTTTTTGCCCATTTTAAAATCAAGTCAATTATTTTCTTCATAAATTATGCTTTGATGTAGTATCCAATAAGTCACCACCCACCCAAGATCAAGTAGATTTTCTATGTTAATTTCTAGGAGCTTTATACCTTTGCATTTTACACTTAGGTCTATTTTGAGTTAATTTTTGTAAAGGGCATGATGTCTGTGTCTAGATTTATCTTTTAACATGTGGATATCCAGTTCTTACAGCACCATTTGTTGAAAATACTATCTTTCCTTCATTATATTTCCTTTACTCTGTTGCCAAAGATGAGTTGACTATATTTATGTGCATCTATTTCTGGGCTTTTTATTATGTCTTATTGATCTATGTGTTCATTCTTTCACCAATATAACACAATTTTGATTGCCGTAGCTTTACAGTAAGCCTTGAAGTCAGGTAGTGTCAGTCCTCATACTTTGTTCTTCTCCTTTAACATTGCATTGGCTATTCTTGGCCTTTTGCCTCTCCATATAAAGTTTAGAATCAGTTTGTCGATAACCACAATATAATTTGCTGAGGTTCTGATTGGGATGGCATTGAGTCTATAGATCAAGTTGGGAAGAAATGACATCTTGAAAATATTGAGTCTTCCTATCCATGAACATGGGTTATCCCTTTCTTTATTTAGTTCTTCTCACATCTTTAATCACAGTTTTGTAGTTATCCTCATATAGGTCTTGTACGTGTTTTTGCTAGATTTATACATAAGTATCTCATTTTTTGGATGCTAATGTAAATGGTATTGTGTTTTTAATTTTAAATTCCACTTGTTTATTGCTAGTATATAGAAAAGCAATTGACTTTTGTATATTAACCTTCAAGCTTGCAATCTTACTGTAGTTGCTTGCTAGAGCCAGGAGGTTTTTAAAAGTTATTATTATTTTGGATTTTCTGCATAGATAATTATGTTATTTGCAAATAAAGACAGACTTACTTCTTTCTGCCCAATCTATATACCTTTTGTTTCCTTTTCTTGCTTTATTGCATTAGCTAGGAATTCCCATATGATGTTGAAATGGAGTGATGAGGGGGGACATCCTTGCCTTGTTCCTGATGGAGCTGTCTTTTAAATGCAGTTTTTGAATTTGTCATTGTAAATGTATGAAAGCACAATTGGTTTTGTATATTGATCCTGTATCCTGACCATTTCGTTTTTACATGTAGTCTTCATATTTATAATTTTGATGGTTGAATACAATTCCATCAAATAATATCCCATACTTTACTTAGCTTCTGTAATTGTTGGATTTATATGTTGTTTACAGTTCTTGAATATTAATACTTCTGCTGAAAATAGTTTTGTATATTTGACTATTATCTTTGTAATTATTTATACTTATACTAAATTGGTATGTGTAAAAGGAATAAACATTTTGTATGGTTCAGTGGTTTTTTTTGTTTGGTTTTTGTTTTTTGTTTTTTTGAGATGAAGTCTTACTCTGTTGCCTAGGCTGCAATGCAGTGGTATGATCTCGGCTCACTGCAACCTCTGCCTCCCAGATTAAGTGATTCTTGTGCCTCAGCCTCCTGAGTACCTGGGATTACAGGAGTATGTCACCATGCCCAGCTAATTTTTTGTATTTTTTAGTAGAGACAAGATTTCACCATCTTAGCCAGGCTGGTCTTGAACTCCTGATCTCAGGTGATCCACCCACCTCAGCCTCCCAAAGGGCTGGGATTACAGGTGTGAGCCCCTGTGCCTCGCCTGGTTCAGTGTTTTTATTGACAGGTTGACTTTCAACAGTATGTGTCAATATGTAAAGCCTGAAGCAGATGCATGCGTATACTTATCATCCACTGCTTATCCATCATTCTATCAGCCTACCATGGTGGAGTTGGTTTTGAGGTGAGCAAAATATATAAGGAAGTTAAAAGTAATGGACCACAATTTTGCAAATAGACATTCTACTTTGTGATGGGCCACTGCTATGGTCTGAGTGTTTGTGTCCTCTTAAAATGTGTATGTTAAAATCCTAACCGCCGGCTGGGCGCAGTGGCTCATGCCTGTAATCCCAGCACTTTGGGAGGCCGAGGTGGGCAGATCACAAGGTCAAGAGATCAAGACCATCCTGGCCAACATGGTGAAACCTCGTCTCTACTAAAAATACAAAAATTAGTCAGGCATAGTGGCACGCACCTGTAGTCCCAGGTACTTGGGAGACAAAGGCAGGAGAATCCCTTGAACCTGGGAGGTGGAGGTTGCAGTGAGCCGAGATTGTGCCACTGTACTCCAGCCTGGTGACAGAGCGAGACTCTGTCTAAAAAAAAAACAAAATCCTGACCTCCAAAGTGATGATATTAGGAGATTGGACACTTGGGAGATAATTACGTCATAGGGTGGAGCCCTCATAAATGGGATTTGTGCCCTTTCAAAAGAGGCCTGAGAGAGATCCTTCATCCTTTCCACCATGTGAAGACACAGTGAGAAGGTGCCAGGAAGCAGGCCCTCACAAGACACCAAATCTGCTGGCACCTTCATCTTGGAAATCCTAGCCTCCAGAACTGTGAGAAGTAAGTTTCTTATTGCTTATAAGCCACCCAATATACGGCATTTTATTATAGTATAGCAACCCAAACAGACTAAGACAGCCACTTTGACATTCTCTAACTGCTGCTAGTGATTCTCGTGTGGACATAAACAAGAGTAGTTACTTGGTAAGAAAGGTGGGGATAAATTTGGGAATCGTCATCACTATCACCACAGCCAGAAACACATCTGGGAGCACATGCCCTACTCTTGGTAGACTGGTACCATCCTCTGTGTTTGTTAGACAAATGCATCCTCATCCTCATCCTCATCATTATCATCGGCACCAAAACTGGTATTGACTGGGCACTCACTACATGCAGAGAGTATGCCATGTCCTCAGCGTGGAGTCCTGATAAGATAGGTAAGCAACAATGAGGAAGGCGTCCCAGGTAGGAGAGAACAATCGTTCCAAGAGATGGCTAATCACTGACAACCCAAATCCTGTTCCCAAATACCTTACTCCACATGTAGCCTCAGCAGCACAACCTCATCTGCACATAGCGTGTCCAGCACAACCTTATAAAACTTCCCCCAGTCACTGACTCTTTGTAGACAGCCTCTTTTCTGCTGTGCTGCCCATTGTACCCATGAAACGTATCCTCATACTTTCTCTAATTTATCTGCCTTTCTTTACTTACAACTGTCTTGGTAACTTTCTTTGCTGCCCATGAAACTGTCCCCAGCCAGTCATACCCACAACATACAACATCTCCTTAACTCCTCTCACAATCCGCTGAGGTAGGTAGTATTATGATTCCCACTTAATAGGTGAGTTAACTGAGTCTTTGAGAGATTAAATAAACTCTTCAAGGGCTGTCCAGTAGTACGTATTAGAGCCAAGAGTTGAATGTGGGTTTGTGTGGCCAGAGTCCATGCACTAAAACACTGTACTGCCTTATTGTTACATATATGATGAAGAGAGGGGCTGCAGTTTGCTGAGTCGATAGTTTTGTAAAGATACCAACGTGGTAAATTTTTTTTTTTTTTTTTTGAGACGGAGTTTTGCTCTTGTTGCTCAGGCTGGAGTGCAATGGCGTGATCTCGGCTCACCGCAACTTCCACCTCCCGGGTTCAAGTGATTCTCCTGCCTCCATCTCCCGAGTAGCTGGGATTACAGGCATGCACCACCACGCCCAGCTGATTTTTTGTATTTTTAGTAGAGACAGGGTTTCTCCATGTTGGTCAGGCTGGTCTCGAACTCCCGACCTCAGGCAATCCACCCGCCTCGGCCTCCCAAAGTGCTGGGATTACAGGCGTGAGCCACCGTGCCTGGACGCAATGTGGTAAATCATTTAATTAACCTAAAAAAAATGCTAATGCAGAAATCATAGTACTGTAATGAAATTATTTAACCCGAGGTAAACAGCCCCAGGCGATTAGATGAAATAATTTATTATCCAAATAAGGTTTAGGGAGATTGGCCAGGTCAGTGCCAACGGCCTACTCTGGCCACTCAGCTGAGCCTTCTATTCATGGGTCCTGCATGGGGTTGGCACACTCCTCTCTTGAGCCTTTACTTTCCTCATGACAACTTTCTGCACAGATATGGAAGTGTGCTTTTCCTAAACTTCCTTCTTTTAACTTAAGTTGAGGACATAATAGGACTGTGCAGAGTTTATGCAAATGACACTGGCCTTTAGTAATGTTTCTAAAAATGGAACTCTGCAAGATTTAATATCACTGTGGTTGCCCGAAGAGAGTCACAGGAGCAGTGATAAAGGTGTTTTCTATGAAATGTGAATACAAAAAGCACAGGTGAGCCACCCAGTTTGATTTCAACGGAAGGAAGCCATTCTCCTATTGTGATTTCAATGTGTTGAGTGAGCAGGGACCTTTCAAAATGGTGCATGCTGTTACAGAGAAGTGGGCATGTTAGTGCCTCTTGTTGGCCCAGACTTAACCTCAAGGAAATGGAGAAACCAGATTCTGTTCTGGAACTGGTTTCACAGCTTGATTTCGTCAAACATTGAGAGAGTTTGTTGATTTCCTTCTAAGTGCTAGCCTTGTCCTAGGCACAGTGAGTGAATCCAAAGATGCATCCGACATGGACCTGCTCCTAAGGAACTTTTGATGCACCTGGGAAGATGCGTATGAATATAAATATGATAATTCAGGTTTTCAAAGTGATGCAGTCCTTTTAAAAAAAAGATAATGTCAATAATAACAAAGGGATGCAGTTGTTATGCCCAGATTCCAGAGAGGGGTGCTATTGCGAAATGAAGAGGACAGAGACTTCTTCATGAAGAAGAAACAGTATGACCTCACGAGGCTGATGGCCGCACCAACTGCTGTTGGACTTGGGGTCTAGAACCAGTTGTGTTAAGTAAACCATTCAAGCCTTCTGGGCCTCAATTTCTTAATCTGTAAAAGGAAAGATGATCTCCCTGAGGTTCCTTCCCACCTTGATTATTCTCTATAAAGAAGGATTTGGCTAAAAGCAGCTAGTGCTCATTGAGCACTTCCTGGACATGATTTTCATATTAATCAACACAGTAGCCTCATGGTAGAGCTGCAGCTTTTATTCCCATTTTACAAAGGAGGGGAGTGAGGCTCAAGGAGATTAAGGGATTTGCCCTTCTACATCCAAACCCAGATTTGAGCAAATCTAAAGCCTTGAATCCCTGTGTTACAAAACCTTCAAGGAAGGGGATGCATTTAGGGGAAGAGCCAAGAAGGGAAGAGCATTCCAGGGAAGGCAAGCAGTGTGGACATAGTCAGGACCTAAGTGGCAAGACTGTAGTGTGTTCAGGAACAGCAAGATGACCTCGATGGCTGGAGCAAAGAGTTGCACAGCAAACTGGGTCAACGTGCTTCTAGCACACCTTCCAACAGCCCCAAAGGAAACCTATACACCCTCCCCAGGCCCTCCTCCAGCAATATCAGAATGTTAGTTTCCTGTACAGGTGGAAAGAGTCTTTAAAAGGCTGCCTCCTCTGAGATATGTTGCATAAATTATTTTGAGGAAAAACATGATTTATGAACTTCCCCAACCTTCAGAACTGTGGCAAGGGACCTCCCCCAAAGGTTGGAAGCATTTTCTTTCTTTTTTTTAGGATGGATCCTGGCTCTGTCATCCAAGCTGGAGTGCAGTGACACAATCTTGGCTCACTACAACCTCTGCCTCCCGGGTTCAAGCGATTCTCTCGCCTCAGCCTTCCAAGTAGCTGGGATTACAGGCACATGCCACCAAGCCCAGCTAATTTTTGTATTTTTAGTAGAGATGGGGTTTCACCATGTTGAAAGCCAGGTTGGTCTTGAACTCCTGACCTCAGGTGATCTGCCTGCCTCGGCCTCCCAAAGTGCTGGGATTACAGGCGTGAGCCACTGTGCCCAGCCTGGAAGCATCTTTTCATCAGAGATGGAGCTGAAGTTAGGCATCAGCATCCCCCAGCCTCTGTCATTGGATGTTGGTCTAAAGAGACCTTGTGATCTGCCAGGGGAGCTTCTGGTTGGATAAGGACAACCGCTTCACCAGATTATGACCAGGCTATGACAGGCAGCAGAGCCCAGAAATGTGCTGCAGGGCCTTCCTCCCGTGAGCTCCCCTGAGCTCCTCAGCACCAGGTTCATGAATTACGGGATAGAATCTCCTTTACCCTGTGGTTACAGGTATTGTTCTAGCCCCACCATAAGATGATCATTTCTTAAAAAAAAAAAAAAAAAGACTATTTTTATTACAGCAACACACACACATCATCAAATAGCATTAAAAGACTGAATCCTCTGGACTTATTTTCTGCTATCTACTTACTGATTCATACCTTTTAGATAATATGCCAATATGCATTGTTTTGACTTCCTATCATAATAATTGACCGTTTTAGTTTTTTTCTACTTCGTTTTATCCCTTTTTTTTTTTTTTTTTTTAGAGAAATAGGGTCTTGCTATGTTACCCAGGCTGGTCTTAAACTTCTGGCCTTAAGTGATCCTTCCACCTCGACCTCCCAAAGTGCTGGGATTACAGGCATGAGCCAACATGCCCAACTCCCCCTGTATTGTTATAGCACAATTTTTGTTTAATGTTAATGTGCTGATGTCTTCGTTAAAGTTTTTGAAAATTTAATAAGTAAATGCTGGTCACTGGTAAGCCAAGTAGTAATGTCCTCTGATGATATCTGATTAAACTACTTGACATGGTCAGTATCCATCTATTTTGACTTATGAAGATGGCAATTTCACATTGGTCAGCCTAAACTTTGGTGTAAGTTTTGTTTCTTGGAGTTAATAACTGATTTTTTTTTTGTATGTGTTTCTCTGAGGCTGAAAGATTTTATATCTTTTAAAGACCTTTTCTTAGTTCCTGGGAGCCTGTTCTAATATGACAGTTGGAAGCCTGGAAAAAGTTTCCAGGCAGACTGTGGAGGAAGGCCTAGAGAACTGAGCGTGCCAGTTGGATCTGCTCTCCCCAGCCTGATTCTCGGCAGGATCTGGAGGAGACTCGTGTACCAAGACACCAAGGAGTGAGTTTTTGGGAGCGCCAGCACTGCAGAGAAGCTCAGAGCGGGTGGGGGGAGGCTGTTCCCTAGAGAGGAGATGCTGTTACAGAACTGGAGCCTCTAACAGCAACAGGGATGAAAGGGTCCTTGAAGAGGAGAGGCCACCTGCAGTGCTGAACCATCAGAAGCAAGTCACCTTAATGAATAGAAAGGTTGAAAACGTATCCAGGGAGTGTTGATCTGCAAAGATCTATGGAGACAGCAAAAGAAAATGATATTAGTAGGAGCAAGAGAGATGGGTAGCCAACAAAAGTTGGAATAAATATATTATAATGTGTGTCATGTTGATCTTAAAGACCAAGCAGGGATGAGCAGAAGGATGAGGTCAGCTACCCCAAATGGAAAGTCATGATCCCTTGCTTGCTTTCCAGACCTAAGCCAGTTCTTGCACCTGGAACCCATCTATTGAAGGAAAGGCTGGGTCCCTGTGGGAAACACCTGCCATCCTATGGCAGATGTAGAAAGAGGTAATTTCCCCAGACCTTCCCCAAAGTTATCTATAGCCATGTACTCAGATCACCATGCAATGGGGAAAGCAGAATGCCCAGATTTCTCTAATGCTGTTAGAATATTAAGGTTGACACTCAAAGCAATATAGGTCTTCCTGTTCAGTTAAGGATATATGGGAACTATATTAGTCAGGGTTCTCTAGAGGGACAGAACTAATAGGATATATATATATATATATATGTGTGTGTGTGTGTGTGTGTGTGTGTGTTTATACATATACATATATGTGTGTGTGTGTATATATATACATATACATATATATAAAGGGGAGTTTATTAAATATTAACTTATACAATCACAAGGTCCCACAATAGGCTGTCTGCAAGCTAAGGAGCAAGGAAAACAAGTCCGAGTTCCAAAACTGAAGAACTTGGAGTCTGATGTTTGAGGGCAGGAAGCATCCAGCATGGGAGAAAGATGGAGGCTGGGAGGCTAGACCAGTCTCTCTTTTTCATGTTTTTCTGCCTGCTTTATATTTGTTGGCAGCTGACTAGATTGTGCCCACCAGATTAAGGGTGGATCTGCTTTCCCCAGCTCACTGACTCAAATGTTAATCTCTTTTGGCAACATTCTCACAGACAAACCCAGGATCAATACTTTGCATCCTTCAATCCAATCAAGTTGACACCCAGTATTAACCATCACAGGAGCCTGTGATAAATGAAGTCCTGGCTCAGGTCCACAGACCCACCTGGGGGTCAGTTTGCCAGTTACTGAATGTATAATTGGAATGGACATACTTACCAGTTAGTGGAACTGTCATATTGGTCTCTTGATCTGTAAAGCAAGAAAATAATGTTATAATAGGAAAGGCCCAGTGGATGGCACTGAAACCACCCTCTCACCCAGGCCAAGACATTAAATCAAAACCAATATCACACTATATTGATGACATCACATTAGTCAAACCGATGAGCAAGAAATAGCAAGAATAAGGTGCTCTGGCCAGGTGCAGTGTCTCACCCCTGTAGTCCCAGCTACTTGGGAGGCTGAGGCAGGAGGATCGCTTGAACCCAGAATTCAAGGCCGCAATGAGCTATGACAGCACCATTGCACTCCAGCCTGGGTGACAGAGTGAGGCCCTGTCTCTAAAAAATAAAATAAAAAGAAGATGCACTCTGATGTACCATTCCTCCAGCTGTGCAGAGGTGGCCCGTCACCAAGGAGGATGGGAAGCTGGGATTAGAAGATGACCAGCAATCGTCGCCACACTGCATCAGTTCTGATTTATGTTGGTAACCCCTTTTAACTTGAACATAATTCTAGCACTTGGCTATTAAATTCAATTCTGCAAACAGTTACGGAGAGGCTACCGCATGCTCAGCACAGTGCTAGGTGCTATGGCTGTCTGCAAGGCTGTTTGAAACACCTAGGGCTCATGTGCTCAGAAGGACGGGTAAGTCTGTGCTTCTGAGTGCTGGGATGCAGCCTCTTTTCCCTACGAGAGGGGCTTAGGTGGTAGAGAAATAAATAAGTCAGCAAAAGAATGGCTGTGCTTTAAATTTTTTTTTTCTTTTTAGATTTTCAATTTCTTGTTTCTTAATGCCTTCACCTTCCATATTGACTTGGACACCCACCTGGTGTCCACCTAATCACTGACTTTATTGCCTTTGCTCCTCCTTTGTCCTCTCCTCACCCCTCTTGCTAGCAATTGTAAGGTCAATGACCTCGTTGGCTTGGACAGACTCAGGAATAAGTGATGAGGGATTTTTTTTTTTTTTGATAGAGACAGGGTCTCGCTCTGTCACCCAGGCTGGAGTGCAGTGGTGCAATCATCGCTCACTGCAATTTCAAACTCCTAGGCTCAAGGCATTCTCTTGCCTCAGCCTCCCGAGTAGCTGGGATTGCAGAAGTGAGCCACCACGCCTGGCCTGTCATTTTTTTTTTCAATGTTGACTTTCCAGTTTTTCAGTACCTTTTCAAATGATCACACAAAAGTGTTAGAGGTTAAGATGTCACCACGCTATGAGGGCACATGAGCCTTTGGTGGCCTCCAGGACACAGATGACAAACTGTGAACAAAAATCCATCAGTGGAGGAGGGGAACAGACAGTGCCCTGAGTCCCCCACATGGGGCCTTAGGTTTGCTGATGTGTGTCTGTCTGTACACATGCATAAATATGAGTGTATCTGTGTGTGTATTCATGTATACATAACTCCTTTTATAACAAATATCCTTTGATTAAAAGTAATAAATCTCCCTTGGCTGAAGTGACAGGTATCTGGGATTATTATTTTGCTTTTGCAACCCATAAAAGAAAAACCAAATCCACAAGATCTGCAGGGGAGGAGCAGGTTAAATACTAAGTGCTGGGTCTAATCCTTCAGCAGCCAGGCAGGATTAGGGGCTGAGGCTTGTACTGCTGACGAGAGACAGCAGAAGGCTGCATGGTAAGTGGCACGTGTTCTAATGAGTTGAAAGCAGCATGAAGGAGCCTTTTTTATCCTCTGGCTCTAAGAGTTTGCCTTATCTTCTTAAGTGTCAACTTGTTAATATTTGAAGAGAAAACCAGAAAAGTCTTACTGATTCCTGCTTTCTCCTGTGCTTTCTTTTGAGGAGGTCGCTCATTTAGAAGCACTTGACTTGGGTGGGCATCCCTATGAGCTGGAGGGGCCCAGGCTGCAGAGGCTCTCATGGGAGTTCTGTGGCTGGAAGTGGGTTGTTGGAGCAACTCGAACCCGAAGTTGAGTTCATTCATTATCCCAGGAAAGGGCCATCAGTTAAAAGGGAACTCATACTTTCAAGACCAGCCTGCTTTCAAGGTGTCAACTGATCGTGTAGACAATGTCTCAAAAAACAAAAAAAAAATCAACCATGACATTAACTTCAAAAAGCAAGGGATTGATTTGTGATCAATATGAAAATATGAACAATGAAGACAAGCAGGAAAGTACCCACGAGGATGATTTTTCCACCAACTGCTTCGTGCACATTGTACCACAACCAAAGAAAAGAGCAGAGAGGAACATCCCTGGGCTCCTGAGAGGAGAGATGGAGCGGCGTTTGAATGGTGTTTGTCTCCCTGGCTTTTCCAGATACAATCTCCGAAGCTTTTTACTCCTTCACAATTGGCTTCATTAGCATTTCAGGAAAGACTCTTTCTGTTCATGAGTTTTACCTTTCTGATGTTAGTTCCCTATTTTCAGGCAATTTATCAAAAGGAGTAGAGTGATCCAGATTAAGTGTATGGATGAAACGGGACTAAAAAGCGATATTAATGGGTTTTTCTTACCCCCTCAAAAATATTTTTCTTTGTGATGTAGGAATCACCTGACATTTTTCAGGGATGGTGCAAGTGAGCTCAAGTGACGGGTCAGTGCGGTGGGACACTGGCCATGGTGCCAGCAGCATGGGGTCACATCCTGGCTCTGTTGTGTGACCTTGGGCAAGTCACGTACCCTCTGGGTTGAGTGTGCTCATATGTAAATCAGGAGATGGCTTACACGGGAGATAGCTGCTTTGCATCACAGAATTGCTGTGAGAAATAGCATAAAGCAAGATGATATTTGGGAAAGTCCTTTGGAAATAACAGAATTACCCACATGCCAAGTGGTTTTATTCCATGCTGCCCTGTTTCAGCTTGCTTGGGCAGCAAGATTCAATTATCTGGAGCGCCAGAGGGAAGAGGCCTCTGTTTAATTTGTTTTTCTGCTATTTTCAGAGATTTAATTACAAGTCCTTACTGATGCAACCCTTCTTATACATTTTTCTAAGCTCCACCTGGCCTTTTGCTCACCTTATCACCTTATCAAGCCAAAAAATCTTCTTTTGTGTAAAGGTAGTGTTCGTTAGCTTTCTTCCAAATAAAGTCACTAATTTTTTTCCCTTATAATTTAAAGTAGGCCTGGCGCAGTGGCTCATGCCTGTAACCTCTTTACTTTGGGAGACTGAGACAGGAGGATTCACTTGAGCCCAGGAAGTCGAGGCTGCCATAAGCCATATTTTCACCACTACATTCCAGCCTGGGCAACAGAGACAGACCCTGTCACACACACACACACACAAAAAAAATTAAAAAGTAACTTGTGGAGCAATACTTTGAGACTAAGTAAATATCTTGCTCGTATCAAAACTTCACCCACCAGGTTTAGCTTTTTTTTTTTTTTTTTGAGATGGAGTCTCGCTCTGTCGCCCAGGCTGGAGTGCACTGGCGCGATCTCAGCTCCCTGCAACCTCCACCTCCTGGGTTCAAGCGATTCTCCTGCCTCAGCCTCCCGAGTAGCTGGGACTACAGACGCATGCCACCACACTCAGCTAATTTTTGTATTTTTAGCAAAGACGGGGTTTCACCATGTTGGTCAGGATGGTCTTGATCTCTTGACCTCGTGATCTGCCGGCTCAGCTTCCCAAAGTGCTGGGATTACAGGCATGAGCCACCGTGCCTGGCCCAGCATTTGGTATTAATACATTTCTAATTCCTTCATTCTTTCCACATTTATCAGCTTGCACGCTGCTATAAGGAAGGGTTTCCCTCTCCCTAATCAATTTATTATTTATTTTTCATTTATTCGTTTATATCAATATGAACTCATGGATTCTTGTTCTACACCACTTGGTTTGATTTTTACATTATCCCCACTTTGGCCAGTAGGGGGCCCTAGCTACCTCCCACATCCTCCTGCTATAGCCCTTCAGTCTGTTTTCCTGACTTTCCAGCACAAGTCCTTTTTTCTTTTTGGCTAAATCTAATGATCCATGTAGTCTGTCCTGTGAGCTTGGGATTCTACCCAGAAGTCAACAGACAAGAGAGGAATTTTGATAAAAGATTAAAAAAAAAAGACAGTTTCTGAGTAAAATGATAGCCCAAGGCATCTCCTTTCTAGACCTCCGATGAATTGATGAAGAAATATGAAAAACAGAAAAGACTCCATAACAGTGCAGGAAATTAGGGAAGAGATCCCCTGCATATTAGAAATTCAATTTCCCTTCTCAAGAAACAGCAGCAACAAGGGCTGAGATCACTTATAAGTGGGAGCTAAATAATGTGTGCAGGGCTGGGCACGGTGGCTACACCTGTCATCCCAGCATTTTGGGAGGCCAAGACGGGCAGATCACTTAAGCCCAGAAGTTCAAGACCAGCCTGGGCAACATGGCAAAACCCCATCTCTTTGGGGTATGGCGGTGCATATCTGTGGTCCCAGCTACTCAGAAGGCTGAGGCTGGAGGATTGATTGAGCCTGGGAAGTTGAGGCTTCAGTGAGCTGTGATCACACCACTGTGCTCCAGCCTGGGCAACAGAGAAAGACCCTGTCTCAAAAAATAATAATAATAAAATAATGTACACACATGGACATAGAGTGTGAAATGATAGAGATTGGAGACTTAGAGGAAGGGGGGTGATGAGAAATTACTTAATAGGTACGGTGTACATTATTCGGGTGATGGATACACTAAAAGCCCCGAATTTACCACTATGCAATATATCCCTGTAATAAGTTACACTTGCACCACATACATTTATACAAATAAAAAATTTTTTAAAGAAGAAAATAATTGTAACCCTTGTTCCAGGGCCTCATGGCGTTTCATGCCACCTGGGCGAGACAGCGTGCGTTCTTACTGGGCACTGGCACTTTGGACGTCTGTCGAGTGACTGACTTTTGGAAGGTCCTCATCATCTGTCTTAGTTGAAATCTCTTTTAATGATCAGGTTACCCAATGAAAGTATACTTTGTATGGATCAGAAAGACCCTTTGTTTCCCGCAATTAATTAAGTACACTAGCTTTGCAAAAGCATCTTCAACCTCTATCAGGCTATAGAGATTCCGCCTTTCTCCCACCACCTCCAACCTTGGCATTGCTCCCACAGCCCATCTGGGGGCCGGTGCCCCCTCTTCTCTGTGCCGTCTGCTTCCACCCTGCTAATCTCTTTCTTTTATTATTTTTTAATTTATTCTTCTTATTTATTTTTTGTCTTTTTTTTTTTTTTTTTTGAGACCCAGTTTCACTCTGTCACCCAGGCTGGAGTGCAGTGGTGCAATCTTGGCTCACTGCAGCCTCCACCTCCCGGGTTCAAGCAATTCTCATGCCTCAGCCTCCCAAGTAGCTGAGGTTACAGGTGCAAACTGCCATGCCAAGCTAATTTTTGTATTATTAGTAGAGATGGGGTTTTACCATGTTGACCACGCTGGTCTCATGGTCTCCACCCGCCTCAGCCTCCCAAAGTGCTGGGATTACAGGCATGAGCCACCACATCCAGCCACTATTTATTTTTTGTCCTTCTAATCCTTGGAACCTGTGAATTGTTTTTCCTTATTTATTTAATTACGTATTTATTGTTATGCTGCTAATCTCAAAGGACGCTTTCTTCTAGAAAGCAGAAACAATTGATTCTGCAAATGTGTGGTTTCCCATTGACATCTAAGGAAAAATGAAACAGGGCCTGGGAGACAGTTTACACCGTATTCATCCAGGACATTCTCACTGATGGACTTTCCACGAAAGCTCTGCAAGTTTTCCTTTCAGTTTCACTGTCCGTTGGCCGGTACTGGTTGCTTGACTAAGCCCTGTTGGCGTGGGTTACTGCTCACCCTGACAGGTCTTTGTGAAACATGAAACAATACAAACATTCTTCTCATTTCCCCTCCGTTCTTCCTCTTGGAGCTGTTCCCAGTCCCGGTGGCCCTTCTGAAGCCGAGTGGGAAGCTCAGAAGGAACCTCTGGATTTGTTTACCGGTGTCAGGAATGGAAACTGCTGGGGCACCTGTGTACTCTTGCTGGTTTCTTAAACTCTGTCTGAATCCCACACACCCTTGCTTTTCGGGGAGTTGTGGCTGGCTGGGACAGGAGCAAGGAGTCTCTCCTTTGAGTCAAAGGAGGCACAGTAGCCAGAAGGAGGGCTTAGATATGAGAATGTTACAGGCCAAGAAGCTAGACGGACCATCTGGAGAGTGACCAAAATGAAAAGCGCAGCGGCAGTTGTGCAGCTGTGGTCTGGAGCGAGGTGTCCAGGGTCTTGGGCAATGGAAGACATAGAGGAGGCCAGAGATGATTGCTTCCAATGGAGTCTGTAGCTCGCACTTGCTTTTGTGGCCAGTGATGTGAGCAGATGGGTTTACCAGGCTATAAGCTTTTGGTGGCTGTGTGCAAAGACTTCCACTGAGATGATCGTGTCTCCTCAGGCACATCTGGGTGTTGGTCCTGACAGCTGGAGTATTGGGGTTTGAGTTTTGCCTGAAGGACTCACTGGTGAGGCTGAACCAAGTGTGTTTCTTTGGCCATCACAAGGACCCAGGCAGGATGTCATACTCAGCAGTACAGCAAGAACTGGTCCAATGCTTCAGATCTGTGATTCTCAATGGGCAGAGGGCAATAAGTAATGTCTGAAGACTTTTTAAAAAAAAATTAATTAGAGAGAGGGTCTTGGCTCACTGCAGCCTCCAACTCCTGGGTTCAAGTGATCCTTCTGCCTCAGCCTCCCAAGTAGCTAGGACTACAGAGGTGTCCCACCATGCCAGGCTTGAAGACTTTAAAATTTTATATATTTTATTTCAATTTTTTTTGAGTTGTGGTCTCACTCTGTCACCCAAGCTGGAGTGCAGTGGCGTGATCAAGGCTCACTGCAACCTCCACCTCCCCAGATTCAAGCAATCCTCCTGCCTCAGCCTCCTGAGCAGTTGGGATTACAGGCGTGAGCCACCACACCTGGCTAATTTTTGCATTTTTGGTAGAGACGGGGTTTTGCCATGTTGATCAGGCTAGTCTCGAATTTCTGAGCTCCAGCAATCCACCCATCTAGGCCTCCTAAAGTGCTGGGACTACAGATGTGAGCCACCCCCAGCTCGGCCTAAGTTTATTTTTTGTTCCTAGGTATTTGAGAGGTGCAAGTGCAGGTTTCTTACATGTGTATTTTGCATAGTGATGAAGTCTTAGCTTTTAGTGTACCTATCACCTGAATAGTGAACATTGTACCCAATAGGTAATTTTTCAACACTCACCCCCTCCAACCCTCCCACCTTTTGTAGTCTCCAATATCTGTGATTCTATTCTGTGTGTCCATGTGTACCCACTCTTCAGCTCCCACTTATAAATGAAAACATTCCATATTTGACTGTTTCTGAGTGATTTCACTTAGGATAATGGCCTCTAGTTCCATCCATGTTGCTGCAAAAGACATGATTTCATTCTTTTTTATGGCTGAATAGTATTTCATGATGTGTGTATATATTATATATAATTATATAATATATTATATATTAGTATACATGTACATAATATATTATGTAATATATAATAACATTTAATATATTACATTATATAAACAATATATTATATTATATACATAATAATTATATATTATATATTATTATATTACTATAATATATAAATATAATATATAAATATATACTATATGTTATACTATGTATACACTATATATACTATATTATATTAATATATTATATATAATAGTTAAATATTTTATATACAATTATATGTACAATAATATATAATTATTCTATATATAGTATAATGATATATATATCATATTTTCTTTGTCCAATTCTCCATTGCTAAACACTTAGGTTGATTCCATATCTTTGCTATTGTGAATAGAGCTGTGATAAACATATTAGTGCAGATGTTTAGAAGACATTTTTGAATGTCACTGAGTGGGGATGCAGCCAGCATCTAATGGGTAGAGGTCAGGGATGCTGCTAGACATTCTACAAGACACAGAATTATCAGTGCCCTGTGAGAAAGAATTATTCAGCACTAAGGTTGAGACACCTGCCTAGATTCTAGGAAATACAATGTCGTAAGTTAGCCACTGGGAGGGTGCTAAAGCCCTCCAGGGACTAGTACAAGATTGAAGAGACCCTCACTGTTGAAAGCAGAGGGCATGTACTCCATGTCACACATTTTATGTAAGCCTCACAAAGTTTTTGCCTTCAAGAAAATCTAGAATTAGAAGATCCTTATTTATTTCCACAGTCCCTGGGTTCCACCTTCAAAGTATCAAGATTTGCTGATAGCTGATTATTGCCCCATAGACAGAGTTTTCTTTGTGATGCATCTGCTTATAACTTTTTTGGAGATTCAAGAGTTGCATAGGAAGTTTAGGGGCTGACTGCTTTGCCCACTGGGACTGTAATGTAGGATCCCCTTTGCCTTTTTTTTTTCCATCTATAATCAACAGAAATTTATTTGCTCATGGTTCTGTTGGCTGAGAAGTCCAAGACTGAGGGATCAGCATCTGGTGAGGGCTTTCTTGCTGTGTCAGCCAAAGGTCAGGAACCCTGTACAGGGACTGTGTAGACAAGGTGTGAGGCCAGTTTTCCCAAGGAGCTTGTATTGGCTCTATAAGTCAAGTTTGATTCCTTAAAGCAAATTTCACCATTCCAGTCAAAGCCTTGGTAAAATAACCAGTATCTCCAGTTGTGTCCCTTTTGCTGACATGTCAGTGAAGCAGCTATGTTGTCTGTGGTAAATACCTGGGTCCATCATCTTGTGCTAAGAAAATTTAGCACACAGACATACACAGGAGTTTAGGAGCAGAGATTTAATAGGCAAAAGACAGAGAAAGGAAAACAGCTCTCGCTCTAGTGAGAGAGAAGGGACTTCCATGAAGAAAAGACCCCCCCCTTTGTCTTATTCATATAGCAGCCTAGAAAGAATGCTGTTCTGGGACTCAAGAGGAAGTCACTTGGTTTTTCTGGCCTCAGTTTGCTCACCTGTAAGATGGGCTGGTGCAGCGGATGATCCCTAAGATCCTGCCATTGTGCCCTGATTCTGAGACTAGCATTATCAGGGAATCCATACAGCTTCATGCAGCCATTCTCTTGGGATCACAAAGGTTATGTATCTCCTTGTTTCACTTTAAAATTAGAAGATCTTGGAGATCATCAGTATAAAAGTCATACTGGTGTTTTCCTACCCTAAATATAATGCTCCTTACTCAGGAGAAGGGGGGACTGGGGATAACTTGAGGACAGCATTTGGTTCTGGGAATGAAGAGAGCAACAGGCCCCCCAGGGCAGCTCTTGCCTCTTCAGCCGAAGTTTGAGGCAGGTGACTGCCAGACCTCTTTCCCTGCTGGCCTCTTACCTCTCAACTCCAGAGAGGCATGGGGAGTAGGAGTGCCAGAGAAAATACAGGATGCTGGTTAAATTTGAGTTTCAGATTGACAACAATTTTTTTTTTGTATTAGATATCTTAAACATCGCATGGCTTAGTAGAAGCATATCTCAAATACTGCAGATGTATTTGCTAAGCCTGACAACCTTAGCTGGCAGGGGAACGGAAGAGAGCAAATGAGGAAGTGGGATCCCAGCTGGGACTGCCCCAGAGCACTGGGCTTTGGCCTTGGATCCCCTGGCGATCTTCCCCTCTCAGCGACAGGCAGCGAGGAGGAAGATCATTGGCTTCTCTTAGGGCCTGTGGCTGGAGGGAAAGTCAAGTTCAGGTGAGTGGGGAATGCTAGGGGATTTCCCTGGGGATCAGCAGGGAAGGCAGCCACATCCACACTCACTCAGAGCCGGCTGCTTCTAAGCATCAAGGCCTGATGCCGATGGTGCATGAGAGGGGCCCCTAGGGGCAGCCCCTGGGATCCCCCCAATGAAGGGCTGCTCCTGCAAATGAATGAATGGAGTGGGAGGCCACGGAGAACCTTCCAGGGCTGGTTGGCTGGGAAGTCCAAGCTTTTGCAACTGCAAGGGCCCTCAGCCCTGTCACACCCAGTGACCCCATTTGCTTATCAATACAATATTTTTTAAAAAGTCTTTTTACTATTTTGAAATTGCAACCCAAAATTTATTTTTAAATCTATGCAGTGCAACAACTGTGACATAAGGAATCAGTAGAGTCCATTTCTCTCTGTGAGGAATCTTCAGGAACTTAACCACTACAATATGTACTGACATAGGTATGCTGTGTTCATGATTTATATACTTCTGGGGGCATTAACATTATTAATCTGATTTTACAAAATTGTCAACAATTCTTGGCCAAGTTACAAACAACACACACAAAAAGTCTACCCTTGATTGACAACAAAATGTACGAGAAAATGTCATATACTTATAACCATGTTAATAAAAAGGCCTAATTGGGCATGATGGTTCAGACCTGTAATCCCAGTACTTTGGAAGGCTGAAGCAGAAGGATTCCTTGAGGCCAGGAGTTTGAGACCAGCCTGGGCAACATAGCGAGACTGCCATCTCTACATAAAATAAAATAAAACAAAAAATGCCTACATTTGTCTGCAAAATTTGTGTTTGGGCTGAGATCATTACCTGTGGGTTTTTCACCTGTATGAATGTTCAGCTGTATACTTGGAAATCGTCTAGGACATGGGATGATTTTTCACTTTACAGGGCTGACATAAGCAAAGTGGAACATCTGACCATTAAACTTTAGTAGTGTTCCCCCAATTATTATGATATTGGGGGAGTTATTATGATAACCCAACTATTCCTGACAGGGAGGAGGGAAGACAAGGGGCCAAGTGTTTATGGATTGGCTATTCATAGTGGCCAAGCATCACGTATAGCTGTTAACATATTTTTTTTATTCAAGCCTTGCAGCACCTCTAATTGGTGCATATCCTGGTATTCATTTTACAGATGGAGAAAGTGCGGCTCTGAGAGTTAGGTAGTGCTTAAGTGTGCACAGCCTGTACATGGAGAAGTATGAATTCTAATCCAGGTCTGTTTTAATCCACAGTCAGACGTTAACAACGATGTACTAATGGCGAAGGGAAAAAAGCAGCGGTTCCTGGTCAAATCTCCTCTAGAAACTCGAAGAAAGGGAAGGGGCAGGTGGTTTTGTTGGTCTTGTTTTGTTTTGCTTGGCATGGCTTAAGAGCTGCTCCTTCTGGAGGTAAGAATTAGACACTAGACCAGGTGATTTCTTGGGGTCGATTCTAACCCAATGAATTTATGTTTTTGTGAAAAATGTTAACTTTAAGAAATAATTTTCAAAAGTAGACACTTTGGACGGTCAATCACCTTTTTTTTTTTTTTCTGAGCTGCATATTTCTGATGTTTTCGGTGCACAAGTTGCCAGCAGGAATTCATCCCTCTGAACGTCTGTCATTTGGGTTTTGGCTTCTGCGTTTGTCAGATGTCCCAGGTGCCGTCAGGTGCTGGGTTGTGTCAGTGGTGACTGACCTGAGATGTGAGGTCTGCCTTCTTTTTGTTTGGGTATCAGTCCCAACAGCCACTTGGCCTCAGCGCTCTGTCACCAAGTTCTGCACTTGAAGTCTCTCTCTCTTCCCCAACAGGAAGTGGCCTTGGGCGGCCCAAGCGCTGTGTTACTGGGCTGCGGGCCGGTACTTGGGAAGAAGTCCTCCGCAGTTCAGCATCCCAGGATGCATCTAGCAGATTTGCTGCCTCATTTGAGGACTCAGGACACACAGGTCCCTCCACTGCTGTCAGCACAGCTCACCCACACCTGCTACACACCTGTCACTCCTGCAGCACCAACACCCCCCAGAGGAGCCTCCCAGGGGAGAAAATGGAACCACCAACAGGTTCTCCTATGAGAGCGTGGATCCAGAGAATATCCCTGAGCTTATTTCAAATATTAGTTCCAAAGGGCTAGAACTGCAGGGCTTAGAACAATCAATATAAAGATCGTGTTAAAATCTACTGGAAAATATGATTCAAATTGCAAAAGCTGAATTTTCATATTCTGCTTATCAAGAGTGTATTCAGGGAATCATGGGAGAAAATTTTTGCAATCTATCCATCTAACAAAGGTCTAACATCCAGAGTCTACAAGGGACTTAAACAAATTTGTAAGAAAAAAAGATAAGTGGGCAAAGGACATGAACAGACACTTCTCAAAAGAAGACATATATGTGGTCAAAAAACAAGTGAAAAAAACCTCAATATCACTGATCATTAGAGAAATTCAAATCAAAACCACAATAATGTACCTTCTCACACTAGTCAGAATGGCTATTACTGAAATGTCAAAAAACAACAGATGCTGGTGAGGTTGTGGAGAAAAAGGAACACTTTTACACTGTTGGTGGGAATGTAAATGAGTTCAACCATTATGGAAGACAGCATCGTGATTCCTCGAAGACCTAGGGGCAGAAATACCATTTGACCCAGCAATCCCTCTACTGGGTATGTACCCAAAGGAACATAAATCATTCTATTATAAAGATACATGCACACGTATGTTCACTGCAGCACTATTCACAATAGTAAAGACGTGGGATTAACCTGAATGCTCATCAGTGACAGACTGGATAAAGAAAATGTATATATAAACCATGGAATACTATGAAGCCATAAAAAGGAATAAGATCATGTCCTTTGCAGGGACACGGATGGAGTTGGAAGCCATTATTCTCAGCAAACTAATGCAGGAACAGAAAACCAAACACTGCATGTTCTCACTTATTAGTGGGAGCTGAATGATGAGAACACATGGACACTTGGGAGGAGCAACACACACTGGGGCCTGTTGTGGGTAAGTCATGGAGGGAGAGCATCAGGAAGAATAGCTAATGGATGCTGGACTTAACACCTAGGTGATGGGATGGTCTGTGCAGCAAACCACCATGGCACACATTTACCTATGTAACAAACCTGCACATTCTGCACAGGTACCCCAAACTTAAAAGTTGAAAAAAAAAATCAAGGTGTAGTTCACCCTTCCCCTGCCCCCCACTGCAAAATAAAAGAGCATATTCAGGGGATCTTTAGAATTTAGAGAGACTTTCAAAAGCTGCTTAGTACAATAACATTTATTGCATAAAGTGAAGCATAAATATTGGCATTGTGACTGTGGACTATTAAAAACGTACCCAAGTAAGCTGTGAATTTGGTTTCAGAATTCTAAATTAAGTAGCTTTGAATGAGATTTCTCCTAAAGCATTGGTTGTGTATTATATGCAGGAAGTCATTGGTTAGTTTTCTTCACATTTTATCTATTTACCCTTATTCTGCTGTATTTTTAAAAAATCATATTTGTTTTGTAGCTTTATTCCAACCTTTTGTTAGTTTCTGTGGCTCGGCCCCATCAGAGTTTTGTTTTCCCCGACTGCCATCTAGAGGCCAACAGGAGTAATTACAGACACTAGACTTCCCAGGTAGGAAAGGGTGGTGGAGACCGCAGGGCCATCAATTCATCTTTCCCGCTCTGCTGCCTAAGGGATGGTTTGCATGCCTGACTCTTCACGAATACTTTCATTCTGAGGTTGCAAGGTCTAGCTGGCCCTTCCACACACTCTCCTTTGGCTCCCTTAGAAGAGCATAGCTTGCCTCTTTAGATGTCTCATCTGTTTCAAGCTTCTGCCCAAGGACTTTATTTAATTAAAAAATAAAACAAAGCCATTCATTTCATTTCACGCTTCTAGGGAGGCAGCCTCGCCTTGGGAGCCCACGCTGTAGTATTTCAGGTGACTTTAGCCCCTGGAGGAGGTAGGTGTCACTTTGTGGAATCTTAGACACTTAACAGGTGGAAGGAGCTTTGGAGACTGTCTAGCAAGTGATCCTCAGCCTAGAAAATGGGTTTTCTCTGGCTCCAGAATTGCAATCAATTAGCAGCCAATCTTTCCCCCAAGTCACAGGAAGAAAGTTAATAAGAACGATTTTCTCAATTCTGAGTTTTCTCCCACTTATTTTTTTTCTTTTTCTTTTAATATTATTTTATTGAGACAAGGTCTTGCTCTGTCACACAGGCTGGAGTGCAGTGGTGCTGTCATGGCTCACTGCAGCCTCGACCTCCCAGGCTCAAGCAATCTTCCCACATCAGCCTCCTGAGTAGCTGGGACCACAGACACATGCCACCATTCCTAGCTATTTTTGTTTTCTTTTATTTGCAGACAGGAGGTCTCACTATGTTGCCCAGGCTGGCCTTGAACTCCTGGGCTCAAGTGATCCTCCCACCTCTGTCTCTCCAAGTGCTGGGATTATAGGTGTGATCCTCTGTGCCCAGCCCTCCCGTATATTTTTCTTAAATCATTGTACCTATTATGCTCTCTAACTGAATAGGCAACAGATGACTCTTAGGTGAGACCCTGGGACAGACGAACTGTGATCAACAGCTGCCCCTCTTCCCCTCCAATGGCTCAGGTCCCTTGTTTGGTATTTGACTATAAAGATAAGGCCTATATTTCCCCCTCTCTTTGCTGGAAAAAATTCTTTTTATTTCTTATCCTAAAAGTTAATTTATTTAGAAATTATTCTAAATTTATTTAGAAATCCACAATGTGCTGAGTAGGTCATATTGCTACATGCACCGAGTGGCATGTGGGGCTTCTATCATCCAGATAGCGTGAGAATCTGGTGGCAGATCCCCTTATTCCACAGAGGAAGCGGATAAGGCCGAGAAGGGTGAGGTGAGTACAGGGACAGAGCTGGGTCTGGAGTCCTAATTAGTAAAAAGGAGTCAGGCTGGTGGGAGGAGGGGAAAGCAAAAAGGGGAAACAGGTAAGCTGTAAGTCTGCCTTTCTTCATGGTCCAGACACACAGCCCTCCTGTGCAAATAACTCACAATCTTCCTGTGCCCAGGTATCACCAGACACCTGCAAGTTGGCTCACTGCAACCTTGGCGTTGTCAGTACCACACACAGCCCTCTCCAGCACACAGCACAAGCACCATCCTATAAAATCCCCAGCAAGCCTCTGCCTCCTGGCTGTCAGCTGCTCTTCTGCTGGCTGCCCGTTGCCTTCTTGCAACATATTTTCATGCTTTTTTTAAACAAACAAATCTGCCTTTCTTTATCTACAACTGTCTTGGTAAATTCTTTTACCCCCATGCCACCGGTCCAGATAATTGTGGCTCACCCACAACACTGGTCACTAGAAGAGCTGGGACCAGGGCCCTACTCCCATCACACTTGGCCCAGTGATTCTCCTTCTGAGACTCAAGCTCTTCGAGGTGCAGTTCCAATCACTAGGACACTTTCCTTTCGTTGAGGAACATTGTCTCTGGAAACCACCTGGTAAAAAGAGCAAGTGCAGCACTTTGCTCCCATGCTCAGGTCAGCAGGGAGTGTGGCTCAGCACTCGGGCAGGCTGTCCCCTCCCTCAAGGAGCAGAGACCAGGCTCAGAGGAGAATGTAGAGTGGGCAGAGCTGCTTCAGAAGTTGCGGTCATCAGGGATCAGGGTGGTCTGGAGCCTGTGTCCCTGGTGATGAGTGTAGGGGACCCACATGTGGAAGTTGTGGCCTCTGAAAGGAAAAGCCAGATCCAGCATTTTCCTTAACGGTCACTAATGACCTCTGCACTGCTAGATCCAATGGCCATTCCTCTGTCCTCATTGTCCTGGGCTTCAGCAGCTGGGGTGTGTTGATGGTCCCTTCTCTTTCATGATCTTTTTCCCCTTGGCATCCGGACGCCACCTTCTCTTGGTTTTCCTCCTGCTCCTTGGTCACTCTGCCTTCTCTGCTGTGTCATTCGCTGCACCTTAATCTTGTAATGTCACAATATCTTTGGACTTGCAAAAGGAAAATAAAATCCCTGGACCCCAAACTCACCATGCCAAAGGGAAAAGTGAATCTTGGCAACTGAGTTATGCTGAAACAAACAAACAACAAACCAACAACTGCCTTCCTTTTTTTCCTAGATAGCTGTAATTTCACATGCTTACTTTATCTTCTGTAGAATGTAGATTTACTGAGCACAGACAAATGCATAATTGACCTCCCCTTTTCACATGTAAAATGTGGATTCAGTGTGTACTAATCAGTGTTCTTTTTGCCAACCCTCCCTTTTTTTCCTTTCCTCCTTCCTCTCCTGCCCATTCTTTCCCTTTTAAACACTGAAGTTGTCAAAACCCTCTTTGGACAAAAGCACAGGCTACATATGTTCCTGTAACCTGCGTGTGTGTGTGTAATTTTTTCCTGAGCTCATCCTCAACCTTGGCAAAATAAACCTCTAAATCAGTTGAGATTTGCTGCAGTTCCTTCTTGGTTTCCAGCCTCATCACTTCCTCATCTCCCCACTGAGGCCTTATCCTGTCCCTTGTCTTTAAACATCTGTTTATCTACACATAACAACCCCTGCATGTCCATTGCCAGCCCTGAACTTTCTCCCAAAGTGCACACACATTCGTCCAAGTCCCTCCTTGAGATGGTGGCTTGGATGTCTAGGAGACGTCACACCGATGTGTCCAAATTTCCCCCAGATCTGCTCCGCCCACAGGTTCCCCCATTCCAGGTGTTGGTGGCTCCATTGGTCTAGCTTCCTAGGCTGAACATCCTTGACTCCTCTTTCTCTCACACGGCACACTTAATCCACCAGGAAATCCTGTTGGTTGTATCTTTAAAATACACCCAGAGTCAGACCACTTCTCCCACCTGTCTGCTGCCCCGGGTCACAGTGGCGTCATCATTTCCTGGCTGTGGCAGAACCTAGAACATTCCACCTGGTCTCCTGCTGTGACTCCTGCTACTCCTAAGGGTTCTCTTCAAAACTGCGTCAGGACAATCCTTTCAGAGCAGCTCTCATGGCACTCCTTCTCTCTCTGAGCCCTGCAGTGCTGCCCTTTTCCTTCAGTGCAGAAGCTGGCATCCTTCCCTGGTGTGCCAACCCGGTCCCCTGAGATACAGATGCCCGAGGGGTGGGGGGGGATTCAGTGAGCGAGGCTTTTCCGAGAGCATCTGCCCAAGAGAAGATATCAGGAAGGAGGGAGGAGGCTGAGGGAGGCATCAGGTTGGGATGCAGGTCAGATCTCCAATGCAGGAGAGAGAGGGAGAGTCAGGTGGGACAGTCCCAGGCTGCAGTGAAGCCTCAGGACGTAATCTCTGCAGAGCAGTCTGTGTCTCCCAGGAAAGGGCCTGCCTCATGGCCCCTCTGCGCTGTGCTGAACCTTTCCCATAAGACCCGTGCCAGCGCCATGCTGAATATTTCAATCTGCACCTCCTGCCCCTGCATTCCTAATGCCCCTTGACTGGCTCTTCCTTTCTTCTTCTTGTTATAGCACATCCTGCCTTCTAATGTGCTATACAATCTACTCATTTACTATGTCTGTTTTAGTTGTCTGTGTCTCACCTCTAAAGGCAGGGATCTTGATTTCGTTTATTAATATAGTCCAAGTAATCAGAACAGTGTCTGGTGCATAGTAAGAACTCTGTGAGTAAATACTTGTTGAATAAATGTCATCCCCATTCAGCTTTTTTGTTTTTGTTTTTGTTTTGAGACAGAGTCTGGCTCTGTCACCCAGGCTGGAGTGCAGTGGCACGATCTCGGCTCACTGTAACCTCCACCTCCCAGGTTCAAGTGAGTCTCCTGACTCAGCCTCCCAAGCAGCTGGGATTACAGGAGCACGCTACCACACCTGGTTAATTTTTATATTTTTAGTGGAGATAGAATTTCACCATGTTGGCCCGGCTGGTCTTGAACTCCTGACCTCGGGTGATCCACCCACCTCGGCCTCCCAAAGTGCTGGGATTGCAGGCATGAACCACTGCGCCCAGCTGTCATTTGGCTCTTCTGTATGTTAACCTAGCAGTTCTTTCTCAGCCTCACATTTTGAATTGGGATGCTTCGTATTGATGGGATAAATAATGATAACTTTGGTTTATTTTATCGAGCCTCTACCGGGTGTCATTTGCTTACTTCACATGGACACACACTCATCTCCCTAATACCCCTCAAGGGACACATGGTCGGCAGCGTTGTGTGGGCCTCTCCCACAGTACTTGGGTTTGGTCTGTGTGGCCGTCAGAACACAGAAGTGAAGGTTTGTCACTGCCCAGGCTATTCTGCAAAAGCTATTGTGGCTTAATCCCTTGCTCTCTCTGGAATCACTCACCGTGGGGAAAGGAAGCCAGTTTCCACACCATGAGGACGTTCAAGTGAGCTGTGGAGAAGCCCGGGAGGTGAGGATTGGGGGCTCCCTGTCTGCAGTCCTGTGAATGCACCATTGTGTAAGCAGGTCCTCTGGGCCCAGTCATGCCTTGGAATAACTCTGGACTCAGCCTGCCCCTTGACCGCTGCCTCATGGAGGTCCTGCGCTGGAGCTAAGCTGTTCCCAGATTCCTACCCTGCAGAAAACTGTGTGAGGCTGCACGTGTTTATTGTTTTAAACTGCTAAGTTTTGGGTCATTTGCTAGGCAGCCACAGTAACAAATACAGTAGGTATTACTATTATTATTATACATTTAATTTTAGAAGTAACAAATCAGAAGTTCACAGAAACTAACCTGCCTAAGGTCACGCAGGTAAGAGGAGGCAGGGCAGGGTTGGACACCTCAGAGGGGCTGGAGCACGCTGGGCCCCCCAAGCCACTTGAAGTTGAAGAGCAATTCCACATTCCATGTATACCCACGGTGACAGGTGGAAAAGCCTATGTTTGTTAATTTCACCAGAAAGATGAGGCTTATTTGCAGAGCGCAGAGGCTGGGTCATTAGGTAACAGAACCTCCAGCACAGCTTAAAAACCAAACCACACACTTGGTTTAATCCGAGTCCCTATCCTTGGGCTTGGAATGCCCAGCTATCCATCTCTGTAAAACAACATCAGGCAAAAAGAATTCAAAAGCTGCCCATCCCAATAAGCCCATACCTCTACTCATTTGTAATAAAGCCAATCTTGCTTTTATTTCAACTTGGACAGAGTTGGGATCCAGGTTTGTGGCTGTGTTTGCTTGCAGTAACCAAGGATTTAAAATCTCAGTGATGCAATCTTTCCTGTTGCACCTCTCATTTCTAAATATGCCTCTATATGGCAAAGCAATTAAGTCATTTTGTTTCAGCTTCTGATTTTACTCTTCTGAGCCCAATGTTTTTGCAACGTTTATTCAATGGAGTTATAAAGAAACCTCACCTGAATCACCTTTTAAATGAAAGAGTCGCTAACCCTTTGTGGTGCTTTATCTGCGCAGTGGGAGTGAGGGTAACGAGTAGCAGCAGGAGCTGGAAGGCCTCTTCCCTCCCTCCTCCCCAGGAGTCTGGGCTCTCAGCTGGAGGCCACTGTACCATGGCAACTTCCATTTCAATGACATTATTTCTAATGAATGACTGCCCGAGGGTTTACAGGGTGTTTCTGGCCCCAGCTCAGTGTAACCAGCAGGAGTTGGGAGCGGGACGATTTCCTGTCCCCTCACCCAGTGGTTTCTGCTTCACCATGAAAGATCACAAGAGTATTTGATGTTGGTTCTTGGGACAGAAATCGGTTAATTAAAATCAGTAAGTGTTTGGACAAATTGAATGCAAGCCACACATTGTTGGCAGAGCACAGGTACCAGAAAGGCAGGCAGAAGTCGGCCCCCAGAGAGCACAGATACAGGAAGCCCCTCTCTTCAGTCAGTCCCCCAGTTCATCAGTAATGAGAGCAAACGCAACAGGAGAGACAGAAACACAGCAACAAGCCATCTTTTCCTTCCGGCCAAACCTCCCTGACTCTCCTGGCGGCTCATCTCCCAACCTGAAAGGCTTATCGCAGAGCCTAGATGACTGGTTTGATTTTTGCTCGTTCTCTTCCTGCACCAAAAGGTAGACAGAGATTGAGAGAGGGAGAGAGAGGGAACAGAAAAGAGAGCAGGGGGTCTGAATAATCTTTAAAGTAGGTAATTATCAATACGCATCAAGAAACTTTATCATTGTCCCAAGAATGAAGGTGTTAATGATGTTTGAGTTGGAGGAACGTGCTCACCAAGTTTTGTCTTTTTGAGACCCTCTTCTTTTGGAGGTCTGGCCTCCCTAATGGACTGACCCTCTGTGTCAGTCCCAGGGAGGGAAATGGAGATCCCCCCCGGGGACTTAAAGTAGCCATTCTTCTAGTTGCAGAGCAATCAAGATACCTTTTCATCAAGGAAATGAATGAGGTTAGCACTCACCTTCCATTGCTGGGGCACAAAACAAGCGTGCCAAGGCCTTCTTGAGCTCAAGTTTATAAGATTCATGAATAAAAAAATGTGTCTTTCTGTTGAGTGCTATAGTGGTTTGGGAGGATCATAGTCAAAACATTCCTTATTAGAAAGGGCCTATTAAACACAGCCGGGGCCTTCACAAAACGTAATGTGAATATGTTTCCTGCAATTTGCAAGATGTATTTAAATATGTGTATAGACTGTTTAATTTTCTGCATGCCTGAATATCTTCACTTGCATACAAATTCTCTATTGTAATTGGCCAGGGAGGCTAATTACAAACAATTTATAAATTGAAGTGTTAACTACGTGTTTGGCACAGAACTAAGCCAGGAACACATTACCCAGTGCTCGAGAATGGAAATACAGACAGGCTGGATCTGAAGACTCAACTGGGGTGTGACATGTGGATGGTGGATCTTGAGGGCCAGCCCCTAGATCCACATGCAGAAGGAGACGTGCCATTTACATGGTCAACCGCACACCAGCCAGTGACTATTTTGAATGGGTTGCTTTGCATTTTATGACACGCATGCATTTAGTGATGTGAGATATTATAAGGCTGGCTTTCATTTCAAAGGCAGTTATTTAAACATACTTAACCTGTATAATTCTTCCCTTTGCTATTTAGATAACTGAAAGATTGAAATTGGGAAATGGAATTTTCTTAGAGCTAGGAGAGATCTTACATACGATTCACCATTTTACTCTGTACATTTTTCTAGGTGGTGTGTCTGAGGATGAGAGGAGGCAGGAAACCATCAAAGGGCATACAGCTTGTTTGGGACAAGGAGAAAAGCAGTGGGATGGGGGTGTCAGCCCTTCTCACATGTTCTAATCACCAACCTGTCCTTCGCTATTGGCTCCTTCCCTCTATCTGTAAATGTCATCAAATCTCTTTCTCCCAATACAAATAAGTAAATAAATAAACAGCCAAACACCAACATAGCCCCCAAACCGACTCCCCACTACCTTCAGTGTTCCCCTAGTAACTATCCTGACTCTCGTCTTCTCATCCACACTATTTATAAAAAGCAGCCATTGTCGTTGGGCTGTCTTTATAAGCACTCTGTCCTCAGGCCACTCTCAATGGGCCTCTTCCTGCTCCAAATCCAATGGACTTTCTTCTGTCTTCTAGGGGACCCTTCTCCTTTGTCCCTTCATAGCCCCTGGTTTCTTTGACACCGCCCTGCCCTGCTTCTGCCCACGGCTCTCGGAACCCTCCTTCTGTCCTCCGCGAGCCTGTCTCCTCGCTGGCATGCCCACGTTCTGCAGGATTCTGTACCTGCTCATAGCTCCTCCCACTTTATGCTCTGTCCTGGGCCACGCTTTTCACGCTCATGATCAACTACAAATGAAGTGCGATGTCTCCCTGATTCTGAATGTCACTTCTGAGCTTCAAATCTAAATAGTCAACAGCTTGTTGGACATCTCCACCCGGAAGTACTACAGGAACTTCAAACTCAACACATCAACAGTGGAATTCATGACTGGGCCAGGCACTGCGTTTTCTTCATCTTTGTGTATCCAGCACCTAGCAGACAGCAGGCACTCAGGAATTGTTGGCTGAGTAAGCATCTTACTTGGAAGGCAGAGGGGCGGAAATGTTTGAGAATTATAGGAGTGTGTAAAAGTCCCAAAGTGATGCAAGGAATGTAGGTTGGAGTGTTCATCAAAACTGCGTTTCCTAGAAGTCATTATATGAAAAGGACACTAGCACACGTAAATTTACAGCAGCACAATTCACAATTGCAGAGATGTGGAACCAACCTAAGTGCCCATCAACCAATGAGTGGGTAAGGAAAACGTGGTATATATACACCATGGAATACTACTCAGCCATTAGAAGGGAGGAAATAATGTCTTTTGCAACAACTTGGATGGAGCTGGAGGCCATTATTCTAAGTGAAGTAACACAGGAGTGGAAAACCAAAACCACATGATCTCACTTATAAGTTGGAGCTAAGCTATGAGTATGCAAAGGCATACCGTGTGATGTCATGGACTTTAAAGATGCAGAAAGGGGAAGTGGGTGTACAGTGTGATATCATGGACTTTAAAGATGCAGACAGGGGAAGTGGGTGGGGGACTGGGGATAAATCACCACTATATAATTCATCCATGTAACAAAAAGCACCACTTATACCCCACAAACTATTGAAATACGTTTTTTTTTAAAGGAAAGAAACTGATGCACTCAAATAAAATAATAAAATCCCAGGTCTTTGAAAATGAATGCTTCATGGTTAGGCATCACAGTCTAGTGAATATCCTGAGCCAGCCAGTCAGCTGCTTTCATCTTTTTTTTTTTTTTTTTTTTTTGTAAATGAGGCAGGGTCTCACTGTGTAGCCCAGGCTGGAGTGCAGTGGTGTGATCTCAGCTCACCGCAACCTCTGCCCTTTAGGCTAAAATTAAAGCCTTCCTCCCACCTCAGCCTCTCGTGTAGCTGGGGCCACAGGCATGCACCACCACACCTGCCTAATTTTTTTTGTTGTTGTTTTTTTGTATTTTTTCTAGAGACACAGCCACCTCCCTTGGCCTCCCAAAGTGCTGGGATTACAGTCACGAGTCTTGGCCACACCCGGCCCTTGGCTACTGTTTGAAGCTACTATTACCTTCTTGCTTACGAAGTTGCTCATTTACTTCTCAGGGCCAGCTAGGTGCCTGGAACTTCCCTTGAAGGAACTCAAGATTTTCCTTTATTTTCATGTTTGGGGGTGCTCAGCAGACCCTTAGAGAGGTCCCTGCTCCATCTCACCAAATCAAGACATTCTTAGAGGTTCATGAAACTAAGGCATGCTCAGAACACCAGAACCAAAGAAACTTCTGCCCCAAATGTACACTTAGGTCTTTCCCTCTCTCAAGCTGGGAGCAGGGTGGATCCTGGGTGTGCAGGGCTGGGACAGAGGGAGCAGTGCTGTGGGGGGAAGAGGGATCTATAAATTTTACTATAAGTGTGGGTAAAAATTTTGCTTTCTTATCAGCCAGAACCAAATTTTTCTTATAGGCAGGATCAAAGTTCATTTAAGAGCATTTTTTCATCAACTGCTTAAAGAGAAGATAAAACTTTGAGCATCTGAATTATCACAAGCCAAGATGATTAAAAAAACAAACAAACAAAAACATGCTGGAAATGATGGCTCACGCCTGTAATCCCAGCACTTTCGGAGGCTGAGGCAGGTGGATCACCAGGTCAGGAGTTCAAGACCAGCCTGGCCAATATGGTGAAACCCTGTCTCTACTAAAAATACAAAAAATAGCCGGGAGTGGTGGTGGGTGCCTATAGTCCCAGCTACATGGGGGGCTGAGGCAGGAGAATCGCTTGAATGGAAGGCGGAGGTTGCAGTGAGCCAAGATACCATCACTGCACTCCAGCCTAGGCAACAGAGCAAGACACTGTCTTAAAAAAAACAAAAAACAAAAAACAGAACAAAAGAAAAATAGGCTGTTTGGTCAGAGAGAAAAGAGAAAACAAGAGGAAAAACCCCAGAAGGGGAGCAGGAGGAGAAGCATCATTTAAGGAACAGGAATTGCTTATGTCTGAGTTTTTTGCGTTGGAAATCTAGATCTTTCAATCTTCCTAAACCTTCTAAGGAAAGTCCATATAAATGTCTTCTATGGAAGGTTTAATTTTATTTCTGTGTTGTAGAAAGGAAGAAAAGAAACCTCTTTTCTGTCAGTAACAACCATAACAATGAAAGGATTTTTATTTTTATTTATTAGCATTATTATTGTTTTTTGAGATGGGGTCTCACTCTGTCGTCCAGGCTGGAGTAAAGTGGCATGATCTCGGCTCACTGCAACCTCCACTTCCCAGGTTCAAGCAATTCTCCTGCCTCAGACTCCCGAGTAGTTGGGATTACAAGTGTGCACCACCTGTAATCCTAGCTATTTTTTTTTTTAATCTTTTTTTTATTTTTAGTAGAGATGGGGTTTCACCATGTTGGCCAGGCTGATCTCAAACTCCTGACCTCAGGTGATCCGCCTGCCTCGGCCTCCCAAAGTGCTGGGATTACAGGCATGAGCCACTGCGCCTGGGCCAAGGAGAGGATTTTTAAACAAACAAATTCAGCAGAAGTGGAGGCTCAGAGCCAGAAAAGACCATGAGAATGTAAGCTCTTTAGTGCTCAGAAATCTTGCAGAAGGCCTTGGACTTTCCAATGTTCCTAGAGTCACTCTTCCCAGGATCTTGAAGGACCAGTGGCCATAGCTAATATGTGGATGACCCCTTCGTACAAGTGCCCAGCATAACCAGACAGGACCTGCACTTTATGGGTTTGTAGTTGCATCGATTCTGGACTTTCTTGTGCTTTGTACCTTCCTATTTCTTCTCTAGGCCTATGGTCTCACCACCTTTTTCTTTCAAGAAAAATGATCCACTGGGCACGGTGGCTCACTCCTGTATTCCCAGGACTTTGGGAGCCTGAGGCAGAAGGATCACTTGAGACCAGGAGTTTAAGACCAGCCTGGGCAACATAGCAAGACCCCATCTCTACTAAGAAAAATAATTTTAAAAAAATAGACCGTTGTGGTGGCAGGCGCCTGTAATCCCAGCTACTCAGGAGGCTGATGTGAGAGTTTGAGGCTACAGTGAGCTTTGATCATGCCACTGCACTCCAGCCTGAGTGACAGAGTGAGACCCTGACTCTTAAAAAAAAAAAAAAAGAGAGAAAAATGGTCAAAAACTTGAAAATCAGGCAAATTGGTGGCAGCATGTCCTTTCAATGTCACATGGGGGTAGAAGCATTTTCTTCAACTCACTGTTAACTGTTGTTTAAAATTCCTAGACTTAGAGAAGTTATGTGTTAAGTTATAGATTTTTCCTTGATAGAGATGAAAGTCATTTCTATCTGGCAGGAAAAACAAAAACAACTCCAAAGTGTATAGTTTATTTCCCTGTAAGATATTAACTAGCTTGTATCTAACCCAGTAATCGTACCCTAACATTCCTTTTGTAAATTGCCTGTAAATACCTAGCTTTTCACATCTCTCCGACCTGGTATTAAGACCTTACTGATTTCCTCATTAATTAATGAGTCAGATAAAGTGTTTGACATGTATTCATTTTATACTCGCATGAAGAGTCCTGGATTTATCTTTTTGGAAACTGTGATTTTGCTCTCTCTGCACTTGTAGACCTCAGGGTATGGTTTGTTCTTCTGTTACAGGGAAAACCCAGAGCTGCAGAATCAACTAATTGGTTAGACTCACCATTTGCATAGCATAGTGCCTGGCACAGTTACTCACATATTTGGGGTTTTTTGGTTCTGTTTTGGTGGGCTTTTTTTTTTTTTTTTCCACATAGATTCTCACTGTAGCCCAGGCTGCAGTGCAGTGGTGGGATCATGGCTCACTGCAGCCTCGAACTCCTGGACTCAGGAGATCCTCCTGCCTCAGCCTCCCCAGTAGCTGGGACTACAAGTGTGCATCACCACACCTGGCTAATTTTTTAAAATTTTTATGTTTTTTTTAGTGAGGGGGTCTTGTTATGTTGGCCATGTTGGTCTCAAACTCCTGATCTAAAGAGATTCTCTCATCTCAGCTTCCCAAAGTGTTGGGATTACAGGCATGAACCTCCATGCCTGACCTTCAAATATTTGCTGAATGTTGCGTGTGTTCTGTCCTCTGTTGTCCCCAGTCTGCTTTGATGATGAGGCTCCACTCTTGAGGTCCCTGGATTGACTCTCAGCCATCAAGGGGGAAAGGCTTCCTGAGTCCTCAGGGAATAGTCAGAAGGTGGGTGACCCCGATGCTCTTTTCCCAGTGTATTAATCCATTTTCACAATGCTGTTAAAGACATAACCGAGACTGGGCAATTTACAAAAGAAAGAGGTTTAATGGATTCACAGTTCCACATGACTGGAGAGGCCTCACAATCATGGTGGAAGGTGAAAGGCACGTCTCACATGGCAGCAGACAAGAGAAGAGCTTGTGCAGGGAAACTCCCATTTTTAAAACCATTCGATATCGTGAGACTTACTCACTATCAGAGAACAGCCTGGGAAAGACCCACTCCCCATGATTCAATTACCTCTCACTGGGTTCCTCCCATGAAATGTGGGAATTGTGGGAGTTACAATTCCAGATGGGATTTTGGTGGGGACACAGCCAAACCATATCACCCAGTGCAGAGAGAGGATGCCATAGCCCAAGGGAAGCTTGTCCTCAGCAGGGCCCCATTAAGTCTCTTACTCAGGGTTCATGACTTTGGCTGGGCATTAGAATCAATGAGGGAGTTTTTTAAAACCTGCATCAGGACCCCATCTTCAGGGAGACTGATTTAACTCAAGTGAGCCAGGTCTGGCATCTGCATTTTTTGTTTTGTTTGAGACAGAGTCTCACTCTGTTACCCAGGCTGGAGTGCAGTGGCGTGATCTCGGCTCACTGCAACCTCAGTTTCCTGGGTTCAAGCAATTCTCCCTCAGCCTCCTGAGTAGCTGGGATTACAAGCGCATGCCACCATGCCTGGCTAATTTTTTTTTTTTTTTTTTTTTGAGACGGAGTCTCACTCTGTCGCTCAGGCTGGAATGTACTGGCTCGATCTCGGCTCACTGCAAGCTCCGCCTCCCGGGTTCATGCCATTCTCCTGCCTCAGCCTCCAGCGTCTGCCACCATGCCGGCGAATTTTTTTGTATTTTTAGTAGAGATGAGGTTTCACCATGTTGGTCAGGCTGGTCTCGAACTCCTGACCTCGTGATCTGCCTGCCTTGGCCTCCCAAAGTGTTGGGATTACAGGAGTGAGCCACCGTGCCTGGCCAGCATCTGCATTTTTTTGAAATGTCCTGACGATTGCATTATGCAGCCAGGGTTTGGAACCACAGTTCCAGCCCTGTCCCTCAGCTGGCCCAAGGGATTGCAGGCCGTCCCTCCCATTGTCTCTCCTCAAATGTGGGTAACCTGAGCTGTGTTCTAAGGGCCTCCCAGGGGTGTTATTCCCTGTGCCGCCGGCCACATGTTGGTCTTTGTGGTGGGCCCCAAGGAGCTCCAAAGTCCACAGAAAAATCCCAATTCCTCAAAGACTCTCATCTTTCTCCCCACCGCCCGCGCAGACTGCTCCATTGTCGATTTTTTCCTTTCCTCTTCTTTTTTCTCTTCTAAATTCTGAGTTCCTGGCAGACACTAAAATGTCTCAGAAGCAGAAACCAGCTTTGATCAACTGTCAGCAGAGTCGAAAACTACAATTTTATCTCCTTTCTCTAAGGTCCTTCTTGGGCACCCCGTGGCAGGCCTTTGGGCTGCCTTGTGCACATGACCCGCTTCCCTGGCCTCCGTCCCAGCCCGACCTCTCCTGCCCTCCACTCTCTGCCCCTCCCCTCCTCTGTCCTTCCCACCCCCCTGCAAATTAATGTGTTGCTGCTGCTGAGAGAGTGGGTTCTGGAGCGGGCTTCTTTCTGGCCTCTCTGCCATCACAGGCTGGCAGCTTCAAAGCTCGAGTCATCCTGTTTCCGTCTGCCCCTGAGCCCGCGTGGCTTGGCTTCACTGCAGGGGTCAGAAGTGCAGCCTCAGCCGATGACAGCAGCCTGGCCTGGCCCGACAGTGACCAGGGGACTCACACCCATCTGATGTCTCCCCTCCTCTGCTATTATCCCTCCCCTTCTCCGCTATTTTCTCTCCCCTTCTCCACCTCCTCCGGCCCCAAACAGTCCTTCCTCTGGAAAGATAAGGCCCTCTTCTCAGTTCCCGCATCCCTTCCCTTTTATGCCAGACAGAGGCAGCCCTTTGTGAAGGGGGGTACGGGCTTTTGCACAAATATTTAATCTCTTCCAATCTGCCCTTTTGCACTGCCTGTCAGTTCCTGGGGTTGAAACCACTCTGTTTGCTTTAGCTGGCAACAGGATACTGTTTTGAAAACCTATATTTGCTTTTCAAGGCAAGTATATATTTAGTTTTTTCATCCTCACCAAGAATTATGCTGCCAGTTGGGGTGTGGTCTTGAGCAGGCAGGGAAATCTAGCGATGAGTTTACCTTTTCCCTGTAGCTTAGAAATCTTAGTAGCAGGGACTTGTGAAAATTAACTTAGCCTCAGTTTCAGGTTGTCTCATTCAGCCACGATCTGCCCTCTTGCTTTTTGAACATGCCTTTATTTCACATAAAATGTAGTTTATCTTGTCGAAGTGTCTGCAGGTCCTGTTAGAAATCACCTGGTACAAAATCATAGAGAAGGAAAAATACCGAAATAGAATAATAATTACTTTTTTTTTTTTTTTTTTTAGAGATAGGGTCTTTCTCTGGTGCCCAGGCTGAGTGCAGTGGTGCCATCATAGCTCACTGTAGCCTTGAACTTCCAGGATCAATCGATCCTTCCACCTCAGCCTGCCAAGCAGCTGGGACTAGCAGGCATGCACCTCCATCCCCAGCTGAATTAGTCACCAACGCTTTTTAAAAGCCTGGTTTGTGCCATGTGCTTCTAACACAGTTGCTAGTCCTTCCCATGGCCGTGCATGGCAAATATTGTTATTCCTATTTTACAGGAGGTGAAACACAGAACTTCAGTGTCTTGTCTGTACTCACGGAGCTAGTCTCAGAGGAGGTGGGCTTAACTTAACTCTGGCAGCTTCTCAAGGGCGCCCTGTCTACTCCCCACTCTGCACAGCTATCAACTTTGCTCTATCACCAGGGACAGAGGACCTGGAGCTACAGTAAGGGCATGTTTTGGGTTTTTCAGTACAGTACCAACTTGAAATGTTTTCTGTTAGTACCAACCAAATGGTAGATGATGGATCAAACTGTGATCAGCTTTCATACTTTTGGTCTTTTTTTTTTTTTTTTAAGAGATGGAGTTTCGCTTCTGTTGCCCAGGCTGGAATGCAGTGGTGCGATCTTGGCTTGCTGCCTCCACCTCCTGGATTCAAGCAATTCTCCTGCCTCAGCCTCCTGAGTAGCTGGGATTACAGGCACCCGCCACCACGCCTGGCTAATTTTTTGTATTTTTAGTGGAGACGGGGTTTCACCATATTGGCCAGGCTGGTCTCAAACTCCTGATCTCAGGTGATCCACCCGCCTTGGCCTCCCAAAGTGCTGGGATTACAGGTGTGAGCCACCGCGCCCAGCCTATTTTCTTTTATTTTTAGAGTTTTGAAAAATATTTTCTACCCTACAAAGAATGTAGATTATTGTTATGAACAGAGCCTAACCAATAAGGTGAGTAAAACAATGCCTCCATTCAATACCCAGCGTTTCTTTTGGGTTACATCAGCAAAGGAGGCCCCAGTGGTAAAAAATGTGCAAACTGCAGCTTCGTGTAAGGAAACGGATTCTTTACCTCTCTCCTCTCTCCTGTTCTCCAGCAAGACTCTGCTTATTAGCTTCTGCCCTTGTGCTTCCTCTTCTCTTTCTGTTACTGGAGGATCAGTTTAAACAGAGGTGCTTGCTGAATCTGTAAATCAGAACAGTTTCTGAGTGTCCCCTGTTCCGTTTCCCTGAACTTGTGGAATCGGATGAGAGACGGGAGAAAAATGAGGAAAAGAATCACCTGTTCAAGGCAGAGTGCTGTGAAGCTGCCTTCCTGGCCCCTAAGGAGCCTCATGTTACTCCCAAAGCTTCTACTACACCCAGGATTCCTCCCAGATCAGGACCCTAAGCTCTCCCTGGCTGCGGCTTTTTTGCAAGCTGGATGTGTGAATTTCCACCCTTAGACATCATTGCGTGTAAAGAACTGCTCTCAGCCTGAGCCCTGGGGGATAGCAATGTCCGTCCTCAAGCAGTCGGACCCTTCAAGACAGAAGCACTGTAGAGGAAATCCGATAACCTGGAGAAACATCGCCAGGAGGCTGAGTGGGCCTGGAGTGGGCTAATTAGCCTACGTATCTTGCTGTGTTGCCCAGCCAGACTAGAGGGCAGTGGTATAATTACAGCTCACTGCAGCCTCAGCCTCCCAAGCTGAAGTGATCCTCCCACTTCAGCCTCTCAAATAGCTGGGACCACAGGCGTGTACCACCACACTTGGCTAATTTTAAAACTTTTTGTAGAGATGGGATCTTGCCCTGTTGCCCAGGCTGGTCTCCAAATCCTGGGCTCAAGCAATCTTCCAGACTCAGCCTCCCCAAGTGCTGGGGTTACAGGCATGAGCCACCATGCATGGCCCTTAAACCTTTTAAATCAAAAAATGTAATTGGTTTCTAGTTGGAAAAAGTAACTGTTGTTTATTGGGAGTTTCAATTTTAGATATCTAGATCATTTTCCTTCCATTTTGGAGACACAGAGAAAATCTTTCTGGCTTTCTTGATAAAGCCTCTACTTTTAAAATTCACCTTGAAGAGATTAAATTGCTCCTGCAGATCTTTCAGGGGCTGGCTTAGGGTTTGTGCCATATTTGAGACACTCAAGGAAGTGGCTATATGGAACGCAGGTGAAGGGCTCAGGTACTTCCTGTTCGTAAAGGAACTAGGACACGTTCTGTCATTGAGTTCTGAAGATCCCCGCAGGGCAGCAGGGGCCTCTTGGATTCTCTGCTGTCGCGCTGTGGCCCCTGGGCGATAGTTACCCCTTCCGTATCTCAGGGATGTGTGTGGAATGAAGGTTACATTCCCCTATATCCCAAGGTTGTTGTGAGGAGCATATGAAATAATAAACATGAACTTGATTTGAAAACAAAAATGTTCTTAATGCGAGGTCTGATTTGTATTCCTTCTGTGATTCCACATGTGTCCAGTGGCACAAAAAAACCCATCAAATTTTTTAATTAATTAATTTTTTTAAGAGACAGGGCCTCACTCTGTCATCCAGGCTGGAGTGCAGTGGCTCGATCATAGTTCACTGAAGCCTGAAATTCCTGGGCTCAAGCGACCCTCCCACCTCAACCTCCTGAGTAGCTGGAACTACAGGTGTGCACCACCACACGCAGCTAATCTTTGTATTTTTTGTAGAGATGGGGTCTCATTGTGCTGCCCAGGCTGGTCTCCAATTCCTGGCTCAAGTGATCCTCCTGCCTTGGCATCCTACAGTGTTAGGATTACAGGCTTGAGTCATTGTGCCTGGCCAACATCTAATATTTTTGAATGTTAACTATTATGTGTTTAGCACTGCAGAAGGGACTGTGGACAATATAACAGTGAAAGACATGGTCTAGGCCTCAAGTAGCTTACAGGCTGGATGAGGACACCAATTCCCAGTGACCTAATCCTATGGCACACACCAGCCACGAGTTCAGAGGCAAGAGCACTAGGGGGTTAGAGGAGCAGGGAGCTTCATGTTGGCTGGGTCAGGCTTGAACAGGCTTTAGGGGAGAAGCACAACCTCCAAGTTTGGGAAAAACCAGGAGCAAGGACATCTGTAGGGAAATGATATACTGGGTATAAAAGGAATCAAGAGAAAATTGCAGACCAGACCAGAAAGCATCCAGGAACAAACAACAGAGAACAAGTTGGGATACAAAGAGCCAGATGCTGGAGATAGCAGGGGCTGTCCCAAGAACCAGGCAGAGCTGAGTCCCCACAGAAAGCATGTCCCCACATAAGCCAGTCACTATCCCCTAATACCCAAGAGTCTGCTCAGTGTACCTGGTAACCAACAGATAATGTGGCCATGGGGAGAAAATGAAAATCTACTTCCAAATATCTATAAAGGGAACATGAGTGTGGGTTTTTCTAAAATATACTTCTGTTGAATAAAGATAGCTCAGGCATAGAAGTAGTCATTTCCTCTTGAATTTCTGAAGGCATTAATTATGGAAAATTATCTGGGAAATGCATTTTTTACCCTAAATTATTATAGAAATAAATCAAATATGGGGGAAGAGTAGGATTGCATGCTTAGAAATTTTATGAGTTTTGCAAAAAGATACATGAGTCTAATGGTAGCACACCCAGTGCCCTTTCACCTTGAATTTTGAAGCACTTATTTTTGGAGTCAGTTTTCCAATCAGGGGTATCCAATCTTTTGACTTCCCTGGGCCACACTGGAAGAAGAAGAATTGTCTTAGGCCACAAATAAAATACATGAACACTAACAATAGCTGATGAGCTAAAAAAAAAAAATCACAAACAAATCTCATAATATTTTAAGAAAGTCTACTAATTTGTGTTGGGCCACATTTAAAGCCATCTGGGCTGGGTTTGAAAAGCTTGATTTAAGTAGAAGCTGGAATAACATGGGGAACTCTCTGGATGTTGGGGGTAAGAGCTGCAATTTTATCTATTTTGTCCTATTAGACTTTCCAGCAGGATTTGGGGTAAAAGCTTCAATTGAAAAAAAATGTTGCAGCCATAAAAAAGAATGAGTTCATGTCCTTTGCGGGGACATGGATGAACCTGGAAACCATCATCCTCAGCACACTAACATAAGAACAGAAAACCAAACACCACATGTTCTCACTCATAAGTGGGAGTTGAACAATGAGAACACATGGACACTGGGAGCAGAACATCACACACTGGGGCCTGTTGAGGGGGTTGGGGGAAAGGAGACGGAGAGCATTAGGACAAATACCTAATGCACACAGGGCTTAAAAAATATTGTAAAGACAGAGTCTTGCTATGTTGCCCAGGCTTGTCTTGAACTCCTGGCCTCAAGCAATCTTCCCACCTTGGCCTCCCAGATTGTTGGGATTAAAAGCATGAGCCACTGTGCCTCACTGGAAGTCTTATTTATTTATTTTTTTTTCTGGAAAAAAGTGGATGGTTTTCTTCAATAGCAAGATATGTCATGGAAAACTTGGAAAATGCCGAATGCAAAATACAGAAAATACAACTAAAAACCTTCATGAGAATTTTAATCATCAAACCATGAATCTCAGTTGCCTTGTCTCTCCACATCTCTTGCGTGCGTGTAGGTACACAAATGGTGTCTAGGCTTGTGGGTATGCATACATCGATGGTCCTTCTGGGGTACTCTTAAGGGGGTCCCGCCCCTCAGGTGCTCCTAGCTCTTAACCTAACCCTTCTGCATGTGTCCTGTTTCTGAGGATGGCCCTGAAGATGAGGGAGTCTTATTTTCGAATGAGTCTTATTTCGAATGGCCACAGGAACCAGGACTCCCTACAATGAAGAAGGGACGTTTGTTTCCCTCAGGGCTAGAGCATTTTGGAGGCAATTTTTCAAGTCTTAACACGATGCCATTAAGACATCATTGAAACTGAGTCAGGGTGGGGTGCGATGGCTCACACCTGTAATCCCAGGACTTTGGGATGCCAAGGTGGGCAGATCACCTTGAGCTCAGAAATTTGAGACCAGGCTGGGCAACATGGAGAAACCCCATCTGGGTGTGGTGGCACATGCCTGCAATCCCAGCTACTCGGGAGGCTGAGGCACAAGAATCGCTTGAACCCGGGAGGTGGAGGTTGCAGTGGGCTGAAATCGTACGACTGCACTCCAGCCTGGGGGACAGAGCACAAGACTCTGAAAAAAAAAAAAAAAGGAAGGAAGGAAAAAGAAAGAAGGAAGGAAGGAAGGAAGGAAGGAAGGAAGGAAGGAAGGAAAGAAAGAAAGAAAGAAAGAAAGAAAGAAAGAAAGAAAGAAAGAGAAAGAAAGAAGGAAAGAGAGGGAGGGAGGAAGGAAGAAAGGAAGAGAAAGAGAGAAAGAAAGGAAGGAAGGAAAGAAAGAAAGAAAAAGAAAGAAAGAAAGAAAGAAAAGAAAAGAAAGGAAAGAAAGAAAGAAAGGAAAGAAAGAGAAAAGGGAACCGAGTCAGGGTGAAGACATTTAAATGGAAATATTTATTTTCTTAAAAGTATAGCTTAATTTTCCCTCTCCAAGTTTGAGAAGGAATATTGGGAGGAAACGGGACAAGATGACACAGGCATTTGGACATTCACTGCAAACCCTAGGGCGTTGCTGCAAAGCATCCTGGGTCCAGTTCCAGTTTAGGAAACCTCACAGTCTTTTTTCCAGTCGGACAGGTCTCTCCCCTCACAGTGTTTCTTCCAGCCTTGCCTGAGGACGAGAGGGAAGCAAGAGCAGCAGAAAGAAGCGTGACAATCCAAACCGTCTCAGTTTCAAAGTCTACAGAAATTAACCAAAATCGCCAGCGGAACCCTGGGTTGGGTTTCATTTGCTTCTGAGATCAAAGGACGCTGTCATTTTGCCTAGTTCAGACTTTGATCTCCTGGTTTTCTCCTAGCCACTGTTAGCCTCAGCAACAAGCAATCAACTTTTGTAAGGATGGGTCATTCCATGTCACACCCACATCTGTGAAAATTCGGGTTCCCTGAGTGGGGCCGGCTGGCAATGTTCACCAGAACACAGCAGCGGGGAATGCAAGGCCCCAGGCTCAATGCTGGGGACGCTTTCTGCTGAGTCGCCATGACACAGACCTGCTCACTTTCCTCTTGCTGCTGCTCATTCTCTTTCCCTGCAAAATGTTGCCGTAACCTTCAAAATCTTATCCAAATCTAGAGCAAACTCAAGCTTTTTTTTCCCTCTGGTGAATTGACTCAATTGACCCTTTCCAAGTCACTTTAGAAAATACCTTTCTCCATTGTTTGGAATATGTTCATATGAAAAGCAATTGCAAATTATCTTAACTCACTCCCATGTCTCTGCTCCCTTTCTATGTACTACTATGTTCACTGCACACCCACACACTGATGGAGGAGAATATAGACAAGGTCTCCTTCCATTGGTTGGACCACTCTGCGGAGGTGAGTTTGTCAATTCCACCATAACTGTGATAAATACACACACTAGGTTTTGCCCATGACAGCCCAAGTCTTCCAAGGAAAGACTCTTACCAATAGTTCATTCCTTGTGTCTCTTTAACAATTTTCTTGGCACAGATAATCGCATCTGTGAGGTCATCAGTGACCAAGGCTGTAAAAAGAGAGGTCATCAGGGTTAGGCGAGACTTTGTTGTTGGAGAGGGACCCCAACTCAAGTTTACTTCATTTTTCTCAGTCTTTTTGGGATGGGAAGGTTGGAAGAACTATAATTTTCCCTGCAAAGCCACAATCTCATTTCTGTTGAGCTTCTTCATAATGAAAAGAACTTTGCTTTTGTTTTAAGACCATCTTCATCTTGCACTACCTGACATTTCAGAGGAAGAGCCCAATCCTGAAGGGTTTTTGGAAATGTGTTTAGAGAAGACGCTATGTGAAAATGTTCCTTATGTCCTACAGAAATAGGCACAGGCCGGGCGTGGTGGCTGACCTGCAATCCCAGTACTTTGGGAGGCCAAGGTAGGAGAATCACTTGAGGCCAGGAGTTTGAGTCCAGTCTGGGCAACATAGCAAGACCTCATCTCTACAAAATGTAAAAAAAATAGCCTAGTGTGATGGCACACACCTGTGGTCTCAGCTACTTGGGAGTCTGAGGTGGGAGAATCACTTGAGCCCAGGAGGTCAAAGCTGAAATGAGTTGTGTTTACATCACTGTACTCCAGCCTGGGCAACAGAGTGAGACTCTGTCTTAAGAAAAAAAAAAAAAAGGCACATAAGACAGGATAGTATAGTGTTTTCTGTATTTGGGTTAGTTTGACGTGTAAGGTTTCTTTACAGGTAAATATTAAATTTTGTCTATTGTCATTTTTCAGTTTGTGTCTTAAAAAAATTTTATCCAGGGTGTTTTTCATGTGCAGAAAGTTTTACCTTTTAAATCAAATACACCAGTCTTTGTCTTTATTACTTTTCCTTTTCTGTTTCCTTTTTGAGACAGAATCTCACTCTGTCACCCAGGCTGGAGTGCAGTGGCATGATAATAGCTCACTGCAGCCTCAACCTCCTGGCCTCAAGCAATACTTCCACCTCAGCCTTCAAAATAGCTGGAAATACAGGTATGCACCACCACGCCTGACCATTTTTTATTTTTATTTTTGTAGAGACAGGGTTTCACCAGGCTGGTCTGGAACTCCTGGGCTCAAGCAATCCTCTGGCTTTGGCCTCCCAAAGTGCTGGGATTACAGACATGAGCCACCATGCCCCGCCACCTATTATTTTTTCTATTGCTTCAGACATAACAAATCTTTGAATTGAAATGTATTAGTTGATATCCACATTCTTTCCTGCTTGCTTAGAAGCGGCCTCAAAATCCTCAACACAAACATGACAGAAAAAGGCAAATAAACAAAACAAGTTCAACATTACTTCTACTGCAAGTTGAGTCCTCCAGGAGCTGATGCTGAGATGGGTTTGAAATGCCAGATATTTTCAGCAATCCACACCTATGAAAGGAATCGGCTGGGGGGAAGCAGGATGGGCAGACGGAGATGTCCATTTGTGACGCAGACCCAGCAATTCATTGGGCAGCCCAGCCATGAGCTCCCGAGTGAGCACTGCCCATCAGAGTGGCCCAAGTCAGGCCCACATGCCAGGTCTGAATGCCTCTGCCTCACACGTCAATGGGTGTGGGTCACCCCGGAAGGGAGCAACCTGCACCTGAAGCCAATCCTGAAGCAGGTGGCAGGTACTGTCTGCTCATCACACAACTGCAGCGGGGGCAGCATGTCTTCCCTTAGCAGGGGATCTGGGAGGCCCATCTCCATGACCACCACAACCACCAATCAAGGACAAAAATACTCAAACCACTTGATCTCATTACTGCTTGTCAATTATGCAAAGATTTTTTTTTTAAGAGAATTGGGTAATGCTGGATGTTGACAAGGGCACAGAGAGGCAGGTTCTCTGGATACTTGCTGGTGGGAGTATAATGGATTCAATGTCTCAGGAAACCAACATAGCAGCATGTGTTTAGAGCCTTAACGAGGTTTTTATCCTTTCACCTAATAATTTCTCTCTCCAGATCTATCCTAAGGAAATAGTCATGACACTAGACAAATATTTCTTTACAAAGTGGTTTACTATAGCATTATTTACAAGAGTTAAAATGAAAAAATCTAATTGCCTCATAATCAGTGATATTCAAATTAGTCATAATACCTTCATTTAATAAAATAAAGAGCTGTTTGAATTATGTTTTCCCAGGATATTTAATAATATGGAGAAATGCTCCCAATGCAATGTTAAGTTCCCAATATCATAAAAATATCCATTGAGAGCTGTATTGGCTAATGCCAATATGGCAGGCATTAGCAACATGTGATAATTTAAATTAAAATTATATTTGTTGACAGGTGAATGGATAAAAATATGTTTATATAGAGAGTGGAATATTATTCAGTCATGGAAAAGAAGGAAATGCTGACATTTGCAACAACATGGAAGAACGGAAGGACGTCATGCTAAGTGAAGGAAGTGAGACCCAGAAAGACAAATACCACATGATTTCACGCATATGCAAAATCTACAAAAGTTGAACTCATAAAAGCAGAGAGTAGAGCGGTGGCTGGTTAGGAAAATGGGGAGATGCTGATGGAAGGGTCCAAACTTTCAGTTATAAGGTGAGGAAGGTCTGGGGGTCTAAGGTAAGCTATTGTGACCATAGTTAATTATACTGTACTGCTTACTTGAAATTTGCTGATAGTGGATCTTAAGTGTTCTTCTCTCTCTCTCTCTCTCTCTGTCTCTCATACACACACTCTGTCACACACACACAGTAATTATGTGAGGTAATGTTAAACTCAATTGTAGTGATCATTTCCCAATGTATAAATATATCAAATTATCATGTTATTTACTTTAAATATATACAATTTTGATTTGTCAGTTATACCTCAATAAAGCTGGGAAAAATATAAAAAATTGTAATTAATTAACATTAAAGACAATTAAAACTTTAGTTCCTTATTTGTTCTAGCTACATCTCAGATACTTTATAGCCACTCATGGCTAGTGGTTCTGTTTGACAGCACAGATGGAAGACATTTTTGTCATCATGGAAAGTTCTATTAGATAGCACTGGTTTAGAAAAAAAAAGATAGTCATTAATTCACCAGTATTTTAAGAAAGATTGGCTCTTAACTGTGGGTTCACCAATGCTTTTATGTCTTTACTGTATATTTTCTAAAATTTTTTACAATTGAAATGTACTACTTTTATTACCAGAAAAATAACCAAAAATAATGTTAGCATAAAATGTTGCATTTCAATAAGGCATTGTAATTCCAAATTATTTTGTTAACTCAGTTGAAAGTGGAATTTTTCCTTGAGCATGCTATTTCCTTGAGTTGCTAATTTTGTTGCTTTCTCAGTTAGGCTTCACTAGAAGATAAACGTAGTGATAGATTTTTTTTAAGCAAATTTATTCTAAATGTGGCTTAATTTTTATTTGAAACAAAATTCTATTAACCAGGAGAAAAAGTAACAAAATACATCGTCTATAAGAGATAGCAATTGAAACAACATACGCAGATTCACTAGCATTTGGTTTATAGTTCTACAGTGAAAACTAAAGCTATATCAGCTTATAAAATTCTCTTGCCAGCCTGGTGCGGTGGCTCACGCCTATAATCCCAGCACTTTGGGAGGCTGAGGCGGGCAGATCGCCAGGTCAGGAGATGGAGACCATCCTCTCAAAACAAACATCCATCTCAAAACAAACAATCAAACAAACAACAACAAAAAAGTCTTTTGCCTATCTTCTTGAGATATAAATATTTAGGATAATAACAGCTATTACCACTAGCTAATACTTTATTGAAATCTTACTCTATGTCAGGCACATGTTAAATCTCTTCACGCAAAATCTCCATCAGTCCTCAGAACAACCATTTCTATGGGTACCATTTTATCCCCATAAACCAAGTTCACACACTCAGTTAATGAGCCTGTATTCCGATAGAGGGCTTAAATTCTGTTTTCCTCTGATTCCTTCTTCCAACAGAGGCCACTTAAGCAAGATTCCTGCTCATGGAACACTATATGCTAATAAAGTTGATAATGAAAATATACTTTTAATTTTTCTAGTAATTATTTACTTTTAATATACTTTTAATTTTTCTAGTAATTATTTACCTATGAGATTATCCAAACTTAAGCATTTGGTACCTGATATATGTTCAAATTACTTAGAGACCCTTTATTTCGGGTGCATAAGTGCTTAATAAATGCTGAGACACTCGTTTGTGTTTGGAAGTGGTCTAGCGTATTTCCTGGGAGACATGGGTTTGGGGCTGTCTCTAGGGGTTGGAGAGACACAGTGAGGAGGAAGCAGATCACATTCTATTATTCTGGGATTGGAGGTCATCCCAGGCATGTACAGAAAGTGCACATTTGTACTGGGGGCAGGGCAGTTTGCTTGGCTGGCAATGTTCTGTAAGGATTCCTGAAAGGGTCAGGCCATGCAGGACCAGGAAGCAGACACCGCGTAAAGTTGTTTGTCCCCTCCTATGTTGTTAGAGCATTTTGTTGCACAATTGGGATGTTTTGAAAGTACTCATTGGACACAACTGAATTTCCTTAGGAAAGTATGTCGACCGGGCGCGGCGGCTCACACCTGTAATCCCAGCACTTCAGGAGGCTGAGGCAGGCAGATCACTTGAGGTCAGGAGTTTGAGACCAGCCTGGCCAACATGGCAAAACCTGTCTCTACTAAAAATACAAAAGTTAGCTGGCTGTGGTGGCACACGCCTGTAATCCCAGCTACTCCAGAGGCTGAGGCAGGAGAATTGCTTGAACCCTGGAGGCGGAGGTTGCAGTGAGCCGAGATCGTGCCACTGCACTTCAGCCTGGGTGACAGAGTGAGACTCTGTCTCAAAAAAAAAAAAAAAAAAAAAAAAGAAAAGAAAAAGAAAAAAAAGAAAAGAAAAGAAAAAACTGGAAGCATTCCCTTTGAAAACTAGCACAAGACAGGGATGTCCTCTCTCACCACTCCTATTCAACATAGTGTTGGAAGTTCTGGCCAGGGCAATCAGGCAGGAGAAGGAAATAAAGGGCATTCAATTAGGAAAAGAGGAAGTCAAATTATCCCTGTTTGCAGATGACATGACTGTATATCTAGAAAACCCCATTGTCTCAGCCCAAAATCTCCTTAAGCTGATAAGCAACTTCAGCAAAGTCTCAGGATACAAAATCAATGTGCAAAAATCACAAGCATTCTTATACACCAATAACAGACAAACAGAGAGCCAAATCATGAGTGAACTCCCATTCACAATTGCTTCAAAGAGAATAAAATACCTAGGAATCCAACTTACAAGGGACGTGAAGGACCTCTTCAAGGAGAACTACAAACCACTGCTCAAGGAAGTAAAAGAGGATACAAACAAATGGAAGAACATTCCATGTTCATGGGTAGGAAGAATCAATATCGTGAAAATGGCCATACTGCCCAAGGTAATTTATAGATTCAATGCCATCCCCATCAAGCTATCAATGACTTTCTTCACAGAATTGGAAAAAACTACTTTAAAGTTCATATGGAACCAAAAAAGAGCCCGCATTGTCAAGTCAATCCTAAGCCAAAAGAACAAAGCTGGAGGCATCACGCTACCTGACTTCCAACTATACTACAAGGCTACAGTAACCAAAACAGCATGGTACTGGTACCAAAACAGAGATATAGATCAATGGAACAGAACAGAGCCCTCAGAAATAATACTGCATATCTACAACTATGTGATCTTTGACAAACCTGACAAAAGCA